>NC_000019.10:45422692-45725722 GCF_000001405.40 Homo sapiens
GTTGCAGTGAGCCGAGATGGTGCCAGTGCACTCCAGCCTGGGCAAAAGAGCGAGACTCTGTCTCAAAAAAATAAATAAATAAATAAATAAATAGAGTAGGAAGGTCCTCTCCCCCATCATGCCCTACATCCTTAGCCCACTTTCCTTTTCTTCATAGCCAATGCTCATCACCCGTCGATTGTTTTCCCTTGGGAAGGAGATTTCAATATTGCCAGGTCCTTCCATTTACCAAAATATGTCTAAAGTGTAGATTTTTTTAAGATTGCAAAACCTGGCGATTCTTAAACACGAGCAATAAATTCATGTCTTGAAAAATCAGGGTGCTGGCCTCGTAAAACACATCAGGGGCTACCTGCTGAATGCCAGTGTCTGGCCTCTGCCTTAGCCCTCTCTTAGAACCACCCATCCATTTCACAGATGGGGAAACTGGGACCTGGGGAGGACCAAGGACTGTTTCCCCAAGTCGTCCGTGGCCCCCAAATCCACTAACCCACACCCTGGTCCCACAGGCCCCATCCTATCCTCTTCGTCCTAACAGCCCCCAGCCTCCCAGGGGCCCCGCATCTCCTTGTCCTACCACTCCAGGAGGGACCTCATCCTCGTCGAGGGGTATCACAAATTTCTTCCTTGCTGGCGGCCCTGAGGGCTGGGGCACCCCCTCTTTGTCCTTCCCAGGGTCCATCTGGAGCCTGAAAGGGAAGGTGCCAGGAGCGAGTGAGCCACTGGCGTCTACGTTCTCATCCCGCAGCAGGAACCCCCCACTCACAGCCGTCCCCCACAAAACTCCGAGAGCTCCATAGCGTCAGGTCCCCAACACCCAGCGCTAGAGGCTCTGTAACGCCACGCCCCTTTGACCTCCACCTTCGGCTCGCCCCGCCCCTTACAGGTCCACAAGTCCCATCGCTCCGCCCCTCGCCCCCACCGGATTCTATTGGCTCCGTCCCCACCATCCCCCGCCTTCCGTTCGTCCGGCCCCCGAGGCTAGCATCTGGACGCCCTCCCCACGCCTGGCCTTGTCCATCTCTCAGACTCGGCAATGATTGGCTTCCGCGGCGCCAATCTCCACCCGCAGTCTCCGCCTCCCGCACCTGTGGTCCGGGCCTCACGGTTTCAGCGCCGCGAGGCCTCACCTGCTGGTCTTGGAGCCTCAAGGGAAAGACTGCAGAGGGATCGAGGCGGCCCACTGCCAGCACGGCCAGCGTGGCCCAGGGCTCGCAGCACTTCCGGCCTCTCTGGCCCCGCTCCCCAGGAGAGTAGAGCATAGAGCAGGGCGATCTCTGTACAACTCTCTATGGTTCTGGAGGACCGCGGAGGTCGTGGGAGGAGAGAGATGTGGCCTGAGGATCTGGCTCCCAAACTGTTAAGTTTCAAAGCCCTTACTGAGCGCTTCTGTGTGCCCAGAATCCTGGCAGGGCTCAGTGGAGAACAGATCGCAGGAGATCCAACTTGGTCCCTCCTCTCAGTAAGGAGAGACTTAAGTTTGAATCCAACTCAGACATTGACTTGGCTTCAGTTTCCTCATTCATTCATTTATTCCACACCTATTCCCCCCACGCGCTTCCTCTCTTCCCGGTCCTGTGCGAGTCCGTGCTGGTGACACAGCAGTGACCAACGACAGCCCCGTGTTGTCCTCCCGGAGCTTACGGTTCAGTAAGGGACACAGACACGTTCCCAGTGCTGACCCAGAATGGGCAGGTCTGGGATGGGAGATCCCGGGAGAGCCGTGGGATGGGGGTCAGGGGGAGCGCCTGACTCAGCCCCGGAGTCCGGAAGGGCTTCCTGGAGGAAGGGACATCTGAGCAGGGGCCTGGCTGATGAGTTAGTATTAGTCACTTCCTGAAAGGATAGTATCACACTGTTCTAACTTGCAGCTCTCTGATTACTAAGGAAATGGAATGTTTTTTGTGAAAGTATTGGTCTTGTAAATTTTGTCTTCTGTGAATTGCTTGCTCATATTCCTTGTCCATTTTTAAAATGGGTTGTATGGCTTTTTTATTACTATTAATTTCTAGGGGTACTTTATGGATTCTGATTCTAATCCTTAGTTACCCATATTGCAAACATTTCCTCCTAGTTTCTACTTTGGGCTTTAACTTTAGTTATTTTTGGCACAGAAGTTATTTGTGTTTATGCGCAACTATTTATCAATCTGTTCCGTTCTGACTTTTGCTTTTGGTGTGTTAAGAGCCCTGCCATAACCCAGGGTCATAATGATAAATTCTTTTTTTTCTTTTTTTTTTTTTTTTCGAGACGGAGTTTCGCTCTTATTACCCAGGCTGGAGTGCAATGGCGCGATCTCAGTTCACTGCACCTCCCCCTCCCGGGTTCAAGCGATTCTCCTGCCTCCTTAGTAGCTGGGATTACAGGCATGTGCCACCATGCCCGGCTAATTTTTTTTTTTTTTTTTTTTTTTTGTATTTTTAGTAGAGACGGGGTTTCACCATGTTGGCCAGGCTGGTCTCAAACTCCTGACCTCAGCTGATCCTGAGGTCACTTTGTGACCTCCCAAAGTGCTGGGATTACAGTGCACGGCTATAATGATATATTCTATCATTTCTTTTATCTACGTAAAAGATAAAAGCCCCGTGTTGTCCTCCCAGAGCTTACAGTTCAGTGAGGGACACAGACACGGTCCCAAACAGTAATGACCTAGAATGAGCAGGTCATCTGGCTTTAATCTATGTAAGATTTATTTATTTATTTATTATTTTTTGAGATGGAGTTTTGCTCTTGTTGCCTAGGCTGGAGTGCAATGGAGCAATCTAGGCTCACTGCAACCTCCGCCACCCACATTCAAGCAGTTCTCCTGCCTCAGCCTCCCAAGTAGCTGGGATTACAGGCTAACTTTTGTATTTTTAGTAGAGACGGAGTTTCACCATGTTGGCCCTGCTGGTCTCGAACTCTTGACCTCAAGTGATCTGCCCACCTCAGCCTCCCAAAGTGCTGGGATTACAAGCATGAGCCACGGTGCCTGGCCAAGATTTATTTTTGAAAGTGCACCGAGGTCGTTGTTTATGAGTGATGTAACCAATTGTCTCAAGTTGACCAAAGGTAGATCTTTTCTCCACTGTTCTGAAATTCTACCTTTATCACATACCAAATTCCCATACACACACGTCTATTTCTGACATTTCTGTTATGTTCATTGATCTTTTTATTTATTCTTGCCTGCATGTACATGACATCCCTCTGTTTCTTTGTTCACATCAGTCTTTCATCTATGGGTGTCTATCTGTGTCTACATTTTCCCATTTTACTTAATTTTTTTTTTCTGGGCATGGTGGCTAATGTCTGTAATCCTAGCACTTTGGGAGGCCTAGGCGGGTGGATCACCTGAGGTCAGGAGTTCGAGACCAGCCTGACCAACATGGAGAAATCCTATCTCTATTAAAAATACAAAATTAGAGTCCCGGTGCAGTGGCTCACACCTGTAATCCCAGCACTTTGGGAGGCCGAGACAGGCGGATCACGAGGTCAGGAGTTCAAGACCAGCCTGGCCAATATGGTGAAACCCCGTCTTTACTAAAAATACTAAAATTAGTTGGGCGTGGTAGCGCACACCTGTAGTCCCAGCTACTCAGGAGGCTGAGGCAGAAGAATCGCTTGAACCTGGGAGGCGGAGGCTGCAGTGAGCCGAGATTGTGCCACTGGACTCCAGCCTGGGTGACAGAGCCAGACTCTGTCTCAAAAAAAAAAAAAAAAAAAAAAATTAGCCGGGCATGGTGGCACATGCCTGTAATCCCAGCTACTCAGGAGGCTGAGGCAGGAGAATTGCTTGAACCCTGGAGGCAAAGGTTGCGGTGAGCTGAGATCGCACCATTGCACTCCAGCCTGGGCAACAAGAGTGAAACTCCATCTCAAAAAAAAAAAAAAAATTTTTTTTGAGACAAGGTCTTGATCTATTGCCCAGATTTATTGTCCTGAACCTTGCTTACCTCAAATGCCTTTTTCTTTTCACCCTAACAATTGAAATCCAGAATTCTAGGCTGGGTGCGGTGGCTCATGCCTATAATCCCAACAATTTAGGAGGCCAAGGTGGGCAGATTGCTTGGGCTCCAGAGTTCAAGACCAGCCAGGGCAACATGACAAAACCCCATCTCTACAAAAAAACACAAAAATTGGCTGGGCAAGGTAGCTCATGCCTGTAATCCCAGCACTTTGGAAAGCTGAGGCAGGAGAATCACTTGAACCCGGGAGGTGGAAGTTGTAGTGAGCCAAGATCACGCAATTGTACTCCAGCCTGGGCGACAAAAGCGAAACTCCATCTAAAAAAAAAAAAAAAAAAAAAAAGCTATGTGTGTTGGTGTGCACCTGTAGTCCCAGATACTCAGGAGGCTGAGGAGGGAGAATTGCTTGAGCCCAGGAGGCAGAGGCTGCAGTGAGCTGCGATTGTGCCACTGCACTCCAGCCTGGGTGACAGAGTGAGACCAAAAACAAACAAAACAAAACAAACAAACAAACAAAAAAACGAAAGAAAAGAAAGGAAAGAAAAAGGAAATCCAGAATCCTAGGTTCTTAGTATTGTTTCTTGCAATGTTAGAAGATATAGGGGCCAGGAGAGGTGGCTCACGCCTAGTAGGAAGGAAGGAGAATCAGTCTAATAGTCTCATCACTAGGTATAATTTTCCCCCAGGAGGCCGGGCACAGTGGCTCACGCCTGTAATCTCGGCACTTTGGGAGGCCGATGGAAGGTGGATCACGAGGTCAGGAGTTCAAAACCAGCCTGGCCAAGATGATGAAACCTTGTCTCTACTAAAAAATACAAAAAAAAAATTAGCCGGGCGTGGTGGCGGACGCCTGTAATCCCAGCTACTCGGGAGGCTGAGACGGAGAATTGCTTGAACCCAGGAGGCGGAGGTTGCAGTGAGCCGAGATTACACCACTGCACTCTAGCCTGGGCGACAGAGCGAGACTCCGTCTCAAAAAACGAAAAAAAGAAAAAATGAAATATGCCTCTGTATCCAAGACCATACAGCGATTCTAGAAGTAGGTCATCCCAAGTAGAAGGGCTTGTGACTCAGTTATCCCCTTGGGGAATGGAATTGCCAGACTTAACCCTGCAACTCCTGCGTTTTCTGCAAGGGGGCGATGGTGCACCACAAGAGGATTGGAAGTGTTGGGGAGCCGGGGCCTCTCTGCTCCGCCAGAACCCAGCGGGGGCAGGACCCCCTAGAAGGCGGCCCATTCCCCGCTCCCGATTCATTTCCTTGAAGCAGAAGTGCGGTAAAGGGCCCGCCGCCTGCGATCAGTGGAATTCTGAATCGGTTAACGTTAGTTAAGAGCGAGGGGAAAAAATTGCCCTGGGTTCTACGTTATTTCCAAGTTGGCAAGTTGGATGTTGGATTTCTACCCTCAGTTTCTTTTCTTTTTTTCTTTTTCTTTCTTTCTTTCTTTTTTTTTTTTTTTTTTGAGACGGAGTCTCTCTCTGTCACCCAGACTAGAGTGCGGTGGTGCGATCACACCTCACTGCAGCCTCAACCTCCCGGGCTCAGATGATCCTCCCACATCAGCTTACCGAGTAGCTGGACCACAGGCGCGCGCCACCACGCCTGGCCAACTTTTGTATTTTTTTTGTAGAGGCGTGGGGGTGGGGGGGTGGGGTCTCACTATAGCCCAGGCTGGTCTCGAACTCCTGGGCTCAAGCGATCCTCCCTTCTCGCCCTCCCAAAGTGTCGGGATTACTGTAGTGAGCCACTGCTCCCAGCCTAAGCTGTTTCAAAACTAAACTTTGGAATCCCGGATTCGAATCTCCCCGGCTCCCAGAGTTGCGCGTTCGAATCCCCCAGCCGTATCCAAGCTCCGATTCCGCCTCTTTCTTCCAAACGCCCCAAGTTCCAGAATTCAGCCGCAACTCCAGTTTGGGCCACTCCCCAGCTACGGCCCCTGCTCCCATCCCAAACCTTCCCCTCCTCTCAACTTCGAGCCCTTTGTTCGCCCCGGAACGGGTGGGGTGGGGACGGAGACTGTAAGGACGGGACCCTCACCGACAATTCCGCCAAAGGGGACCTGAACGGGGGGCGGAGAGCAGCCCGGCCGAAGGCTCTGGAAGCGGGCACCGCCGGGGGGCGCAGTGACCAGGCTGGCGTCCCCGCCCGCCTCTAAACTTAGCCGCGGTGACGCGCGGCCCGGCGATCGCGGCGGGGCCGGGGACGCAGGGGGGCCCGAGTGGAGGGGGGCGGCTCGGCTCGGCGAGCCTCTATTTATAGCGCCCGGAGCCCGAAATAGCGCGGAGCGGAGCGGCCGGGATGACGCGGGAGCCGCCGGGGGCTGACTCACCCGGCCCCAAGCGGAGGCCCCCGGATGGGGGGCAGTGGAGGCGCCTAGCCCCTACTCCGCGTCCTCCCGGGCACCTTTTTTGGTGGGACATCCCAAGTCTCCGCTGGAGAGGCTGTGGATGGATGTACAGCAAAGGAAAGATCTGCAGCATGAGAGACTGAGGTTGGATCAGAAGTGGGACTTCCACACACACAAAAAACCCCAGAACTGGGCCGGGCGCGGTGGCTCCCGCCTGTAATCTCAGCACTTTGAGAAGCCGAGGAGGGCAGATCACCTGAGGTCAGGAGATTGAGACCAGCCTGGCCAGCATGATGAAACCTCATCTCTACTAAAAACACAAAATTAGCCAGGCGTGGTGGCTCATGCCTATAATCCCAGCTACTCGGGAGGCTGAGGCAGGAGAATCGCTTGAACCTGGGAGACAGAGGTTGTAGTGAGCCAAGATCGCGCCACTGCACTCCAGTCTGGGCAAAAACAGCGAAACTCCATCTCAAAAAAAGAAAGAAAGAAGGAAAGAAAAATAAAGACAGAATGGAGGACCTATTTATACAAAATGAGAAAGGCGGAAAGAGGGGAGGTGAACCAGATATACACACTTGTTTCTCACCAGCAAGAGAACTGGGATGTTCTGGAGGCAAAGGAATGGACTCAGGGACCCTGGGTAGTTGCCATTCCAGAGCACATGCCATTCTCCACTTGTCACGATTTCTTGCATACTGTTCCCATTCCCTAGAATGTTCTTCCTTGCCTTCTCAGCCTTGAGAACTCATGTACCTCCAGGACCTGGTGCCCAGGGCAATTCCTTTATTTTTATTATTATCATTATTATTATTTGAGACAGAGTCTCGCTCTGTCACCCAGGCTGTAGTGCAGTGGCATGATCACGATTCACTGCAACTTCCGCCTCCCAGGTTCAAGTGATTCTCCTGCCTCAGCCTCCTGAGTAGCTGGGACTACAGGCGCATGCCACCACACCCAGCTAATTTTTTATTTTTAGTAGAGATGGGGTTTCACCATGTTGGCCAGGCTGGTTTCGAACTCCTGACCTCAGGTGATCCACCCGCCTCGGCCTCCCAAAGTGATGGGATTACAGGCATGAGCCACCGCGTCCAGCCGGAGCAATTCCTCAAATAAAAACTCCGTGACCCACTGAACTGGGAGCCCCATAAGGGCAGGGTCAAGGCCATCTCAGTCATCGCCTTGTCCCCAGCGCTGCCCAGCACAGGACAGGCCTTGGGATAAATTAACTGCATGAATAAAAGGTGCTGGTGATAAAATAAAATGACATTTCCCGTTATAATAGCAAATGTTGATTGCATGCTCTGTGACCGGCACGCATGATTCTGAGCCTTATCTCCTGTGGGCCTCGCTGCAGCCCTGCAGGGATGTACTTTTATTATTATTATCACCGCCATCCCTATGTTAGAGATGAAGACACCAGGCCCAAAGGGGCTAAAAGTACTGGATCTCACTGCTTGCACTCAGAGCTTTCTCTTAAACCTAGGTCACCTTGGCTCCAAAGGTGTTCGGTTTCCAGCATACATACATCTGGGTCCTGTGGAACCAAAAGCTAGGGAGTGAGTCTCAGCCTGCAGCCCAAAGAACCTTAGGGGGTTCCCCAGCACCCCTTTGGGGGTCTACAAATACAAAATTATTATCATAAGCGGGGCGCGGTGGCTCATGCCTGTAATCCCAGCACTTTGGGAGGCTGAGGCATCAGGCGGATCACGTGAGGTCAGGAGTTTGAGACCAGCCTGGCAAACATGGCAAAACCCCAACTCTACTAAAAATACAAAAAATTAGCAGGGCATGGTGGTGGGTGCCTGTGATTCCAGCTACTTGGGAGGCCGAGGTGGGAGAATTGGGAGATGAAGTTTGCAGTGAGCTGAGATTGGGCCACTGCACTCCAGCCTGGGCAACAGAGCAAGACCTCGTCTCAAAAAAAAATTACCATAATAATATTGACATAATATATGATACACCATAATAATAATACTTAGTTGGGGGGTGGGGTCTCAGCCTTCCCCAGGCTGGAGTGCAGTGGCACGATCTTGGCTTACTGCAACCTCCACCTCCCGTGTTCAAGCGATTCTCCCGCCTCAGCCTCCCAAGTAGCTGAGACTATAGTCATGCACCACCATGCCCGGCTAATTTTTTTGTATTTTTAGTAGAAACGGGGTTTCACCATATCAGCCAGTGCAGTTTCCATGATATTGCAACAGACCAAATGCAGACACACACGTGAGGACCCAGCTGTCTTCTGTTAAGCCTGACGTGAAAGTGATTTGCAAAAATTAAAACAATGCCCTTCCTCTCACTAAGTTTTTGTTTCAGGCTGTGCATGGTGGTACATCCCTGTAATTCCAGGACTTTGGGAGGTCAAGGTGGGAGAATGGCTTAAGCCCAGGAGTTCAAGACCAGCCTGGAGGGCCGGGAGCAGTGGCTCATGCCTGTAATCCCAGCACTTTGGGAGACTGAGGCGGTGGATCACCTGAGGTCAGGAATTCAAGACCAGCCTGACCAACACGGAGAAACCCATCTCTACTAAAAATACAAAAATTAGCTGGGCGTGGTGGCACACGCCTGTAATCCCAGCTACTTGGGAGGCTAAGGCAGGAGAATCACTTGAACCCAGGAGGTGGAGGCTGCAATGAGCCAAGATCATGCCATTGCACTCCAGCCTGAGCAACAAGAGTGAAACTCCATCTCAAAAAAAAAAAAAACCAGCCTGGGCAACTTAGGAAGACCCCTATCTCTACAAAAAATGTTAAAATGAGCTGTGCTTGGTGGCGCGTGCCTACGTTCTCAGCTGCTTGGGAGGTTGAGGTGGGAGGATCACTTGAGCCTAGCAGGTGGAGGCTGCAGTGAGTCTTAATTATACCCCTGGCACCCCAGCCTGGACAACAGACTGAGACCCTGCCTCAAAAAAATTTTTTTTTATTTTGGAAAACATGGTTATTTTCATGTAAAAGATATAACTTACATTAACATTCAATTAATTTTTTATTTTTTTATTTTTTTGAGATGGAATCTCGCTCTGTCGCCCAGCCTGGAGTGCAATGGCGCAATCTTGGCTCGCTGCAACCTCCGCCTCCCGGGTTCAAGCAATTCTCCTGCCTCAGCCTCCCGAGTAGCTGGGACTACAGGCATGTGCCGCCACACCGGGCTAATTTTTCATATTTTAGTAGTGACGGTGTTTCACCATGTTAGCCAGGCTGCTCTCGATCTCCTGACCTCATGATCCACCCGCCTTGGCCTCCCAAAGTGCTGGGATTACAGGCATGAGCCACCACGCCTGGCCAACACAAAATTAATTTATTATTATTATTATTATTATTATTATTATTAGTTATTTTTAGAGATGGGGGTCTTGTTGCGCTGCCCAGGCTGGTCTCAAACTCAAGCGATACTTCCACCCCAGCCTCCCAAGTAGCTAGGATTACAGGTTTACACCACTGCACCCAGCTACTTTTAAATGAATCAACAAATATTTCTAAAATTTCTCAGTTTTGATTTCCATTACAGTAAATATTGATAGAAATCATACACATCAACAAAAACTCTTTGGGGTCCTCAATACATTTTTTAAATTTTAGACAGGGTTTCACTCTGTTGCCCAGGCTGGAGTTCAATGGTGCAGTCATAACTCACTGCACGCTTTGAACTGGGCTAAAGCAGTCCTCCCACCTCAGCCTCCCAAATAGCTAGGACTACAGGTGCATGCCACCACTCCTGGCTGCTTTTATTTATTTTTGTAGAGACGGGGTCTTGCTATGTTGCCCAGGCAGAGGCCTTCAATAATTAGGAGTGTAAGGGGGCCAGGTGGAGTGGCTCACGCCTGTATTCCCAGCACTTTGGGAGGCCGAGGTGGGCGGATCACGTGAGGTTGGGAGTTCGAGACCAGCCTGACCAACATGACCTGACCAACATGGATAAACCCTGTCTCTACTAAAAATACAAAATTAGCCGGGCATGGTGGCACATGCCTCTAATCCCACCTACTCGGGAGGCTGAGGCAGGAGAATCGCTTGAACCTGGGAGGCGGAGTTTGCGGTGAGCCGAGATCGCGCCACTGCACTCCAGCCTGGGCAACAAGAATGAAACTCTGTCTCAAAATAAATAAATAAATAAATGGATTAGGCCGGGTGCGGTGGCTCACACCTGTAATCCCAGCACTTTGGGAGAACAAGGCAGGCAGATCACTTGAGGTCAGGAGTTTGAGACCGGCCTGGGCAACGTGGTGAAACCCTGTCTCTACTAAAATTACAAAAATTAAGCCGGGCACAATGCCTCATGCCTGTAATCCCAGCACTTTGGGAGACCAAGGCAGGTGGATCACCAGAGGTCAGGAGTTCAAGACCAGCCTGGGCAACATGGTGAAACCCCGTCTCTACTAAAAATACAAAAATTAGCCAGGCGTGGTGGCATGTGCCTGGAATCCCAGCTACTTGGGAGGCCAAGGCACGAGAATCGCTTGAACCTGGGAGGTGGAGGTTGCAGTGAGCCGAGATTGCGCCATTGTACTCCAGCCTGGGTAACAGAGTGAGAGTCCATCTCAAAAACAAACAAATTAGCCAGGCATGGTGGTGCACGGATGTAATCCCAGCTACTTAGGACGCTGAGGCCAGAGAATTGCTTGAACCCGGGAGACAGAGGTTGCAGTGAGCCGAAATTGTACCACTGCACACCAGCCTGGGTGACAGAGCAAGACTCTGTCTTTAAAAAAAAAAAAAAAAGAATCAATGAACTAACAATCATACAAACCTGATTAGTGTCATGAAGGACAAGAATGTGGAACATCATTTTAACTTTGAAGGAGAGGACGAGTGGATGGGAGGGTAGCGGAGGTTTCTCTGTCAAAGGAGCATTTAAGGAGAGACCTGGCTGGGCACAGTGGCTCACACCTGTAATCCCAGCACTTTGGGAGGCCAAGGTGGGTGGATCACGTGAGGTCAGGAGTTCGAGACCATCCTGGCTAACATGGTGAAACCCCGTCTCTACTAAAAATACACGCACACAAAAATTAGTCAGGCATGGTGGCATGCGCCTGTAGTCCCAGCTACTCGGGAGGAGGCTGAGGCAGGAGAATCACTTGAACCCGAGAGGCAGAGGTTGCAGTGAGCCGAGATTGTGCCACTGCACTCCAGCCTGGCCAACAGCAAGAATGTCTCACACACACACACACACAAAAAAAAAAAAAAAAAAAAAGAGGAAGAAGAAGAAGAGACCTGTCCATGTGCCCTGGCTCACACCTGTAATCCCAGCACTTTGGGAAGCTAAGGCTGGCAGATCGCTTGAGCCCAGGAGTTTGAGACCAGCCTGGGCAACATGGTGAAACACCGTGTCTCTCCAAAAAATACAAAAAAAAAAAAAATCGCATGGCTTGGTGGCATGTGCCTGTAGTCCCACGTACTCGGGAGGCTAAGGTGGGAGGATCACTTGAGCCCAAAAATGTCAAGGCTGCAGAGGGCCATGATCATGACAATGCACTCCAGCCTGGGCAACTGAGTAAAGCCCTATCTCAAAAAAAAGAAAAGAGAATCTATCTGGCAGTTTTCTCTCTTGCCTTCCAATCGTTGCATCTCATTTATTTTTCTTGTCTTACAGCATTTTTTTGTTTTTGCTTTTGTTTTCCGAGACTGAGTCTTGCTCTGTCACCCAGGCTGGAGTGCAGTGGTACGACCTCAGCTCACTGCAACCTTCGCCTCCCGGGTTCAAGCAATTCTCCTGCCTCAGCCTCCCGAGCAGCTGGGACTACAGGCGAACATTGCCACACCCGGCCTTTTTTAAAAATTTTTTTATTTTTATTTTTATTGTTTTTTTTGAGACAGAGTTTCGCTCTTGTTGCCCAGGCTGGAGTGCAATAGTGCGATCTTGGCTCACTGCAACCTCTGCCTCCTGGGTTCAAGCGATTCTGCTGTCTCAGCCTCCTGAGTAGCTGGGATTACAGGCATGCACCACCACGCCCGGCTAATTTTTTGTATTTTTTTTTTTAGTAGAGATGGGGTTTTTCCACGTTGGTCGGGCTGGTCTCAAACTCCTGACCTCAGGTGATCCACCTGCTTCAGCCTCCCAAAGTGCTGCAATTACAGGCATGAGCCATGGTGCCTGGCCAAATTTTTGTATTTTTAGTAGAGACGGGGTTTCCCCATGTTGGCCAGGCTGGTCTCAGACTCCTGACTTCATGATCCATCCACCTTGGCCTCCCAAAGTGCTGGGATTACAGGCATGAGCCACTGTGCCAGGCCCATTTTACAGCATTTCAAACACTTCCAGGACTATGCCGCACAGTAACATTGATTCTCACAGCAGCCCTCCACACTACAACCCTCTGAGATGACTTATCTCACCATGCCCATTTTACAGAGGGAGAAACTGAGGCACAGGGAAGGTAGACTCTTATCCAAGGCCACATAGCAGGTAAACAAACAAACTAGGACTCCAACCAAACCTTGTGCTCTGTCTCAGCCTTAAAAGAAAACTCAATAAACATTCTGGCCTTTTTGTTTTTGTTTTGAGACCTTTATTCTGTTACGCAGGTTGGAGTGCAGTGTGGTGATCACAGCTCACTGCAGCCTCAAACTCCTAGGCTCAAGCAAACCTCCTACCTCAGCCTCACAAGTAGCTGGGACTATAGGTGTGCACCGCCAGAGCTGGCTATTTTTGTGTAGAGATGGGGTCTCGCTATGTTGCCCAGGCTGCTGATCTCAAACTGCTGGCCTCAAGGGATCCTCCTGCCTTGGACTCCCAAAGTGTTGGGATTACAGGTGTGAGCCTCCATGTTCAGTCCACATTCTGTACTTTTTTTTTTAGATGGAGTCTCACTCTGTCACCCAGGGTGGAGAGCAGTGGCGCAATCTTGGCTCACTGCAACCTCTGCCTCCCGGATTCAAGCGATTCTCTCAAGTCTCAGCCTCCCAAGTAGCCGGGAGTACAGACATGTACCACCATGCCCGGCTAATATTTTTTGTATTTTTAGTAGAGACGGGGTTTCACCATGGTGGCCAGGTTGGTCTTGAACTCCTGACCTCAGTTGATCTGCCCACCTCATCCTCCCAAAGTGCTGAGATTACAGACATGAGCCACCGTGCCCAGCCTATTTTTTTTAAAACGGGAAAAATATCTGTAAATTGCCACAGTGACCCACGGAGCCTGGATGAAGAGCGGGAAGCCTGAGGTCTCCTTCAGTCTCCATCCTCTCTCTGAGCCTCAGTTTCCTTCCCTATGTGGAAGGGTTGGAAAAGATGTTCTCTAAAAGCCTCAGAAACTCTGCCGTTAGCGTGGAGGGGACAGAAGCTCAAACAGATTGCATTAGTTTCTTAACGGCTACTATAACAAATTATCCCCAATTCAGTGACTTAAAACAAGAGAAATTCGGCCGGGCGCCGTGGCTCACGCCTGTAATCCCAGCACTTTGGGAGGCCGAGGCGGGCGGATCACGAGGTCAAGAGATCGAGACTATCCTGGTCAACATGGTGAAACCCTGTCTCTACTAAAAATACAAAAAATTAGCCGGGCATGGTGGCGGGCGCCTGTAGACCCAGCTACTCGTGAGGCTGAGGCAGGAGAATGGCGTGAACCCAGGAGGCGGAGCTTGCAGTGAGCCGAGATCACGCCACTGCACTCCAGCCTGGGTGACAGTGAGACTCCGTCTCAGACAAACAAACAAACAAAAATAGTTTTGTAGAGATGAAGCGGGGGGGCGGGGTCTTGCTCTATTGCCTACGCTGATCTCAAACTCCTGGCCTTGACATTGCAATCTGCCCGCCTTGGCCTCCCAAAGGGCTGAGATTACGAGTGTGAGCCACCCTGGCCTAAACATTTAAAACGACATGTGTGACAGCCAGGCATGGTAGCCTGCACTTGTAATCCCAGCTCCTTGGAAAGCTGAGGTGGGAGGACCCCGTGAGACCAAGAGTTGGAGATCAACCTGGGCCATACAGTGAGACTCCATATATAGTGGATTCCAATATAGTGAGACTTTAAAATATAAAATAAGGGCCGGGCATAGTGGCTCACGCGTGTAATCCCAGCACTTTGGGAGGCCAAGGTGGGTGAATCACCTGAGGTCAGGAGTTCGAGACCAGCCTGACCAACATGGTGAAACCCCATCTCCACTAAAAATACAAAATTAGCCAGGCGTTGTGACACACGCCCGTAATCCCAGCTACTCAGGAGGCTGAGGGAGGAGAATCGCTTGAACCCAGGAGGCAGAGGTTGCAGTGAGCCTTGATCACGCCACTGCACTTCGGCCTGGGCGACAGGAGCAAGACTTCATCTCAAAAAAGAAAAAGAAAATATATATGTGTGTGTGTATATATATATATAATAAGTAAAAATAAAATCGTACATATGGATCTAGCAGACTCATATACCTCTGGTTATATTTCCAAAGGAATTGAAATCAGGATGTCGAAGGGTTATCTACACTCTCAAGTTCATTGCAGCACTGGTCACAATAGCCAAGATATGGAGTCAACCTAAGTGTCCATCAAGGGACATAATGGATAAAGCAAATGTTGCATATACACACGATGGAATACTATACAGCCTTGAAAAGGGAGGAAATTCTGCCATTCAAGACAACATGGATGGAACTGGAGGACATTATTCTAAGTGAAATAAACCAGACACAGAAAGACAAACACCACATGATCCCACTTTTATATGGAATCTTAAAAAGTCGAGCTCATAGAAACAGTATAAAGGTGGCTACTAGAGTCCAGGGAAGTGGGAGAGGGTTGGGAAAAGAGAAGATGTTGATCAAAGGGTGCAAAGTTTCAGCGAGACTGGAGAAATATATTTCAGTGATCTATTGCACAGCATGGTAACCACAGTTAATACTAATGTATTGTGTATTTCAAAGTTGCTAAAATAGAGTTTAAATTTTTTAAATTTGTAAATATTATTTTTTATTTTTTGTCACTACGTGTTCTCATCTGATTTTTTTTTTTTTTGAGACGGAGTCTCGCTCTGCTGCCCAGGCTGGAGTGCAGTGGCACAATCTCGGCTCACTGCAACCTCTGCCTCCTGGGTTCAAGTGATTCTCCTGCCTCCGCCTCCCGAGTAGCTGGGACTACAGGCGTGTGAGACCACGCCCAGCTAAATTTTTTTTGTATTTTTAGTAGAGATGGGATTTCACCGTGTCAGCCAGGATGGTGTCGATCTCCTGACCTCGTGATCCACCCGCCTCCGTCTCCCAAAGTGCTGGGATTACAGGCGTGAGCCACTGTGCCCGGCCTCTCATCTGATTTTTTTTATTTTTATTATTGTGCTTTTTGTAGAGATGGCATCTCACTACATTGCCCAGATTAGTCTCCAACTCCTGGGCTCAAGCCATCCTCCTGCTTCGGCCTCCCAAACTGCTGGATTTATAGGCGTGAGTCACCGCACCTGGCCCTGACATCTTGATGTCAATTTATTTGCAATATACACCCAGAAGTGGGATTGCTGGATCCATATGTGTAATTTTATTTTTTATGTGTTTGTTTGTTTGTTTATTTATTTATTTTAAGACAGTCTCACTCTGTCGCCCAGGCTGGAGTGCAGTGGCACAATCTCGGCTCACTGCAACCTTTGCCTCCCATGCTCCTGTGATCCTCCTACCTCAGCCTTCTGAGTAGCTGGGACTACAGGTGTGCACTATCACGCCCGGCTAATTATTTTTATTTATTATTATTATTATTTTTTAAGACAGAGTTTTGTTCTTTTTGCCCAGGCTGGAGTGCAATGGCTGGATCTCGGCTCAGCGTGACCTCCGCCTCCCTGGGTCCAGCAATTCTCCTGCCTCAGCCTCCCAAGTAACTGGGATTATAGGCATGCGCCACCACGCCCGGCTAATTTTGTATTTTTAGTAGAGACGGGGTTTCTCCGTGTTGGTCAGGCTGGTCTCGAAATCCCGACCTCAAGTGATCCGCCCCACTCGGCCTCCCGAAGTGCTGGGATTACAGGTGTGAACCACCGCGCCCGGCCCGAAGTTATTCCTCTTATCTGACTGTAGTTTGGTATTTTTTAACCGCATCTCTCTGTTCTTCCTCTCCCAACCCCATCTCTACTAAAAATACAAAATTAGCCAGCCGTTGTGGCGCATGCCTGTAATCCCAGCTACTCGGGAGGCTAAGGCAGGAGAATTTCTTGCACCCAGGAGGTGTAGGTTGCAGTGAGCTGAGATCGCACCACTGCACTCCAGCCTGGGCGACAGAGCGAGACTCTGTCTCAAAAAACAAAAACAAACAAACAAAAAAACAAATAGCGCCTCGTTTTCTGGGAGGCAGTGAATTCCCCATTTAGGAAGTGTCCAAGCTCAAGTTGAAATGATGGTACATTGCGGTTCATGCTGCAATGCCTCAACCCAGTTCCTCTCCGGACCTCAGTTTCCTCATTTATAAAATGGGTGTGGACGACGAGGTCAGATTTAAAAAAATAATAATAGTAGTTAATAATAATAGGCCGGGTGCAGTGGCTCAGGCCTTTAATCCCAGCACTTTGGGAGGCCGAGGTAGCAGGATCGCTTGAGCCCAGGAGTTCTAGACAATCCTGGGGCAATATAGCGAGATTCTATCTCAAAGAAATAATCATAATCATAATAAAAATAAATGAATAGATAAGCTGAGACGGACTCAGGCCCAGCTCCTGCCTGCGATCCCTGCGGGGGCCACCAGGGGGCGCGGCGCCCCTGCCCAAAACTCCGCCGTCGGCTCTGAACCCCGGCGGACGCGTCCCGACGCCCCTGGAAGATTCTGCGCCCTGCCGGCTCGCCGGCGCCCGGGAGCCCGGGAGGCGGGTGTGCACGCGGGGTGTCCAGGGCGCCCCCGATCGAGGCCCCCTCGCCGTGCCTCGGGGTAGGGGGACGGCTGTGACTCAGGCGCGCGCTCCTCCCCGGGGCCCTCAGTGGTCGCGAGGGGGCGCGCACGGCCTCGGGAACCCGCGCGGCGCCGCGTCCATTTTTACCCCAGCTCCGCTAAAAATAGTTGCCGCGCTCCGAGCCGAGCCCGAAATAGCGGCCCCCAGATAAGGCAGGACGACTCAGCGCTTCCGGGGAGCGGAAGGGGGAGCGCGCGGGGGGAGCGGTGCTGGGCGCAGCCCGGCCGAGCAGGCGCCGCTGTCCCCAGCGCACCCCCACTCTGCCCTGGCGGTCACACTCGCCCCCGACTGCGACCCCGCCCCGCCGCTAGCCTGGCTGCCTTCCTACGTCCCCCACATTGTATCCTCATCCCCTGTCCCCCATCCTCAGCTTCACCTCCATTCCTCATCATAACTCCCCCCTCCCCTACACCCCCAGCGATGTCCCCCACTGGTACTCATCCGCATCCCCCAGCCTGTCCTACTCCTGTCCCTATTTCCCCTCTCCACCCTCATCGCCAATCTCCTGTCGTCCTGAATCTGCCCCTTACCATCTCTGTCCTCAAGGCCAACCTTTATGGGGGCAGAGCAGGGCGAGAGGATCACAGGGAGTCAGGAGACCTGCGGGCTGAGGGCTGAGGGCTGGGGGTGAGGATCTGATTTCTTGGTTTGTTTCTACTGTGGGCAGGGGTAGGCTTAGATCTGGGGGTTGGAGCATGGGACACTTCAGTCTGGCCTAGTCTTCAGAGCTGAGGCGAGGCATGGCCAGCATCACGGCTCATTCTGTGACCAGGGTCGGGGCTCAGGCTGGGGAAGGATGACCGTCTTTGTCACCAAATTTGATCACTGTGTCACCAGAGTTAGGGCTCAGCCTTGAGCCGTTTCTTTATTTACCCACCTCCACTAATATTTTTTATTTCAGACAAGGCCTTGCTCTGTCGCCCAGGCTGGAGTGCAGTGTTGCCCATGCTGGAATGCAGTGCTGGGATCTTAGTTGACTGCAGCCTTGAACTCCTGGGTTCAAGAGATCCTCCCACCTCAGCCTTCCTAGTAGCTGGGACTACAGGTGTGCACCAGCACACCTGGCTAATTTTTCATTTTTTTGTAGAGACAGAGTCTCCATGCCTTGCCCGCCTTGTCCAGGCTGGTCTTGAGCTCCTGGCCTCAAGCTATCCTCTGGCCTCCTCCTAGGAAGGCACTGAAATGACAGGCATGAGCTACAGAGCCCGCCTCCACTAAGATTCTTTCCTCCCTTGCAAGTCAGTGATTGGACACAACAGCTCCAGGCCTTGGGAACAGTCAGAACTCTGTTCCCTGGGCCTAGGTCTTCCCTTTGCACTGAGATCATCTAAGGGCCTCCCCATTTCCATATCCTGAGATTCTCAGTGCCCACTCCAAGCATCAGTGTCAGGCCTCAAGGACCTACACTGCATGTTCTGGGGGTTTAAAGGGAGCACACTGACTTCCCTGAGGGTGACAGAGGTCAGAATGAGTGACTAAGGTCTTGGGCCTGGCCCTGACCCTGCAGTGGGTGGGAGAGATACCCAGTTGAGGCCCAGGTCTCCACCCAGGTAGCAGGGTGGATGGCGGGGGGGTCATCCCTGAGGTGAAATGTGGGTGGAAGATACCTAGATAAGTTTCAGAGTCAGTGCAGAGATGGTAATTTTTAAGTAACTTCTAAAATTTTCGAGTAGCTGGGATTACAGGCGCCTGCTACCAAGCCTGGCTAATTTTTGTATTTTTTTGTAGAGACGGGGTTTTACTATGTTGTCCAGGCTGGTCTCAAACTCCTGACCTCAAGTGATCCGCCCACCTCGGCCTCCCAAAGTGCCGGGATTACAGGCGTAAGCCACTGCGTCCAGCCTAATTTTTTTTTTTTTTTTCTGAGACGGAGTCTTGCTCTGTCACCCAGGCTGGAGTGCAGTGGCGGGATCTCGGCTCACTGCAACCTCTGCCTCCTGGGTTCAAGTGGTTCTCCTGCCTCAGCCTCCCAAGTAGCTGGGACTACAGGCCAGGCGCATGCCACCACGCCCAACTAATTTTTTGTATTTTTAGTAGAGACGGGGTTTCACAGTGTTAGCCAGGATGGTCTCGATCTCCTGACCTCATGATCCGCCTGCCTCGGCCTCCCAAAGTGCTGGGATTACAGGTGTGAGCCACTGTGCACAGCACTTTTTTTTTATTTTATTTTTTTTAATTTTGAAAACTGTTTAGAGGCCAGGTGCGGTGGCTCATGCCTGTAATCCCACCCAGCACTTTGGGAGGCCGAGGTGGGAGGATTGCTTGAGCCCAGGAGTTCAAGACCAGCCTCGACATTATAGTGAGATCTCATCTCTGGGAAAAAAATTTTTTTTAATTAGCCAAGTGTGGTGGCATGCACCTGTGGTCCCACCTACTCAGGAGGCTGAGGTGGGTGGGAGGATCGGTTGAGCCCAGGAGGTGGAGGTTGCAGTGAACCGAGATGGCACCACTACACTCCAGCGTGGGCAACAGAGACCCTGTCTCAAAAAAAAAAAAAAGAAAAAGAAAAAAAGTTTTGGTAACTACAAAAGGGTATACCTTGGAAAAGTAAATTTCCCTCCCACTCTGATCCCCACTTCTCAATATTAACTATTTTTTATGTATCTTGGCCAGTAGGATTCACTGAGCTCTCACGATGTCCCTGGCCTATGCAAAGCCCATCACAGAAATGAAGTGGCTGGAATCATTCAGCACTCAGTGAGTAGGCCAGACCCCATTGCTATGCCCATTTTAGAGATGGGAAAACTGAGGCTTGGAGAGGTGCAAGGATGTGTCCTTTTGAGGGCCCGGTTCTGAAGGCTTTTCAAAGTTGAGGCAAGGAAGTGGATGAGATCAAAGAGGCAAGGTTCAGGCCAGGATACAAATCCCAGGGAGGGTGACAGGGGTGGGGAGTCAAGGAAGGCTGCCTGGAAGAAGACTAAGGGTAGCCAGGAAGGCATCTTCCAGAACCTTCTGATGGAGGGCTTGGATGGAAGTAGATAACTCTGTTTGGCAGGCTGAGGAACCACCAGCAGCAGGGCGTGGCCCCTCCTCAGACCCACAGCACCCCAGAGGTATGTATAGAAGAAGCAGGCTGCTTAATGACATCTCAGGGACACATCTCGGTGATAGCACAGCCGGCTTAGTTATGACGTCTGAGTGATTTGCCAACTGCCTTAAGACCAGCATCCCTAGTCATGCCCCGCGGGGGGGATGAAGATAAGAGGAAGTGACAGGCCATCGGGGGAGGAAGGGGAGATGCAGTCACACACAGACCAGGGACTCAGGAGCTGAGGGATGTGTGGTGCCCTCTGCACTAGGGAGGGGTCTCCCAGCTGCCTGGATGTGAGGGTCCATCTTATTGATTTGTCTAGTGAAGGAGGCCAGGCTCCAAGGAGGTATGGCTGTAGTCAGTCACACTCAGTTTGGGATGGGGTCCGCCCAGGGGCTGCAAGGATCAGTCACTGCTGTGTCCCCATCACCTAAGGCAGTAACTGGGACACAGCCGGCGCTCCATACATCTTACTGAATGAATGAATCGAATGAAAAGGGTCAGCACCGTCTGGGACTCAGTTTACCCTCGCGGTCATTGGGCTGCTTCAACCAAGGGGATCGCTAAGAACACCCCTCCCCACCTTGGGTCCCAGATCCCAGATCGCCAGTGAGTAAGAAAACGGGTTCGCGCCGTTGGTGGACTCCGCCCACTTGTGACGTCACGAGCCGCTCCCCCAGGATCCCGACCCAGGCGTCTCCCTTGGGATGGGGGCGGAGAGGAACCCGGGAGTCCAGACTCAGGCCCCGCCCCCGGGAGCAGGCGGGCCGGGCAGGGTTACACAACCCGTCGTCGCGTCCCGAGGGAAGTCGCCGGATGTCCTGGCCGGGCCGGGGACAATGGGCAAGGAGGGCCCCTCCCGCAGGAACCTGGAAGTGGCAGGGGCTCCCCCTCTTCTGATTCACCCTTGTTTCCGGCCCGGTTTAGCCTCCTTCTCCCTGGGGATCCTATCTCCTCCCAACTCTACCCTCCTGTGGCCCTGCAGTTCGGTTCTTTCTCCGAACCGGCAAACCTCTCTCCTCTACACCCCGTACCCCGTCCTTTCACACCTTCCCAACGCCCCCCGAAACTCTCTGCCCTCACACTCATCGCTTGTAATTCCCGAATCCCCTAAACTTCCAGTGTCCCCGGTCCTTCCTTCACTCATCCATACCGGGCCCCTCTTCCCACCCCCTCAACTACCCCCACTATCCTGCCCAGGCCCTCCCAATCCCCTCCCCGGGCTCCCCCAAGCTTTCCTCAATATCTCCCAGCCCTCCCTAGCCCCCGACTCACCCGCTTCCCTCCAACTGACCCCAATACACTCTCTTGTCCTCCTAATCCCAGCCTCCCGCAGTTCCCTCCTGTCTCCTCGAACTGCCCCATGTCCCTACCTCATCTCCCCAAATCCTGTTCCCCATTTCCCCCCCTCCCCCAGCCAGCCGCTTCGCCCCCCACCCCGGAGCCCCTCCCCGCCCCTAGGCCCAAGGCCGGCCCGCGCCCCTCCCGGGCGCGCTCCCACGCCCGGCGCGGGTTCCCAGGCCGCCCCCCCGCGGTGGCCCAGAGACCCAGTTTGCTGCGGCAAAACACTGGTCTCCAGGCAACAGGCCCCGCCCCGCCCCAGGGCCGCCAGATGAGGCTGGGCGGTCAGGAGGCCACCGGGCCGGGACGGAGCACCCAGGCCTGCGCGCCAAACCCTCGGCCTTGGCCCCCAGAGGCCTCAGGGCGCAGAAACCCGGAGACTGAGGCGCAGCAAAGAGGAGATACAGAGATCAGGGCCCCGGAGCAAGAAATTCGGAGACATGCGTGGAGGCCGAAGCAACAGGGAACTGTCGGGGCGCAGAGATATAAGGAAAGACCACGCGACAGATCGAACAAGGACGGGGCCCAGAAATAAGCACAGAAATAATGCAGTTACACACGGGCAACACCGAGGCCGGCAGGGACGCCCCTGATGGCAGAATAATCCATCTTTAGTCCTCAGGACCTTTGCACTCAGTTCGAGGGACTTCCCCTCTCTGACTCTGTTTCTGTATTTGTAAAATGGGGACATTAATACGCAGCGCTTAGCAAATCAGGCTGTTCTGACGATTCAGTGAATTCGCAGACCCAGAGCTTGTAGCACAATTCCTGGCATGTACACTCATCATTCATTCATTCAACCGATTTTTTGTTGTTGTTGTTATTGTTGTCTGAGAGGAGTTTCGCTCTGTGGCCCAGGCTGGAGTGCAATGGTACCATCTGGGCTCACTGCAACCTCCGCCTCCTGAGTTCAAGCAATTCTCCTGCCTCAGCCTCCCAGGTAGCTAGGATTACAAGCCTGTGCCTCCACGCCCAGCTATTTCTTGTATTTTTAGTAGAGACACGGTTTCACCATGTTGGCCAGGCTGGTCTGAACTCCTGACCTCAAGTGATCCACCCACCTTGGCCACCCAAAGTGCTGGGATTAGAGGTGTGAGCCACGGCACCTGCCCCAATCAACAGGTATTTATTGAGCATCTACTATACGCCAGGCACTGGTAAAGACTGTGAGAATGCAGTATTGAACAAGACAAAGCTCTCTGTTCTGGAAGCTTACTCTTTGGAAATTGGAAGGGGGATGACCAACAATAAATGAACAAATGAGCAAATTAAGCAAATTATATAGTACTTTGGAAAGTAGTAAGTGCTGGGAAAAGCAGAGACAGGGGGTTGGGGGTTGCTATTTTAAATGGGATGGTCAGGGAAGGCCTAAATGAGAAGGTGATGTTTGAGCAAAGACTAGAAGTTGGTTTGGGAGAAGCCATGCAGATATGTGGCCTAAGCAAGTGCAAAGGGTGTAAGGTGAAGACATGTCTGGTGTGTTGGAGGAACACGGAGGCAGCTAGTGTGGGTGGACAGAGAGAACGTGGGGAGGGCACTGGAGCAGAAGAGGTCAGAGAGACTAAGGGCTGATCCCGCAGGGCCCGATGGGCTGAGGTGAAGTCTTTTACAGAGTGGGTCAGGAGCTATGGGAGGGTTTTGAGCAAAAGAGGGATGTGAACTGTTTCTTATTTGTTAATTAATTTATTTATTTATTTATTTTGAGACAGAGTTTCTTTCTTGCTGCCCAAGCTGGAGTGCAATGGCGTGGTCTCGGCTCACTGCAACCTCCGCCTCCTGGGTTCAAGCGATTCTCCTGCCTCAGCCTCCCAAGTAGCTAGGATTACAGGCTCGTGCCACCACGCCTGGCTAATTTTTTTTTTGCATTTTTATAGAGATGAGGTTTCACTCAACCCAATGTTGGCCAGGCTGGTCTCGAACTCCTGACCTCAGGTGATTTGCCCACCTCAGCCTCCCAAAGTGTTGGGATTACAGGCGTGAGCCACCGCGCCTGGCTTGTTTTTTATTTTAACAGGGTCCTTTGGGTTGTAGGTGGGGAATAGACTTTGGAGGACAAGTGTGGAGTCAGGGAGACCAGTCACTGTCATGGTCCAGTTGAGTCCAATGGTGACTTGGACTAGGAGGTAGTAGGGATCGATTCTGGAGGCCTTTGAGTTAAGAGAGGCAAAATTTGCTGACAAGCACATTCATAGCAAGCCATCAGTAGATGGCAGCACTTTCCATTATGTTAGGTGGTACTCACCACATCCCCATAAAAGTTAACATCCCTATTTTACAGATGTGCAAACTGAGGCCCAAAGAGGTCGCTTAACTTGCCTAAGGTCTCACGGCTCAGTCTAGCTCCAAAGATGGTACCCCTCTATTGGGACGGCTATTCCCAAGCCCACACACCCGAACATAACACTCTCAGTGCCTAGATTTACATCTAAACCTGTACTCATCCATGTGGGCCCCAGGACTCCCGGAGCCATGTCCTCATCAGTCACATGGAGCCGGTGTAGAAAGTAGGAGCTGGGCCGGGAGAGGTGGCTCACAACTGTAATCCCGGAACTTTGGGAGGCCAAGGCGGGCAGATCACGAGGTCAGGAATTCGAGACCAGCCTGACCAACATGGTGAAACCTCATCTCTACTAAAAATACAAAAATTAGCTGAGCGCAGTGGCAGGCGCCTGTAATCTCAGCTACTCAGGAGGCTGAGGCAGGAGAATCATTTGAACCCGGGAGGTGGAGGTTGCAGTGAGCCAAGAACGCGCCATTGCACTCCAGCCTGGGTGACAGGGTGAGACTCTGTCTAAAAAAAAAGAAAAGAAAAGAAAGTAGGAGCCAGATGGGGAGAATGCTGGCCCAGGACACTTGCTTAGAGGCAGGTTGGCACAGGCACAGAGGGTCCACCCAGAACCTCCCAGCCCAGCATCTGGCTCCCACATCCAATCACGGCCTAGGCCTGGCACACCCCAGCACTACGTGCAGCAACATGTGAAACACAGTCACGCATACACACGGAAATGTGGCCTTCTGCTCTGGGAATGCATTTTCAGGCAGTGTGCAGAAAACACAGATTTGCTTCTTTTTTTTTTTTTTTTTTTTTTGAGACAGAGATTTGCTCTTGTCATCCAGGCTGGAGTACAGTGGCGGGATCTAGGCTCACTGCAACGTCTCCCTTTCAGGTTCAAGCGATTCTCCTGCCTCAGCCTCCTGAGTAGCTGGAACTACAGGCACGTGCCACCACACCCAGCTAATTTTGTATTTTTAGTAGAGACAGGGTTTCACCATGTCGGTCAGGCTGGTCTTGAACTCCTGACCTCAGGTGGTCCACCTGCCTCCGCCTCCCAAAGTGATGGGATTACAGGCGTGAACCACTGTGCCGGGCGTCTATCTCTTTATGTCTCTGTATCTCTCTGTTTTCTTTTCTTGTCTCTATCTCTGACCTTTGTCTCACTCTGACCCAGCTCTGTCTCTCTCACGCCTCCACACTCAGGATCCTCTAACTGCCGCAGAATGACTCTTGTCCCTGGCTGTGTGTTTCCATAGGACCTCACCTATTATGTACCATGAGAACCTGGCCTCTGGACAGGTGTGTCCAGCCCCAGGTCGGCAATTCTGGCTGGTTGCTCAGAATCACCTGGGGAGTAACTCACATAGCATAATTCTCTGGGCTTCTTTCTCTGAGATTTTTTTTTTTTTTTGAGATAGTATCTTGCTCTGTCACCCAGGCTGGAGTGCAGTGGCACAATCTCAGTTCACTGCAACCTCTGCCTCCCAGGTTCAAGTGATTCTCCTGCCTCAGTCTCCCAAGTAGCTGGGACTACAGGTGTATGCCACCAAGCCTGGCTAATTTTTGTATTTTTAGTAGAGACGGGGTTTCGCCATGCTGGCCATGCTGGTCTCAAACTCCTAACCTCAGGTGATCCACCCACCTCGGCCTCCCAAAGTGTTGGGATTACAGGCATAAGCCATCGCGCCCGGTCGTCTTTCTCTGAGATTCTGACCCACAGCTTGTGGGTGTGGAACTGGAGGAACCCACCTTTAAAATACTCCCCAGTGACTGGGACCCCTGCCTGCTTGTACTAGTTACTGCATCTGATTTTACAGACAGAGAAGAGTCAAGGCCCAGAGAGCAGACAGCTCACCCCAACATCACACAGCAGTCAGCTGCGAGGGGCTTGGTGCTACTCAGATTTCTCCTAAGAATGTTTGGAAACAACCTGAGGGAGAGTTAAGTAATAAAGGAAAATCACAAACAGAGACAGAGACCCAGAAAGGGACTCACGGGAATAAAAGCAGAAAGTGACAGAGATACATAGAGATGATGAGACAGAGACAGAGAGATCAGAGATAGGGTTCAGAAAAAAAGAAGAGAGAGGCTGGGCACAGTTGCTCACGCCAGTAATCCCAGCACTTTGAGAGGCGGAGATGGGAGGATCTCTTGAGCCCAGGAGTTTGAGACCAGCCTGGACAGCATAGTAAGACCCCATCTTTATTTAAAAAAAAGTTTTTATTAATTTAAAAAAAATGCAGAGAGAGATAAACACACATCAGAGGCTGAGAAAGACAAAAAGCTATTTGGGGGCCTAGAAAGACCCCCCACCCCGCCCCAGGAGAGATGTATTTTCTTTTGAAGGAGACAATACCGTCTCCTTGGCCCATGCTTTAATAGGCCCTACTTCCCAGAAACAGCCAGTGCCATGGTTTAGCAATCTCAGCCTTACCAAGCCAGGTCTCCTCCCCAGGCTTGATATGTAGGATGCACATTAAATACGTTTATATAACCTGCCCTCTGTGCAGAATCAAGGAGCTTTACATAACGTAGCCCTGTGAGTCATGCGGCAGACACGGGGCACTGACCTGACATGCCCAGTGAGAGGGGACCCCTCGCCCAGGACCTTTACCTGGAAGTGATTGTGAAGGATAAGGGATCATGCATTTCACTGAAGAGGAAGCAGAGGGTTAGAGAAGGCAAGGCACTTACTTGGGGTCACACAGCCAGGATTCAGCACAGCAAGGATTCCAACCACATCTGCTAGTGCCTTATCACGTGATCCTTTACAGAGTGGAGGAAACAATAATAAAAACACCTCTAGTAATACAACGACTGCTGTGTATTGAGTGCACCGGGCTGCAGTAAGTACTTTACAAACACCGTCTTATGTATTCCAAAACCCAGTGAGGAGCTGGACGCTGTGGCTCACGCCTGCAACCCCAGCACTTTGGGAGGCCAAGGCAGGAAGATTGGGTGAGCCCAGGAGGAGTTCGAGACCAGCCTGGGCAACATAATGAGACCCCCGTCTCTAAAAACAAAAAATAATAAAAATTAAAAATTAAAAAATTAGCCAGTGCCTATAGTCCCAGCTAGTTGGTAGGCTGAGGCGGGAGGATTGCTTGAGCTCAGGAAGTGAGGCTGCAGTGAGCTGTGATCATACCACTGCACTCTAGCCTGGGCAACAGAATGAGACCTTGTCTCAAAAAAAACCAACAAAATGGCCGGGCGCGGTGGGTCACGCCTGTAATCCCAGCACTTTAGGAGGCCGAGGTGAGTGGATTACTGGAGGTCAGGAGTTCAAGACCAGCCTGGCCAACATGGTGAAACCTCGTCCCTACTAAAAATACAAAATTAGCCCAGCATGGTGGCGGGTGCCTGTAATCCCAGCTACTCGGGAGGCTGAGGCAGGAGAATCACTTGAACATGGGAGGCAAAGGTTGCCGTGAGCCGAGATCATGCCATTGCACTCCAGCCTGGGCAAAAAGAGCAAAACTCCATCTCAAACAAAACAAAAAAAGCCCAGCGAGTTAGGGACAGAATCCAGTTATTAAATAACATAATTAAACCTATTTTATACGGAGCACTTATTATGTACTAAGTGCTTTACCGGATTTGATGGTCACAATTCTAGGGGTGGGTGATGTTATCACCTCCATTTCAGGAAGGAAGGAGGCTCAGAGGAAGTCACAGGTCAAGGTTCCGGAGTGGGTAACTAAACCCAGTCCTTGCTAGCCCTGTATCTCTATCACCTACTCCCATGCATACAGGTCCACAAGCATGCCTATGCACACGTGCAATCAATATTGCACTAACATCTCCAAACACTCTAGTTGAAATACCCAGAGCTCCCGCCTTATATCTTTTCTCTTCCTCAAGAAGGCTAACCCAGCCTCCAATCCCCTAAACCTTCATGAGCCAGGGAAGGAACCCTCTTCTTTCCCTCTAACGCCTCAGTTCCGCCACGCGGCCGGCCGAGGTCGGCGCTGTAAAATGCTCCTGCTCCTTTAAGAGAATGAACAGTCCAGGCCGGGCGCGGTGGCTCACGCCTGTAATCCCAACACTTTGGGAGGCCTAGGCGGGTGGATCAACTGAGTTCAGGAGTTCGAGACCAGACTGACTAACATGGCGAAACCCCGTCTCTACTAAAAATACAAAAATTGGTCGTGATGGTGCGCACCTGTAATCCCAACTACTGTGGAGGCTGAGGCAGGAGAATCGCTTGAACCCGGGAGGCAGAGGTTGCAGTGAGCCGAGATCGCGCCATTGCACTCCAGCCTGGGCCACAGAGCGAAAGCGAGACTCCGTCTCAAAAAAAAAAAAAAAAAGAGAGAGAGAATGAACAGTCGGCCGGCGTTGCCCGGCAGCGCCGCGCCGGTTGCCGGGCAACGTCAACAAACGACGCGGCCGCCGTCTCCGTGCGCCCGCCCCCCCCCCCCCCCCCCACGCCCGCGCAGACGCGGTGACGCGACGGACTGTGGAACGCCGTCGCCTAGCAACGCGAGGGCTGTTTGTCCCGGGCTGGGTGGCGCGGCCGCACAGGGCGCAGCCAGGACCGGCCCGGGCGGACAGACCGGCCCGCCGGGAGCCCGGGGCGGGGGGTGGAGGGGATTGCGGTGATGGAAGCGGGGGAGAACCGGGTTCCCAAATTACCGGTTTCCCTTTAGACAGCCGCCGTCTGTTGTCGCCCGCTCCTCCTGTCTGCCCCGGGACCGCCTCCGCTCGGGTATCTGTCCGTCTGCGCCCCCTCCTCCCCGGCATGTCCGTCTGTCCAGCGCCTCCCGCGCTGTGGCTGTCTCATATCCCCCCCAAACCATCACAACCAAAATAGGGACAAGCACACACTTCGCTGGCCTGCCGTTTCTGCCTTGGACTGCCGGATTTCCGGGTGCATTGTTGCGGTTGGGGTCCCCACCAGGGGAGACAGACAGACAAGGGGAGACAATCTGTTCACACTCAAGCCACAGCCCCAAAGCCCTCCCGTTCCTTTCCCCGCTCCCTTGGGGTTCTCTTGCCTGTCTTTCTCGAGCCTCTTTCAAGAGACAGGCAGCCCGTGGTCCTTCCATCCTGTGTCCGGGAAGCTGTCCACAGCTGGGAGGTTCTAACAACTCATCCCCAACACACACTCCCAACACCCCCCCATCCAGTAGCTTCATGTGACCAGGGCTGGGGCGAATCTCCGAGCAGAGAGAAGAAATTGAGTGTGTGACAGTGTGAATGGATGTGACTATAGGTGAGCAACAGTCGGTGACAATGTGCACATCTGGTATTTCCTGTGTGAGAGCAAAACTGCAGGACTCAGTGAGTGGTTTCTGTGGTTTGCACTTGTGTATCTGGGTGTATGGGAGTGTGTAGCCCTGCTGACTGTGTAGATATGAATGTGTGTGCAGTTGTGAGTCTTGCATGTGGTCATCTATGTGAAACAATGCCTGTATAAGTACCCATGGATGTGCACGGTTTTGCCTCTAGCCGTGCATTTCTGGTTCTGTGTGTGTGTGTTTCTGGTTTTTTCGTTTGTTTTTTAGAGATGGGGTCTGGCTGTGTTGCCCAGGCTAGTCTTAAACTCCTGGGCTCAAGCGATCCCCGCCGTCTCAGCCTCCCGACTAGTGGGGACTACAGGCAAGCGCCACTACACTCGGCTAATTTTCTGGTTTTTTTTGTAGAGACAGGATCTTGCTGTGTTGCTCAGGCTGGTCTCCAATTCCTGGCCCCAAGTGATCCTCCCACCTCGGCCTTCCACCACAGTGCTAGGATTATAGGCATGAGCCACCGTGCCTAGCCATGTGTGTTTCTGGATTTCTGTGTGTAACCATGCAGGTACCTGCGTTTGTGTACAGATTATTTTTCAGAGCTCCCTCCACAGCATTCATTGCAATGTCTAATTATATATTTGTTCCTTTGTTTACTGTCCATCTCCCCCACTGGACTGTGCACCCTGTGAGGGCAGGACCCAAGGCTGTTGTGGTCACTGCCAGGTCCCCAGCACCACCCTGCACAGAGAAGGTGCTCAGTAATTCCTTGTTGGGTAAATGAATCGATGACTCTTATGTCCATGTCGAGCACACACATCCATGTAACCCTGCAAGTGATTTTGTGGTACTGGGTCTTCTGTGTGTGTCTAGAAGCTGCGTGGGCCATAGCACAGGAGGGTCTCTGTAGCCATGTAGCTCTAATTTTTGGCACCCCCCACAGTGCAGGGCACATATCAGAGCCTCATGGCACATATCAGGGCCACGTGGAGTAGGAGGCCAGGTGCACTGGCTCACACCTGCAATCCCAGCATTTTGGGAGGCTAAGGCAGGAGGATCACTTGAGACCTGGAGTTCAAGACCAGCCTGGGCAACAAGGTGAGACCCTGTCTCTACACATAATACAAAAATTAGGCCAGGCGCAGTGGCTCATGCCTGTAATCCCAGCAATTTGGGAGGCCAAGGAGGGTGGATCACCTGAGGTCAGGAGTTCGAGACCAGCCTAGCCAACATGGTGAAACCCCATCTCTACTAAAAATAAAGAAAAAAAAGCCAGGCATGGTGGTGGGTGCCTGTAATCCCAGCCACTTGGAAGGCTGAAGCTAAAGAATTGCTTAAACCCGGGAGGTAGAGGTTGCAGTGATCCAAGATCACGTCATTGCACTCCAGCCTGGGCAACAAGAGTGAAACTCCGTCTCAAACAACAACAACAACAATAAAAACAAAACGAAAATTAGCCGGGCATGGTGGTGCACACCTGGAATCCCAGCTACTTGGCAGGCTGTGGTGGGAGGATCATCAGAGACCAGGAGATCAAGGCTGCAGTGAGCTGTGATTACACCACTGTACTCCAGCCTGTACAACAGAGTGAGACTTTGTCTCAAAAGAAAAACAAAAAACAAAAACAAAAATTTAAAAAACCCCTAAAAACTATGGATTTGAACTCTGTTGTCTTTTTTTTTTTTTTTTTTTTTGAGACAGAGTCTCACTCTGTCACCCAGGCTGGAGTGCAGACGTGTGATTCCGTCTCACTGCAACCTCTGCCTCCCGAATTCTCCTGCCTCAGCCTCCCAAGTAGCTGGGATTACAAGTGCCTGCACCACGCCCAGCTAATTTTTGTGTATTTTTAGCAGAGACGAGGTTTCACCATGTTGGCCAGGCTGATCTCAAACTCCTGACCTCAAGTGATCCACCTGCCTCAGCCTCTCAAAGTGCTGGGATTACAGGCGTGAGCCACCGCGTCCGGCCGAACTGTGTGGCCTTCCTCCTGCTAGCATTAGGACCTCTATGCACTCGGTTTCCTCATCTGTCAAATAGGGAGAATAATAGACCCAGTTTATGGGACTGTTGTGGGAGAGTAAATGAGTTCATATGGAAAGCATTTAGAAAATGCCTGGCAGAAAACAAACATTTACAAAATACCTGTTTTGATTGTTGTCAGTATTATTACTTCCTCTGTGTGTGTCCTTGGATGTGCGTGTGCGTGTCTAGAATCTGGGTTGCAGATGCAGGCTTTAGCTCTGTAGTCCTGTGTTACTGGGTACCCAAATGCCCTGAGTCTCACTTTCCTTCCTATACCATGGGCATGTTCCAGACCTTCTCCAGGGCCAGTTGGGACTCAATGAAGCTGCATCTGGAACACCCCAATGGCTACAAGGCCCAGCCGTGGTCTGGTTTCAGGAAAGGTAAATGAAGGGTGAAGTTGGGACGGGATGGAATTGAGGTTCAAATCACTCCATGGGACTGGGAAAGTGGGAAGTGAAAGAGGGATGAAAGAGCGCATTTGAAGCAGGCAGACTGAGGGTCAGACTCCAGAAAGGACTTCCTCCTAGGACTATTTTGGGGCTGGGAACTATAAGAAATGAACTGTTTTGCTGGGCCTGGTGGCCTACACCTGTAATCCCAGCACTTTGGGAGGCCGAGGCAGGCAGATCGCAAGGTCAAGAGATCAAGATCATCCTGGTCAACCTGGTGAAACCCCATCTCTACTAAAAATACAAAAATTAGGTGGGCGTGGTGGCGCGTGCCTGTAGTCCCAGATACTCAGGAGGCAGAGGCAGGAGAATCACTTGAACTCGGGAGGCGGGGGTTGCAGTGAGCCGAAATTGCGCCACTGCACTCCAGCCTGGTGACAGAGCAAGACTCCCTCTCAAAAAAAAAAAAAGAAAGAAAAACATGAGCTGTTTGGAGAGCTGCCTGGAGGAAGAGAAACCAGCCTGAGTTTCACAGGCTAGTGGAATTTGGAGGGGGGCAATAATAGCAATAACAATAGGCCAGGCACGGTGGCTCACACCTGTAATCCCAGCACTTTGGGAGGCCGAGAAGGGTGGATCACCTGAGGTCTGGAGTTCGAGACCAGCCTGGCCAGCATGGCAAAACCCTGTCTTTACTAAAAATACAAAAAAAATTAACCAGGCTTGGTGGTGTGTGCCTGTAATTCCAGCTACTCGGGAGGTTGAGGCAGGAGAATAACTTGAACCCGGGAGGTGTGGGTTGCAGTGAACCGAGATCATGCCACTGCACTCCAGCCTGGGCGACAGAGTGAGACTTTGTGTCAAAAACAATAATAATAATAATAATAATGCACTAGGTGCAGATACTGATAAAGGCTTTGTGAGGAATTTTCTTTCTTTCTTTTTTCTTTTTTTTTTGAGACAGAGTCTCACTCTCTTTCCTGGCTGGAGTGCAGTGGCACGATCTCGGCTCACTGCAACCTCCGCCTCCCGGGTTCAAGCGATTCTCCTGCCTCAGGCTCCCAAGTGGCTGGGATAACAGGTGCCCACCACTACGCCCAGCTAATTTTTTTTTTTTTTTTAGATAGGGTCTGGCTCTGGCTCTGTCATACAGGCTGGAGCACAGTGGCATGATGACAACCCACTGCAGCCTTGACCTCCTGGGCTTAAGTGATCCTCTTGCCTCAGCCTCCTGAGTAGCTGGGGCTACAGGCTTATTTTTTTGTAGAGATGGGGTCTCACTCTGTTGCCCAGGCTGGTCTCAAACTTCTGGGCTCAAGCAATCCTCCTGCCTTGGCTTCCCAAAGTGCTGGGTTTACAGGAGTGAGCCACCATGTCTGGCCATTTGAGGAAATTTTTATTTTTGTCTGTCTTGTTTCCTGCTCTGTCCCCAGCACCTAGAGTGTGTGACTGCAGTGTGTGTGTGTGTGTGTGTGTGTGTGTGTGTGTGTGTGTAGGTGTGCTGATTAAATATTTGAATGGCTGATTGAATGAACGAATGAATGTCATCCTACAACCACTTGTGAGTCCTGGTCTTAGGGGAAGGCTGGGCTGGGGCCCTGGCCTCTGGGATCCCTCTTGTGCCAGTCCCCCAGCCCTGCTGTTCCCACAGCTCTGTGCTGAAGAGGGCGTGGAGGGGGCCAGGGAAGGGAGTGTCAGGCAGCCAGCCGGCTGCCTGCCCTGGACAGCAGCCCAGAGTGTCTGCAGGAGGGAGAGGGTAGTTCAGGAGCCTGAGTCACCCTGGGAGAAACCCCAGCCACATACCTGGCCGCTGACATCACCCGGCCAGGGCACCCCCGGCAGCCTAGACAAGCTGACTGAATCACAGGCGGAATTCAGCCACCCCGGGCACGTGGCCTGCTGTGACCCCCCGCAACACCCCCGAGTGGCCGTCTGGCTGCGGGGGTTGGGCCGGGCACACAGGGGTCAGTGAGGGGGCATGGGGCCTGAGTCAGGGACAGGGTGGCTACAGCCAGAGACCACCCAGCCACAGGCGTCCATGTGGGGCAGGAAGGAGAAAGTTTGGGAAGGAGAGCCTGTGGGGAGGCCCTGGCGGGTGAGGAGGAAGCACGTGTGGGTGTGACGGGGAGGCTGCGGCTTGTGGGCAGCGGCTGGGCGACCCACAGGGGTGGGATGGGGTCTGAGTGTTTGCGCAGAGAATCACCAAATCGTAAGAGACTTGGTCGTAAGAGTCAGTCAGGAGGACAATGGAATCACCAATGTGCTTACACACGCAAAGGCACACACGCACACTCAACACCCGGCCTGGGGAGGCCCTGACTCCACCCACCCCAGGCCAGCGGGGCCTCACTACCCATAAGCCTGCAAGTTCCCTAAGGGACTGAGGCCTAAGGGACAGTTTCCTCATCTGTTGAGTGGGGGTATTAACAAGCATTATTAGGCCAGGCACAGTGACTCGTGAGGCAGAGGTAGGCGGATCCCTTGGAGGCCAGAAGTTCAAGACCAGCCTGGACATCATAGCAAGACCCCTTCTCTACAAAGAAAAAATTTAAAAATTAGCTGGATGTGGTGGTGTGCACCTGTAGTCCCAGGTACTCAGGAGGCTGTGGAGGGTGGATTGCTGGAGTGTTGGAGTTTGAGACTGCAGTGAGCTATTGATTGCACCACTGTACTCCAGCCTAGACAACAGAACAAGATCCTATAGCAAAAAAAAAAAAAAAAAAAAATCACTATTATTGTAATAGCTATGCTTACGGGGAACATACTTTCTGCCAGGTGCTGTTCTAGGCATTCTACATTTTTTTTTTTTAAATAATGGAGATGACGTCTCACTATGTTTCCCAGGCTGGTCTTGAACTCCTGAGCTCAGGCTATCCTCTCGCTTTTTTGGTGGCTGGCACGCCTGTAATCCCGACATTTTGGGAGGCCAAGGTGGGTGGATCGCCGGAGCCCAAGAGTTCGAGACCAGCCTGGGAAACATAGTGAGATGCCATCTCTACCAAAAAATCAAAAAATTAGCTAAGCATGGTGGCTCATGCCTGTAGTCCCAGCTACTCAGGATGCTGAGGTGGGAGGATCACTTGAACCTGGGAGATGGAAGTTGCAGTAAGCTGAGATTGTGCCACTGCACTCCAGCCTGGGTGACAGAATAAGACCTTGTCTCAAAAAAAAAAAAAAAAAAAAAAAAAGAAGAAGAAAAAAGAGAGTCAACTGCATCTGTATTTGTGGCACTTGGTACATACACGGTAAGCTTTCTCAAGTGACTCTGTTATGATTCTTAGTACTAAACATATTATTTTCCCTTTTTTTGTTTCTTTCTTTCTTTTTTTTTTTTTTTTCGGTGATGGAGTCTCACTCTGTTGCCCAGGCTGGAGTGCAGTGGTGCAATCTCGGCCCACTGCAACCTCCGCCTCCCAGGTTCAAGCGATTCTCCTGTCTCAGCCTCCCAAGTAGTAGGGATTACAGGACCCTACCACCATGCCCAGCTAATTTTTGTATTTTTAGAAGAGACGGGGTTTCACCATGTTGGTCAGGCTGGTCTCGAACTCCAGACCTTAGGTGATCCACCCACCTTGGCCTCCCACAGTGTTGGGATTACAGGCGTGAGCCACCGTGCCTGGCCAAATACACATTATTTTTATCCCTAAGTCCAACTAGGAAGGCCTCCAAAACAGTCACCCTCACTGCCTTGGTCCAGTTCTACTTCTTACCTCCCTGCAGTCCTTCCTGCTGCCTCTTCTTTGGTTATATATGTCTGTAGTAGGGAGAGAGTGCTTCAGGGACTCCCTCCTCATTCATAACTCTTCAGAACTCAATCATGATTATCTAGATCCACCTCCACCAGGAAGTCCTCCTGGCTTACTCCAGCCTCACTAAGCACTCTCACCACCCAATGCCTGGAGTGGTTGTAGTCAGTGAGTGACACATTGCACAGTGTGTGCCCCCTGGATTGGGGGTGGGTGAGAGACAGCCCCCACAGTGAGTGGCACCCCTGGCCAGGGCCTGGGACAAGTCTGTATCCAAGGGTGGCTCTCTGCTTAGGTCTGTGTTTGTACCTGGGTGTGTCTGTGTCTGCCCTACTCTGTGCATACTCATATATGTGAACCCGTGTGTGTGTGTGTAGTTGTGAGTGTGTGTGGAAGAGGCTGCATGGCAGTGGAAGCTAGGTGTGTGATTCGTGTATCTGTGTGCCTAGAGTGCCTTGTTCTATAGATTTGGATGCCACTCCAAGCAAGTCAGTGGGTCTTTTTGTTTTTTGTTTTTTGAGATGGAATCTCACTCTGTTGCCCAGGCTGGAGTGCAGTGGCACGATCTTGGCTCACTGCAACCTCTACCTCCTGGGTTCAAGTGATTCTCCTGCCTCGGCCCCCCGAGTAGCTGGGATTACAGGTGCCCACCAATACACTCAGCTAATTTGTTGTATTTTTAGTAAAGATGGGGTTTCACCATGTTGGCCAGGCTGGTCTCAAACTCCTGACCTCATGATTCTCCTGCCTCGGCCTCCCAAAGTGCTGGGATTACAGGCATGAGCCACCGCGCCCGGCCAAGTCAGTGGGTCTTTAGGAGCTGTTTCGTACGGTGTGACTGTGAGTGAACCTTCGCACACGTGTCTGTACGGATATCTAAGAAATTCTTCAAGTAGGCCGGGCACAGTGGTTCAGGCCTGTAGCCTTAGCACTTTGGGAGGCCCAGGTGAGTGGATCGCTTGAGCTCAGGAGTTCGAGAACAGCCTGGGCAACATAGTGAGACTTCGTATCTACAAAAAATATGAAAATTAGCCAGGCATGACAGTGGGCACCTGTAGTCCCAGCTACTACTTGGGGGGCTGAGGCAGGAGGATCCCTTGAGCCTGGGAGGTGGAGGCTGCAGTGAGCTGAGATCGAGCCACTGCACTCCAGCCTGGGCGACAGAGGGAGACCCTGTCTCAAAAAAAAAGAAAAGAAAAGAAAAAAAGAAGACATTCTTCAAGTCCACAACTCTGAGGGTATCACTGTGAGAGCAGGGGTCCTAGCTCTACCCATTTGTGTGTGTGTGGAGATGTGTAAGTCTATGTAGACAAAAGTGTGTGTCATTTACTGTGTTTGGGGTGTGAACACCTATGTGATGTGTTTGCACAACTGCACGTGTTTTGTTCTGTGTGTGTGATCGTGTGTTCAAATAAGTCATCTTGTCGCCGGGCGTGGTCGCTCATGCCTATAATCCCAGCACTTTGGGAGGCCTAGGCAGGAGGACCATTGAGCCCAGGAGGTCCAGACTGCAGTGAGCCGAGATTGCGCCACTGCACTCCAGCCTGGGCGACAGCAAGACCTTGTCTCAAAACAAAAGCAAAAACAAAAATAAACAAATAGTCATCAGGTGCCTGCACAGACAAAGGTGAAAGGTGTCTGCCTGTTGAGATCTGTGGATAGGGTGTATATATGGACATCTCAGCCTGTCTACGTGTGTATCTGTCTCTGTCCTCACGGCAAAAGAGAGGTTGGCCGGGTGTGTGGTGGCTCACGCCTGTAATCCCAGCACTTTGGGAGGCTGAGGCGGGCGGATCACCTGAGGTGAGGAGTTCAAAACCAGCCTGGCCAACATGGCGAAACTCCATCTCTTCTAAAAATACAAAAAAATTAACCGGGCGTGGTGGCACACGCTTGTAATCCCAGCTACTCAGGGAGGCTGAGGCATTAGAATTGCTTGAACCCAGGAGGTGGAGGTTGCAGTGAGCCAAGATTGCGCCACTGGACTCCAGCCTGGGCAACAGAACAAGACTCCGTCTCAAAAAAAAAAAAAAAAAAAAAAAGAGGCTCAGATATGTTTCTGTCTGAGAGTCTGTCAGAGTTTAGGAATTAGTAAATGAATGAATGGTGAAGATCCATTTACTCAACAAACATTTATTTATTTATTTATTTATTGAGACAGAGTCTCGCTCTGTCACCCAGGATGGAGTGCAGTGGCGCAATCTCGGCTCACTGAAGCCTCTGCCTCCTGGGTTTAAGAGAGTCTTGTGCCTCAGCCACCAAGTAGCTGGGATTACAGGTGTGTGCCACTGCGCCCAGCTAATTTTTGTATATTTAGTAGAGATGGGGTTTCACCATGTTGCCCAGGCTGGTCTCGAACTCCTGGCCTGAAGTGATCTGCTCACCTCAGTCTCCCAATATGCTGGGATTACAGGCATGAGCCACCAGTCCTGCCTCATTTATTCTTATATTATATTATATTGTTTTTATTTTAAATTTTTTTGTAGTGACAGGGTCTTACTATGTTGACTGGGCTGGCCTCAAACTGGCCTCAAGTGATTCTCCTGCCTCAGCCTCCCAAAGTGCTGGGATTACAGGCATGAGCCACTGTGCCTGGCTTGAACAAATATTTAATAACCACCTATTGGGTACCACGTGCTATGCTGGGGACAAGGCAGTGACCGGGATGGTTTTGGCCGAGCTTTCACCCAGCTCACAACCCAATGAGGGAGACAAACCTATCCCCAGACAATGATGAGCCCAGATTGGCAGAGTTGGAGGGAGGGACCCCAGGAGAGGGGGCCTTGACTCAGCCTGGAGATCAGGGAGGGCTTCCTGGAGGAGAGGTTATGGGAGTTAAGACTTGGAGGAAAAGACTATGAGCCACAGGAAGCGAAGGGAAGAGTGACCCAGGCAGAGGGAAAAGCACCTGCAAAGGCCTGAAGTCCAGGGAGAGAGGCCAGGCATCTGGAACACAACGGGGAGAGGAGAGACGAGACTAGGGCACCCTCGGAGCAGGTCGTTCAGGGCCTCAGGAGCCATGGGGAGGAGTATAATGCAGGATGCAGGGGTACTGGGAGGGTCAAGCTAACAGTGTCCAATCTGGGTTACTCTGCTTCCCTGAAACTCCAGGGACATCTCCTCCAGGAAGCCCTAGGGATTGCTCAGTGTGGAGCGGCTCAGCCACCCAGTCACACTCACTATTCAATGCTGAGCACTGAGGAGGCAGCCGTTACTAAATCAGCCTGGATTTGCCCTCCCAGAGGTCACAGTCACAACAGTCAAACACACACCTGCACGTGCACACTCATGAACGTGCCCCTCCCCTCCTCTGGAGCCTCAGAAACCCACAGACCTTGTTCCTCCCAGGGGGTGTCCCTGGGGCCAAAGCTTCTGCACTACCAGGGGGCTTGTTGGAAATGCAAAAGATGGCTGGGCACAGTGGCTCACACCTGTAATCCCAGCAGTTTGGGAAGCTGAGGCAGGCAGATCATTTGAGGTCAGGAGTTCATTTGAGGTTGGGAGTTCAAGACCAGCTTGGCCAACATAGCGAAACTCTGTCTCTACTAAAAATACAAAAAAATTAGCCGGGCGTGGTAGCACACGCCTGTAATCCCAGCTACTTGGGAGGCTGAGGCAGGAGAATCTTTTGAACCCGAGAGGTGAAGGCTGCAGTGAGCCAAGATGGCACCACTGCACTCCAGCCTGGGTGACAGAGTGAGTCTTAAAAAAATAATAATAAAATAGGCTGGGCGCGGTGGCTCACGCCTGTAATCCCAGCACTTTGGGAGGCTGAGGCAGGCGGATCACCTGAGGTCAGGAGTTCGAGACCAGCCTGACCAAAATAGTGAAACCCCGTCTCTACTAAAAATACAAAAAAATTTAGCTGGGCGTAGTGGCTAACGCCTGTAATCCCAGCTACAGGCTGAGGCAGGAAAATTGCTTGAACCCAGGGGTGCAGAGGTTGCAGTGAGCCAAGATGGCACCATTGCACTCCAGCCTGGGCAACAACAGTGAAACTCCGTCTCAAAAAACAAAATACAAAAATTAGCCAGGCATGGTGGCACACACCTGTAATCCCAGCTACTCGGGAGGCTGAGGCAGGAGAATCACTTGAACCCGGGAGGCAGAGGTTGCAGTGAGCTGAGATCGTGCCACTGCACTCAAGCCTGTGTAACAAGAGTGAAATTCCGTCTCAAAATAAAATAAAATAATAAAAATAAAAAGATGACCACAGCAGATCTGCTGGCTCTCCAGGCAATTCGTGATCACCACGAATTGAGAAGCGCTGCTCTCAGGCTTAACCCCCCTGTACCTCAGTTTCCTTTTCTGTACAAGGAGATCAAAACAGAATCCATGTAGAGGACTGACGTGGAGTGAGGCTTAACTGAGATAATGAGTGTGAAAGTGCTAAGCACAGCTTCCTAAGTGCTTGTTTTCAGCAGCTCCTCTTCCTCTTTTCTATTTTTTTATTTTTATTTTTTTTGGGGGGGGAACAGGGTCTCGCTCTGTTGCCCAGGCTGGAGTATAGTGGCAGAGTCATAGCTCACTGCAACCTCAATCTCTCAGGGCTCAAGTGATGCCCGTGCCTCAGCCTCCTGAGTGGCTGGGACTACAGGTGTGTGCCACCATGCCCAGCTAATTTTTAAATTTCTTGTAGAGGTTGGGGGTGGGTCTCACTATGTTGCCCAGGCTGGTCTTGTACTCCTGGCCTCTGGCGATCCTCTTACCTAGGCCTCCCAAAGTGCTGGGATTACAGGCGTGAGCCACCACACCCAGCCCTCCTCCTCCTCTGTATTATTAAATTTCAGAGCTGGAAAGAAATTTCGAAGACCGCCATCACTCAACCTTCTTGCTCTACAGATGGGGGAACTGAGGAACAGAGGAGCAGAGGTTTGGCCAGAGGAAGGTGGGAAGGACGTGGTGTGGCTGGCCTTCACAGACTCTGCCGGGGGCTGTTTACAGGATACTCTGAGGAAAGCCAGGATGGGCACTGATACCCACCTCCACCCTGCGGGAGGCAGAAGGCTAAGGCTCCCCCAGCCGTCTCCCCCAAGCAGAGCTGAGCCCTTGGGAGCCAGGGCAGAGATGCAACCCTCTCCCCCATGCTCAGGTCCTCCTCCTCCTGGAAGCTCTCCTTCCAAGAGGAGCCTCTTATTTTATTTTTTATTATTATTATTTTTGAGACAAGGTCTCACTTTGTCACCCAGGCTGGAAGTGCCGTGGCATGATCATGGCTCACTGAAGCCTTGCCCTCCCCAAGCTCAAGTGATCCTCTCACCTCAGCCTCCCAAATAGCTGAGACTACAGGCACACGCCACCACCCCTGGCTAGTTTTTGTATTTTTAGTAGAGATGGGGTCTTGCCATTGTCCAGGCTGGTCTTGAACTCCCGGGCTCAAGTGATCTGCCCACCTTGGCCTCCCAAAGTGCTGGGATTACAGGCATGAGACACTGAGCCTGGCAAGGAATGAGCCTTATGGAGAAGAACTTGATTTACCCACTCCATGCTCTGCAGGCAGGTGTGTCATGTCTGTGAGTGCAGGTGTGTGTGTGTGTGTGTATGTGTGTGTGTGTGTGTCTCCAGGGCCAATTTCTCCCTTAGGCCCAGGGGCACAGTGCCTAGGGCCCATGATAAATTTAACCGACCCACGGATATGGGTCAGGAGGGTATACATGTATAAAGTTCAGGAAGACTTTGTTTTAGTAACAAAACGAGCATGTACAATCTGTCAGGAGCCTTATGATATCTTCCCACCAGTCTCATGAGTGGGCACTACATCTTGTTCTCCTTTGTCGGGTAGGGAAACTGAGGCCCCGGATGTCCTAGCTCAAGTTCACCAAGCTACTTGGTGATAGAAGCGGAACATAAGCCTAGGCCACCTAGCTTCTGGGTCTGCGATCGTGTGAGGATAAATGCCCAGTGTGTTCGTGAACATGAGCATCCCTGTGTGAATAAATTGACATACATAAACCCATTTAATAAATTTCAAAGCCAGGCGCCGTGGCTTACTCCTGCAATCTCAGCGCTCTGGGAGGCTGAGGTGGGAGGATCGCTTGAAGCCAGGAGTTTGAGATCAGCCTGCAACAAAGTGAGACCCTGACTCTAAAAACATTTTTTTGAATAAAAAAATTAGGCTGGACACAGTGGCTCACGCCTGTAATCCCAGCACTTTGGGAGGCCAAGGTGGGTGGATCACTTGAGGTCAGGAGTTTGAGACCAGCCTGGTCAACAGGGTGAAACCCTTTCTCTACTAAAAATAGAAAAATTAGCCAGGCGTGGTGGCACATGCCTGTAATCCCACCTACTGGGGAGGCTGAGGCCGGAAAATTGCTTGAATCTGGGAGGTAGAGGTTGCAGTGAGCCAAGATCATGCCATTGCACTCCAGCCTGGGCGAAGAAACGAGACTCTGTCTCAAAAAAAAAAAAAAAAAATTAGTCAAGCATGGTGGTACGCACCTGTAGTTGTTAGTTACTTGGGAGGCTGAAGCAGGAGGATTACTTGAGGCCAGGAGTTCGAGGTTACAGTGAACTATGATTGCATCACTGCACTCTAGCCTGGATGACAGAGCAAGATCCTATCTCAAAATAATACTAATAGTTCAAGGAACAGACTTTGAAGCCTGACACCCTGCATGGTGTTATTCCAGCTTTGCTACTTACTTGCTGTGTGACTCTGGGTGAATAACTTAACCTCTCTGGGCTTCTGTTTCCCTTCCTGTAAAATGATCATTTGTACCTCACAGGAGTGTTGTGAGAATTAAATAAGTTAATATAAGCTCTTGGGAAGAATTAGCTCTTGTTATGGTTGTGTGAAGAGCTTTACACGAGTCCCTCTGCAGGATGCATGGTTGTTGGTCTGTGTGTGTGTATATATATATATGTGTGTGTGTATGTGTGTATCTATGTGTATATGTGTATATGTGTGTGTTGCTCTCTTGATCTCTGAGTGTTGTGTGTGTGTCAATGTGTGAGATCATATATGCACCTTTAGTAAAGATCTAGGGGTCTCTGTGTGTTTTGGGGGTCTGTACCTGTCCTTGGCTGTACACCTGAACCCTACGTCTTCTTGTGTGTGTAGGGATGTGTGTCATGTGTGTTGATAACCATATGACAGTGTGTGTTTCCACATGCCAGTGTGTGTCTGTGAAGCTGTTTCTATGTGGCTGTGGGTGATTGCCCACGCGTGACCTGGTGAGCGGCTGTGTGGAAGTCTGTGTTGCCTGTGTCGGGTGTGGAGTCTCTGGCCAGCCAGGGTAGGTCTTTGCATGTTTCCTTTATTCCATGGAGGAGGAGATGAGGGGCTTGGATGAGACAGAAGAATGAGGGGTCACTCCCTGTCTGATGCTGGGGCCGAGTCACTGCCTACTAGTGGCTGCTGTGTCATCTCCCAGTCTCTGTCCCTCCCTCCTGGCTGGTGGCAGACAGAGGGGGCGTGGAGGAACAGGGCAGGGGGTGGGCTTGAGGCTGGACTTTTGTCTGGAAACTTGAACCTCCACCTATGCCCCCCACGTCCCTCTAGTCTTCCACATCTCCCTACACCCTCCCTACTATTGGGGCAGGGAATCAGGACTCCCTGAAAATTAAGAACCATCGCCTTGGCTCTGCCACAGGCTTGCTGTGTAGCCCGGAGACAGGCCCTGCCCCTCTCTCAACCTGTGAAATTCAATGTTTTAAAAGTGCTTCTTCCTTTGTGCCCAGGGCTGGGCCAGGCTGTGCACTGGGAGGGAAGTGCTGGGTTCTCTGAGGTTTGTGAAATAGCTGGTAGCACCCTTCCCAGTGGGTGCTTAAGAGTTGGGGGCTGTAGCATCTGAAATACCCAAGTCAGTGCAGGCATAGTGGCTCATGCCTGTAATCCCAGCACTTTGGGAGACCGAGGCAGGCGGATCACCTGAGGTTGGGAGTTCGAAACCAGCCTGGCCAACATGGTGAAACCCCCATCTCTATTAAAAATACAAAAGTTAGGCCGGGCACAGTGGCTTACGCCTGTAATCCCAGCATTTAAGAAGGCCAAGGCGGGAGGATCACCTGAGTTTGGGAGTTTGAGAGCAGCCTGACCAATATGGAGAAACTCTGTCTCTACTAAAAATACAAAAAAACTAGCCAGGCATGGTGGCACATGCCTGTAATCCCAGCTACTCGGGAGGCTGAGGCAGGAGAAGCACTTCAACCCGGGAGGCGGAGGTTGCGGTGAGCCGAGATCGTGCCATTGCACTCCAGCCTGGGCAACAAGAGCAAAACTCTGTCTCAAAAAACAAAACAGAACAAAACAAAAATTAGCCAGGTGTGGTGGCGCACACCTGTAATCCCAGCTACTCGGGAGGCTGAGGCAGGAGAATCACTTGAACCCAGGAGATGTAGGCTGCAGTGAGCCGAGATTGTGGCACTGCACTCCAGCCTGGGCAACAGAGTGAGACTCTGTCAAAAAAAAAAAAAAAAAACGTCAGATTCATGAACCCCATTTGCTAAGAAGATTTGCTCAGGTAGTCACCTGTACCCCTGTGAGCCAAGATTGCAACAGTACATGCTAAGAGCAGTAAGAAGGAGATTGTAAAGCTTAGAAAGACCTGACAGGCCAGGCGCTGTGGCTCACGCCTGTAATCTCGACACTTCGGGAGGCCGAGGCAGGCGGATCACCAGGTCAGGAGTTCAAGACCATCCTGACCAATATGGTGAAACCCCGTCTGTACTAAACATATAAAAATTAGCTTGACGTGGTGGCCCGCGCCTGTAGTCCAGCAACTCGAGAGGCTAAGGTGAGGCGGAGGTTGCAGTGAGCCGAGATCGCCACTGCACTCCAGCCTGGCGGCAGAGCAAGACTCCGTCTCAAAAAAAAAAAAAAAAAAAAAAAAAAAAAGACCTGACAAGTGAAAGCTACTAATATTGCCATTATCATTTAAAAAAACCCCAGACACAGGTTTTTCAGGGAGTTTCATCCAACCAGGCAGGTCTCAGAAATCAGAAAAGAAATGGAAAGGGTAGGAAATCTGGAGTTTGACAATTCTGAGTTTGAATTTCTTGTGATGGGATCTTGGGCAAGTCATTTAACCTCCCTGAGTATCATTTTTTTCTTTTATAAAATGAAGATTTTTCTCTCTTAACCTTCCAGAGCTGTTTTAAGGATTACAAATCTTCTACTGAAAGGCGTAGCACAGGAGCTGTGCTTGGCAAGTGCCAAATACAAGGCATTAATTATTATTATTAGAATTAATAATAATATCCCCTCCCTCTTACACATTCTTTGTCTCCGGGTGGATTAAAAGGTGGAAGGAGAGGCTACCAACACCATCAGAAGAGAGGCTTCTCTCTAAGTTTCATTTCCCATCTCCTCCAAATCCGCATCCCTCCCAAACGCCGGACCTGTAAGGCCAGCAGGGTCCAAGACACACATCCTTTGCCCAGCGGGGAAGATTAAAGCTAAAGCTCAGAGAGGGAAAACATTTCCTAAGCTCGCACAGCGAATCAGGACAGAAACCAGGACGAGCCTCGGAATCCCTCCATTACCTCCACTTTCACCTGAGCATCACAGCCCGCTCGGGACTCAGTTTCCCCACCTACGTGACCACACCACACTAATCAGGGTCTCCTTTTGGAGATCTGCTCTTCTTCTCGAATGGGGGCGCTGCACCATCGGTAGAACAGGGTAGGTGGGGGCGCCAGAGGTGAAGGGGACCTGCAGGCTGGGGTCTTCCCCGCCCGGGTCAGCGGGGTCCCTGCGGGGCTAGTCTAAGCGCCTATTATTACCAGCCCCCGGGGCGGCGTTGCACTGCGCAGGCGCGGGCGGGGCGCGGGCGCGCGCGCGAGCGAGCGAGGGATTCCCTCTGACGTCATTGCTAGGATACCAAACAAACACTCCGCCGCGCCGGCCGAGCTCCTTATATGGCTAATTGCGTCACAGGAACTCCGGGAAGGCGGGGCCGGGATCCCCTCCCGCCGAGTGGCCCGGAACGCAACCCCCGAGACCCCCAGGGCCCCGAGGGTCATGCAAGTGACCAGATCGAGTCTAGAACAGACCTCTTGCTGGACAGTGCGGGACTCGATTTGGCGGGGCCGGAGATTTGGGGAAGTTTGTCCAGCAAGGGGCGGGTGACGTAAGCAGGGGGGCGGGTCCCGGGCATATAAATACAGGCTGGCGGGTCTGTGCTTCATTCATAAGACTCAGAGCTACGGCCACGGCAGGGACACGCGGAACCAAGACTTGGAAACTTGATTGTTGTGGTTCTTCTTGGGGGTTATGAAATTTCATTAATCTTTTTTTTTCCGGGGAGAAAGTTTTTGGAAAGATTCTTCCAGATATTTCTTCATTTTCTTTTGGAGGACCGACTTACTTTTTTTGGTCTTCTTTATTACTCCCCTCCCCCCGTGGGACCCGCCGGACGCGTGGAGGAGACCGTAGCTGAAGCTGATTCTGTACAGCGGGACAGCGCTTTCTGCCCCTGGGGGAGCAACCCCTCCCTCGCCCCTGGGTCCTACGGAGCCTGCACTTTCAAGAGGTACAGCGGCATCCTGTGGGGGCCTGGGCACCGCAGGAAGACTGCACAGAAACTTTGCCATTGTTGGAACGGGACGTTGCTCCTTCCCCGAGCTTCCCCGGACAGCGTACTTTGAGGACTCGCTCAGCTCACCGGGGACTCCCACGGCTCACCCCGGACTTGCACCTTACTTCCCCAACCCGGCCATAGCCTTGGCTTCCCGGCGACCTCAGCGTGGTCACAGGGGCCCCCCTGTGCCCAGGGAAATGTTTCAGGCTTTCCCCGGAGACTACGACTCCGGCTCCCGGTGCAGCTCCTCACCCTCTGCCGAGTCTCAATATCTGTCTTCGGTGGACTCCTTCGGCAGTCCACCCACCGCCGCCGCCTCCCAGGTAAGTTTTTGATAGTAGGGGTGCTGCTTTGTAGGTTTTATTTTTTAAGTCAAGGGTGAAAAGAATAAACCCCAACCCCCACAAAAAGGCGCATCAGAACCCTAGATCTGAGATGGAAAAGGCTCACAGCGCACTTTGCAAACTGCAAAGAGTCGGGAGATGTTTGCAATTGGTTGCGTGCGTGGAGCGCAAGGAGGGAACGCGGCAGGGAGGGTAGGCTTTGGGGCGAGGTGGGGGTGGGGTGGGTAATGCGCTGCTCAATGCAACGTGTATGCGGTAGCGGGGCTGAGAACTTTGAGCCGGCCCCGGGACTGCCCCCTGCTCGGGTCCCAGACCTGAAGCTAGCGCAGTTAGGCAGGTGGGGGAAATCCCGGGGAAGCTTCCAGCAGTCTCTTTTCCTTTCCTCCTCCTTCGGAGCGCCCACTTCGGTGCCGGGTCGCCCTCCACCCATCGGGAAGAGGGGCCTCGAACCCTCAGCCGCGCTGCCTCCGCCTCCTGCGCGGAGACGTAACGGGGGACCCGTGCGTAACGGCTGACGCGCTGGAATCCTCCGTCTGACGCGGGGCACGCACGGCGCGCGGCGCCCCCTTCGTCCGCCCCGCCCCTGACGTCCCGGGAGCGTTCTATTTTGGAACGCCGGGGCCACGTTGCTAAGGGAGGGGGCAGCCCGGCGTTTCGATTGGCCGCCGGGGCGCACGCCTTGGCCAATCAGCTTTCCCTTCCTATTTGTAGGGTGCATTTTCCTTCCCCCCTCTCTGTCCCCGGAACCCGTGGTTCCTTGGCGGCTGGGTCTCTTTTCGGCGCCTCTAGAGGCAGAGGGAGGGGATCCCTGTCGTGACAAGAGCGCCTGTCTGCGACCCAATGGATCTGCGAGGCCCTTGCGGGGATCTAGTCCCTGGGCTCTCAGGAGAAGGGGGTGTCTGCTTGTGTGCTGGCGTTTCTTGGAGAGATACGGTGGCTGTCACCCTCTTCTCCAGGCACACACAGACACATTCCCACTCCCTCTGCTCCTCATGCCCGGTTCCTCCGGTGTGTCCCAAGACAGGACTAGAACCGCGAACCGAAGGGCAACCAGCCAGGTGGTCTCCAGGAGCTCCGCCCCCTCTGGGTTCCCAGGACTCTGATTGGTCGGCGAGCCAGCCCTTCCCTCACCACGCCCCCCGAGAGAGTAGTTAAGCCTTCAGAGCAGTTCCAGGAGTCCATTTACGGGAGGGGGGAGATGAGCGCTGCTGAGGCTTGGGGGCTCAGGTCCCGCACCATTCCCCCTCCGCGACAATCTGAGAGAGCTCCAGTGGTTACTTTTATCTACCTGTCCGTTCACCCTAAACTGTCACTCGTCAGTCTCACTCTGAGAAGAGACAGTAACTTGAAACGTTGTTCTAAACTCCTAGGCCCGTCCCCCAAACACCCTTTTGACTGGGACCCCCGCCCCTGCATGGGACCTCGCGCAGAGGGGGGTGTGTATGTGTGTGAGTGTAGAGGAAGGCTTGGCCTAAGGCCTCTCCTTCTCCCTCCCCTTGCCTCTGGGGTGGGGGTGGGGTGTTGTGGCTGTGTGTGTGGCTGTGGCTCCGTCCCGGGGGTTCTGTCACCCGGCTGTGTCCAGCCTCCTCTCCACCCCCCATACCTAAGAGTCACCAACCCGGGGTGTGATTCACCACCCGCTGGAACCGTGCAACCTTTCCCCGAGGAAGAAGGAGGAGGTAGAAGCCAGTTGAGCAGAAATCCTCTCATTAACCACTGCGTCACGGTGTAGTGGAAGGGTGGGTGTTGTGGCTTTTTCCCTGTGACACACACATCCACACTCGCTCACCCTGTGCTCACTCACGGGGTCGGTGTGTGTTATGTGTGTTGGGTGTGTGTGTGTCGGTGTCTTTGTTTGTGTGTCTACGCCTGTGTGTGTATGTGTCACCCCGTAGGAGTGCGCCGGTCTCGGGGAAATGCCCGGTTCCTTCGTGCCCACGGTCACCGCGATCACAACCAGCCAGGACCTCCAGTGGCTTGTGCAACCCACCCTCATCTCTTCCATGGCCCAGTCCCAGGGGCAGCCACTGGCCTCCCAGCCCCCGGTCGTCGACCCCTACGACATGCCGGGAACCAGCTACTCCACACCAGGCATGAGTGGCTACAGCAGTGGCGGAGCGAGTGGCAGTGGTGGGCCTTCCACCAGCGGAACTACCAGTGGGCCTGGGCCTGCCCGCCCAGCCCGAGCCCGGCCTAGGAGACCCCGAGAGGAGACGGTGAGTAAGGGACATCAGAACTTGGCCTGGGTAGGGGGAAGCAAGAGAGGCAGGAAGTTTCTTATGAATGGAGGGGGGCTCCACTAAGGCCTCAGTGTTACAGAAACCCCAAGATCCTTGCTACACGAGCGAGGACCGGAGGCTTGTTTTTTGGCTCTTGGGGGTTCTGAAAGAAGTAGAGGTTCGGGATGGGTGGAGGAGTGCTGTATCCCCAAATCTCATGGCCTCTATCTCCCTGACTCAGCTCACCCCAGAGGAAGAGGAGAAGCGAAGGGTGCGCCGGGAACGAAATAAACTAGCAGCAGCTAAATGCAGGAACCGGCGGAGGGAGCTGACCGACCGACTCCAGGCGGTGAGGACAGGCCCTGGGGTGGGAGAGGGGATGTTGAGGGGAGCTCTCTCCCCATTCTCTGCCCCCTCTCCACCTGTACCCTTATCCTGGGTTGAGAACTAGACGTTCCACACATGGAACTAGGTACTGCTGTGGCCAGACTGGGTAGCCCAGGGCACAAACACAGACCCCCATGGACTTAAGTCAACTCCTGGTCCCCCCCCCATTTCCTGACCCCACGGACTACTCTCCTAGCCTTCATTTCATCCCAAGGGGCCACATGGGGCCCTTGAGGAGAGGGGCGCCCCCATCATTTCTCCCATCTGGTCTTCAGCAAGTAACAACCCATTTTGCCTCAGTTTCTCCATCTCTGCAAACCCTCATCAAATCTCCCGGGCTCTTTCTACCCTTAACACTCTGGAAAGCCTGTGAAATGAAATTATTCCACCTCCTGCCCTAGCCACCCACAGCTCTCCTGGTGCTGGTGGCATCCCCCAAAACCCACTCCCTTCCTACGTCCTCCCTTGGTCTGAGAGTTCCCTGCTGTATGCCTGCAGGGTGAGCTGTTACTCCTTGAGGGAACAAGGGAATTGTCAACTTTCCTTCTCTACTTTTTCTCTTCCCCGGGAGGTAGAGAGGGAGGGGTAATAGAAGGGAACACATTAAAAACACATAACAGTGGCTCATGCCTGTGATCCCAGCACTTTGAGAGGCCAAGGCAGGAGGATTGCTTGAGCCCAGGAGTTTGAGACCAGCCTGGGAAACATAGGGAGGACTTGTCTCTACCAAGAAAAAAAAAAATTAGTTGGGCATGGTGGTGCACACCACTGTGGTCCCAGCTACTATGGAGGCTTTAGTGGGAGGATCGCTTGAGCCGAGGAGGTCCAGGCTGCAGTGAGCCATGATTGCACTATTGCACTCCAGCCTGGGGGACAGAGCGAGACTCTGGCTCAAAAGCAAAACAAAACCAACCACATAACGATTGTTCATTCATTCAACAAACCTCCTGCACACCAGAAACTTCCCCATAAACCTGGCCCCTTCTGTACCATCCTTTGGACAGATGGGGGAAACTGAGGTTCCTGGAAGGCAAGACCCTTGCCCCAACTCCCATGGCCACCAGGACTCCATCTCAGGAGGTGTTTTTTCTCAGCCCGGGGCTGCCTTCCAGCAGCAAGTCCAAGGGAGCCATGACCCGAGTTTCCCGGTCACTGACATGCTTTTTTCTCCTTCCTCTCTCTCTTCTGTGACCTGGCCTCCCTGGCCTCAGGAGACAGATCAGTTGGAGGAAGAAAAAGCAGAGCTGGAGTCGGAGATCGCCGAGCTCCAAAAGGAGAAGGAACGTCTGGAGTTTGTGCTGGTGGCCCACAAACCGGGCTGCAAGATCCCCTACGAAGAGGGGCCCGGGCCGGGCCCGCTGGCGGAGGTGAGAGATTTGCCGGGCTCAGCACCGGCTAAGGAAGATGGCTTCAGCTGGCTGCTGCCGCCCCCGCCACCACCGCCCCTGCCCTTCCAGACCAGCCAAGACGCACCCCCCAACCTGACGGCTTCTCTCTTTACACACAGTGAAGTTCAAGTCCTCGGCGACCCCTTCCCCGTTGTTAACCCTTCGTACACTTCTTCGTTTGTCCTCACCTGCCCGGAGGTCTCCGCGTTCGCCGGCGCCCAACGCACCAGCGGCAGTGACCAGCCTTCCGATCCCCTGAACTCGCCCTCCCTCCTCGCTCTGTGAACTCTTTAGACACACAAAACAAACAAACACATGGGGGAGAGAGACTTGGAAGAGGAGGAGGAGGAGGAGAAGGAGGAGAGAGAGGGGAAGAGACAAAGTGGGTGTGTGGCCTCCCTGGCTCCTCCGTCTGACCCTCTGCGGCCACTGCGCCACTGCCATCGGACAGGAGGATTCCTTGTGTTTTGTCCTGCCTCTTGTTTCTGTGCCCCGGCGAGGCCGGAGAGCTGGTGACTTTGGGGACAGGGGGTGGGAAGGGGATGGACACCCCCAGCTGACTGTTGGCTCTCTGACGTCAACCCAAGCTCTGGGGATGGGTGGGGAGGGGGGCGGGTGACGCCCACCTTCGGGCAGTCCTGTGTGAGGATTAAGGGACGGGGGTGGGAGGTAGGCTGTGGGGTGGGCTGGAGTCCTCTCCAGAGAGGCTCAACAAGGAAAAATGCCACTCCCTACCCAATGTCTCCCACACCCACCCTTTTTTTGGGGTGCCTAGGTTGGTTTCCCCTGCACTCCCGACCTTAGCTTATTGATCCCACATTTCCATGGTGTGAGATCCTCTTTACTCTGGGCAGAAGTGAGCCCCCCCCTTAAAGGGAATTCGATGCCCCCCTAGAATAATCTCATCCCCCCACCCGACTTCTTTTGAAATGTGAACGTCCTTCCTTGACTGTCTAGCCACTCCCTCCCAGAAAAACTGGCTCTGATTGGAATTTCTGGCCTCCTAAGGCTCCCCACCCCGAAATCAGCCCCCAGCCTTGTTTCTGATGACAGTGTTATCCCAAGACCCTGCCCCCTGCCAGCCGACCCTCCTGGCCTTCCTCGTTGGGCCGCTCTGATTTCAGGCAGCAGGGGCTGCTGTGATGCCGTCCTGCTGGAGTGATTTATACTGTGAAATGAGTTGGCCAGATTGTGGGGTGCAGCTGGGTGGGGCAGCACACCTCTGGGGGGATAATGTCCCCACTCCCGAAAGCCTTTCCTCGGTCTCCCTTCCGTCCATCCCCCTTCTTCCTCCCCTCAACAGTGAGTTAGACTCAAGGGGGTGACAGAACCGAGAAGGGGGTGACAGTCCTCCATCCACGTGGCCTCTCTCTCTCTCCTCAGGACCCTCAGCCCTGGCCTTTTTCTTTAAGGTCCCCCGACCAATCCCCAGCCTAGGACGCCAACTTCTCCCACCCCTTGGCCCCTCACATCCTCTCCAGGAAGGGAGTGAGGGGCTGTGACATTTTTCCGGAGAAGATTTCAGAGCTGAGGCTTTGGTACCCCCAAACCCCCAATATTTTTGGACTGGCAGACTCAAGGGGCTGGAATCTCATGATTCCATGCCCGAGTCCGCCCATCCCTGACCATGGTTTTGGCTCTCCCACCCCGCCGTTCCCTGCGCTTCATCTCATGAGGATTTCTTTATGAGGCAAATTTATATTTTTTAATATCGGGGGGTGGACCACGCCGCCCTCCATCCGTGCTGCATGAAAAACATTCCACGTGCCCCTTGTCGCGCGTCTCCCATCCTGATCCCAGACCCATTCCTTAGCTATTTATCCCTTTCCTGGTTTCCGAAAGGCAATTATATCTATTATGTATAAGTAAATATATTATATATGGATGTGTGTGTGTGCGTGCGCGTGAGTGTGTGAGCGCTTCTGCAGCCTCGGCCTAGGTCACGTTGGCCCTCAAAGCGAGCCGTTGAATTGGAAACTGCTTCTAGAAACTCTGGCTCAGCCTGTCTCGGGCTGACCCTTTTCTGATCGTCTCGGCCCCTCTGATTGTTCCCGATGGTCTCTCTCCCTCTGTCTTTTCTCCTCCGCCTGTGTCCATCTGACCGTTTTCACTTGTCTCCTTTCTGACTGTCCCTGCCAATGCTCCAGCTGTCGTCTGACTCTGGGTTCGTTGGGGACATGAGATTTTATTTTTTGTGAGTGAGACTGAGGGATCGTAGATTTTTACAATCTGTATCTTTGACAATTCTGGGTGCGAGTGTGAGAGTGTGAGCAGGGCTTGCTCCTGCCAACCACAATTCAATGAATCCCCGACCCCCCTACCCCATGCTGTACTTGTGGTTCTCTTTTTGTATTTTGCATCTGACCCCGGGGGGCTGGGACAGATTGGCAATGGGCCGTCCCCTCTCCCCTTGGTTCTGCACTGTTGCCAATAAAAAGCTCTTAAAAACGCATTCGCCAGGCTACAGTGTTTATTTCCTCCTAACACCCATTGCCTGGCTTCCTTTTAGTAAGAGAGGATGAGGTTAGATTGTCGAAGGACTACACACACACAGAGATCATACACCCATGCACACACACACACAGACACACACCTATGCAGGAACTCCTTCTAGTCAATGGGTCTACAGCAGGATAAAAGGAAGGCAGACAGTCAGGAGGACTTCCTGTACTCGCAGGCAGTGCCTCCTACTAGAAAAAGTAAGTGGCTACAGCTGGGCGCAGTGGCTTGCGCCTGTAATCCCAGCATTTTGGGAGGCCAAGATGGGCGGATCACTTGAGGTCAGGAGTTTGAGACCAGCCTTGCCAAGATGGTGAAACCCTGTCTCTACAAAAAATACAAAAATTAGCCTGGTGTGGTGGTGCACACCTGTAATCCCAGGCTACTTGAGAGGTTGAGGCAGGAGAATCACTTTAACTTAGGAGGCAGAGGTTGCAGTGACACAAGATTGCACCACTGCACTCCAGCCTGGGTGACAAAGTGAAACTGTCAAAAAAAAAAAAAAAAGTAAGGGGTCAGAAGGTTAGCCTGCAGGTGTGGGATCACAGAGGTGTCCTAGTGATGGAGCTTGTATGCTCTATGGGTTAAAAACAGACGCTAAGGAGATAAACTATACACAGAAGAAGCTTAATGGGCTGTGCACAGTGGCTTGCACTTGCAATCCCAGCTCTTTCGGAGGCCGAGGTAGGAGGCTAGGAGTTCGAGAACAGCCTGGGGCAACATAGTGAGACACCCCCCACCCCAACCCATCTCATTATGTTGAGAAAAAAAAAAAAAAGAGGATCTTGAGAAACTTGCACAGCAAACTACTAAAGACCACTCAGGCTAGGAATGAGGCGTCATCTTGGATTTTTTACAAACTACAACTACAAAAAACAATTATTTTACACTGAAGATGTGTTTCCTTTTGTTTTCCATATGACCACTATTGGGGCCAACCCAAGACTGACTGAAGCAAATATATGACCATTTTTTTTTTTTACACATAGAGTGGAGCCATCCCCATTGCAAAATCCTAGCCGTCTCTTATTTGCATAACAGCAAGTCCTCTGGGAATTGAGGTGAGGGTCCAGGGGTCGCTCAGACGCTTTGGTAAATCAATAAGCAAGGGAATTTGTCATGGTGGAATCCATTTATTAATTCACTCAAAAAAATGTGCTAAGCACCTACCCAACTGTGCTGGGAGTTGGGGACACTATAGGGACTGAGCCTCAGGTCTTGCCCTCCTGGGGCTCACAGTCCATTGGGGGACACACACCGTTGCCAGTCAGGGACAACCTAAAGTGGATTGGGTTTGGGAAGCCCATGGGGCTAGGGAAGCACAGCAGGGACACCTAGCTTGGACTGGGAGTCGGGAAAAACTTCCTGGCGGAGGGGACAGCTGAGCTGAGTCCTAGAGGAGGATAGAGAGTATAGAAAGAAATAGAAAAAGGCCAAGGCCAAGAAAATAGCACAGCCATAGATCTGTTGGTGGGGAGAAGGCTTGATACATTGAGAACGCTTAGAGGGTCGGGTGCGATGGCTCATGCCTGTAATCCCAGCACTTTGGGAGGCCGAGGTGGGTGGATCACCTGAGGTCAGGCATTCAAGACCAGTCTGGCCAACGTGGCGAAACCCCGTCTCTACTAAAAAATATATATATATATATACAAAAAATTAGCTAGGCATGGTGGTGGGCACCTGTGATCCCAGCTACTCGGGAGGCTGAGGCAGGAGAATCGCTTGAACCTGGAAAGTGGACATTGCAGTGAGCTGAGATTGTGCCACTGCACTCCAGCCTGGGCAACACAGCGAGACTCTGTCTCAAAAAAAAAAAAAAAAGAAAGAAAAAAAAGAGAAAACTCAGAGATTCGTGGAGACTGGAACCACGGGTGTGGAGAGAGGGGTTAGTAGAGACCAGATTCTGCAGGTACTATAATGACATTCCCAGGCTAAGGAGTTTAGATCTTTTCTTCAGGGCACTGGGGAGCTATTGCAGGTTTTGAACACGAGAGGGGCAGGGGCAGGTTTGTGATTTAGGAAAGACCCCTCTGGCCCCAGACTGAGCGTGACTGGAAGGGAGAGGAGTGAGACTGAGCAGGAGACCAGGGAGGAAGTGGGGTGGGGACCCTGCAGGGTGGGGTGAGGAGGAGTCCAGAACAGGGCCAGGGACATGGGACAGAGAGGAGGGGAAGGATTCAGGAGACACTCGGGAGGCAGGACAGTTGGGCTTGGTGAGCAGCCGGCTTGGGAAGGAAAATACAGGGCAGTAATAAATAGCATGGGTCAAGTGGTCTGAGTGAGGCTGGGAGTGGTGGCACGCACCTATGGTCCCAGCTACTCAGGAGGCTGAGGTGGGAGGATTGCTTGAGCCTGGAAGTTTGAGGCTGCAGTGAGCTATGATCGTACCGCTGCACTCCACTTTCGGTGACAGAGTAAGACCCTGTCTCAAAAAAAAAAAAAAAAAGGAAAAAAAAAAAAAGACACTGCCTATGAGTTAACCCTGCTCTACAAGGAGCAGTTTTTAAAGTAAAATTAAAAAAAAAAAAAAAAAAAAAAGAAAGAAAGAAAGAAAGAAAGAGAGAGAAAAAAGAAAAAAGGCTGGGTTGCCTTGGACAACAGACTTCATCTCCCTGAGCCTCCATTTCCTCATCTGTAGAATGGGGGCTGTTAAGAGGAGTTGCAAGGCTTGTGCATGCCAGCAGTAAGTGCAGAGTGACGGTGCAATTATCATTACCCCCATCATCTTTATTGGGGTCAGCCTGAACCCTCGATATCCCATAATATTCACCCCCATCCTTCAAGGGTCTGCCCTAATGTTCCCATGACACCCGACCAGCTCAGCTCTCCTTATGAGAGGGCCTCACTTTTCTATTCCCTTTGCAGCCGTTATCCCCTTTGTAGTTGTTAATTAAGTGTGTAATTACATGATGGCTTAATGTTTGTCTCCCCCACTGGGCTGACTGCACCAGGAGACCAAGGCCAGGGCTGTCACCCACCGCTGCGTCCTCAGCAAATGCTTGTTTGATGAGTGAATGACAGATGAACAAATGGGCAAGTATTTGACTGATTAATCACGGCATGCGTGATTAAATAAATGAGTGAGCAAACGACTGAATGAGTAAGCAATTGAAGGGGAGAGATCTAGGATAATTTCCAAACTGCCAATATCCCAGAACTGGGTAGATGACTTTTTCTCCGTCTTTTGGAGTGGGTTTTTATACTCCGGAGGGGGAAATAAGTAACGACAATCAGAGATCGGAGTGACAGAGAATGAGTTTGCGATGCGGAAGGCCGCAGCGACCTCTCCAGGTGCAGGCTGGAGGAGCGCCTCCCGGGCAACAAGCAAAAGAAGTCCGGTTCGATAAGTAAGATTTAAGGCGCTTAGTTACTACCGCCCGAAAGGTGGAATTGAACCACTCTGTCGCTAGACAGCTACAGGTTTGAAGCCTGCACCCCAGACCACTGAGGATCATCCGGGCAGGACAACCTTATTCCCGCGCAGCTATATAAGGATCGCAAAAGCTTACCTTTTAGAGTTATGGTCGCGTCCTTTGGAAAGGTGTGAGATGGTTGACTTCAAGGGCTATAAGTTCTCCCCACTCATTTATCGTGAGAGATGTCCTTGTAAAACGTTGCCTTCACTTCATATAGTATGAATCATCCTCGCTCCCCAAACCGTCTCATTTACATAGCGCCACGCATTCTGGGAAGCAGCGTTTGAGCACCTGGCAAGCTGTTAAAGGGCCCAGGACCCCCTTTTTCCAAAATGAAAAGTCAGCTTTTTAAGAGGAGAGATTCATGATTCGGCATTCAGAAGCGCCTTCTCGGAAAATTCCGAATTCTCTTTCTGCGGAGGAGTGGTGAGTGGGTTCCTGTTAGAGTCTGATTCACCCTGGCCCCAAAGGCTCTGAGCAGGCGGCTATAGGGCTGGTGCGACACCTGCTGTTCTTTTATGGAATTGCGTAGGCCGATGGAGCTCCGCGTTCATTCAAACGTTTATTGAGCGTCTACTGAGTCCCAGGAACTGTCTCGGTGCTGGTGACGACAGACATCCTGTCCCGATTGAGTTTAAACACTAGACATAACCAATTTCTGCACTTGCGTTTTATGGTTGGAGAAACTGAGACAGACTCAGAAACGGATAGTACCATATTCCGGTTAAAACAGCCCATCCACTTAGGGAAATCGAACTTGTGTTACAATTTTTATTACAAAAAAGGTGATTCTTTTTTCTTAAATTTTTACATATTTAGGAGGTACAGGTGCCGATTTCTACATGCATATGTTGATTGCATCGTGGTGAAATCTGGGCTTTTAGGTGTACTCATCACGAAAAATTATTCAATATTCTAAGTCAGTGATTCTTTGACAATACCATTCTCCTGCATGAAACTCTCCCATGACTTCCATTTCAGAGTAAAAGTCAAAGTACTCACCCTGCTTTACAAATCCCTGTAATCCAGCCCCTTTGGTCCCTCTGACCCTGTCTCACATACTCCTCTTCCCTTGGATATTATTGGATTTAGGCACACAGATGTCTTGCTGCACACATGGATCATGCTACCACCACAGGGACTTTGTGCTTGCCGATCCCCTAGCCTGGATCTCCTCTTCACATGTTCCCATGGCTCATCGCCTCCCTTCACTCTGTCATCTGATCAAATGTCAATACCAAAAACTCACTGAGTGACCAGCACTCAGTGGGGCCTTCCCTGATCCCAGTTTAAAATAGCGAGTGGCGGCCGGGCGCGGTAGCTCACGCCTGTAACCCCAGCACTTTGGGATGCCAAAGCGGGTGGATCACGAGATCAGGAGATGGAGACCATCCTGGCTAACACGGTGAAACCTTGTCTCTACTAAAAATACAAAACATTAGCTGGGCGTGGTGGCGGGCGCCTGTAGTCCCAGCTACTCGGGAGCCTGAGGCAGGAGAATGGAGTGAACCCGGGAGGCGGAGCTTGCAGTGAGCTGAGATTGCTCCACTGCACTCCAGCCTGGGGGACAGAGCGAGGCTCCGTCTCAATAAATAATAAATAAATAAAATAGCTAGTGGCTGGGATCGGTGGCTCAGGGCCTGTAATCCCAGAACTTTGGGAGGCCGAGGCGGGTGGATCACCTGAGGTCAGGAGTTCGAGGCCAGCCTGGCCAACATGGTGAAACCCCGTCTCCACGAATGATACAAAAATTAGTCAGGCATAGTGGCTCACGCCTGTAATCCCAGCTACTCGGGAGTTTGAGGCAGGAGAACCGCTTGAACCGGGGAGGCAGAGGTTGCAGTGAGCTGAGATGGTGCCATTGTACTCCAGCCTTGGTGAAAAGAGCAAAACTCCATCTCCAAATAAAAGTAATAATAATAATAAATAAAATAAAAATTTTTAAAAAGCGAGCTCTGTCACTCTATCCCCTTACCCTGCTAGACATTTCCCCACCACTCTGATCACCACCTGCCATTTTCTGTGTCTATTTGCTTACCGTCTGTCTGCTTCTGTAGAATATCAGCACCATGAAACTATGCACTTTATTTTTGATCATTGCTGTATCTCTAGTGCCTAAAAAGTGCTTGAGAACATAGCAGATGTTCAGTAAATGTTTGTGGAATGAATAAAAGAATATCATCACTGTCTTTTTTTCATTCTTCTTCCAGACAGGATCTTACTTTGTCACCCAGGCTGGAATGCAGTGGCGCAAAAACGGCTCACTGCAGCCTCGACCTCCCAAGCTCAAGTGATCCTCTTGCCTCAGCCTCCCTGGGATGACAGGCATATACCATCACGCCCAGCTAATTTTAATTTTTTTTGTAGAAACAGGGGCCTCACTTTGTTGCCCAGACTGGCCTCGAACTCCTGGCCTCAAGTGATGCTTCTGCCTTGGGCTCCTAAAGTGCTGGAATTTCACGCGTGAGCCACAGCACCTGGCCTCACTATCCTTCTTTCAGCCTCAGTTTTCTCATTTGTATAACCAGACTAGTACAACTGATCTCACTGGAGAAATCATGATATAAAATTCTGACACTGGCTGAGGCAACTGGGAGGAGCTCAGTAAAGGCTGTTTCTGCTGGGCACGGTGGCTCACACATGTAATCCCAGCACTTTGGGAGGCCAAGGTGGGTGGATCACAGGAGATTAGAAGTTCCAGACCATCTGGCAAGCATGGTAAAACCCCATCTCTACTAACAATTCAAAAAGTAGCCAGGCATGGTGGCTCACACCTGTGATCCCAGCTACTCGGGAGGCTAAGGCAGGAGAATCCCTTGAACCCAGGAGGCTGAGGTTGCAGTGAGCCAAGATTGTGCCACTGCACTCCATCCTGGGCGACAGAGCAAGACTCTGTCAAAAAAAAAAAAAAAAGTTTTTTTTTTTTTGGCTGGAATTACAGGCGCCTGCCCCCACACCTGGCTAATTTTTGTTTTTTGTTTTTTTAGGAGAGACGGGGTTTCACCATGTTCACCAGACTGGTCTTGAACTCCTGACCTCAGGTAATCCAACTGCCTCAGCTTCCCAAAGTGCTGAGATTACAGGCGGGAGCCACTACACCTGGCCAATAAAGGCCGTTTCAGTCTTCAATCTGTTTTGAGCTTGGAGGCTTTAGTCATTCCCAGACCCAAAATCTCAATCAGACCCTCTTCCACCACTTTTTGTGATAGATCAATAAACATTTTGTCTTATGGGAAGTTTAACTAAGAGTATCTTTAGAAAGTTTTGGACAGGCGCTGTAATCCCAGCACTTTGGGAGGCCGAGATGAGCGGATAGCTTGAGCCCAGGAGTTAGAGACAAGCCTGGGCAACATAGTGAGACTCTGTCTCAAAAAAAAAAAAAAGAAAGAAAGAAAAGAAAAAAAGAAAAAAAAAGTATTCCCTCTGCTTGGCAAATCCAGATTCAAGATATATCCCCTAAACCCTCTTTGTTTTAATTAGATAGTTGCTGCTAGGCACCTCTGTATACAAATTCTGAGGATGTAAGGACTCCTTGGAACACCGTTATCTGTCTCCTAATATGTGACGTGTGTATGACGAACAAGTGAGTTTTTTTTTTTTTTGTTTCTTTTTTTTGGTTTTTTGTTTTGAGACGCAGTCTCGCTCTGTCGCCCAGGCTGGAGTGTAGTGGCGCGATCTTGGCTCACTGCAAGCTCTGCCTCCCAGGTTCACGCCATTCTCCTGCCTCAGCCTCCCTAGTAGCTGGAACTACAGGCGCCCGCCACCACTCCCGGCTAATTTTTTTGTATTTTTAGTAGAGACGGGGTTTCACCGTGTTAGCCAGGATGGTCTCGATCTCCTGACCTCATGATCTGCCCGCCTCGGCCTCCCAAAGTGCTGGGATTACAGGCGTAAGCCACCGAGCCCGGCTTTTTTTTGAGATGGAGTTTCCCTCTTGTTGCTCAGGCTGGAGTGCAGTGGTGTGATCTCGGCTCACTGCAACTTCCGCCTCCCGGGTTCAAGCGATTTTCCTGCCTCAGCCTCCCAAGTAGCTGGGATTACAGGCATGCACCACCACGCCCGGCCAATTTTGTATTTTTAGTAGAGACATGGTTTCTCCATGTTGGTCAGGCTGGTCTCCAACTCCCGACCTCAGGTGATCCACGTGCCTTGGCCTCCTAAAGTGCTGAGATTACAGGCGTGAGCCACTGCGCCTGGCTGCACAAACATTTTAAACGTCAATATTTTTGTGTTTATTTTTACTATTGTCTTCTATTTCTGGCAAGCAATACTGGTTTCTGGTGGCAAGGTAACCTTTCTTCTTAAAATACATTTGTTATTATATTATTAAATATTAAACCAATTTTCAAGAAAAATATTAGATAAATAGCAGAACAGGTTGTAGAAAGATGAAGGTCATGTGGGGAATGACTGAGGTTTGGGAAACAATATTATAACTCCTTACTGTGCATTTATTATATGCCAGGCCCAATGCCAAGGGCTTTACATGTAGGTATAGTTATGGTTGACAGTTTTCTTCTTTTTCTTTTCTTTTTTTTTGAAACAGGGTCTTGCTCTGTCGCCCTGTCTGGAGTGCAGTGACACAATCTCAGCTCACTACAACCTCCACCTCCTTAGTTCAAGTGATTCTCCTGCCTCAGCCTCCCGTGTAGCTGGTCTTACAGGTGCCCACCACCACATCCGGTATTTTTAGTAGGGACGAGGTTTTACCATGTTGGCGAGGCTTGTCTTGAACTCCTGACCTCAGGTGATCCACCTTCCTTGGCCTCCCAAAGGCTGGGATTACAGGTGTGAGCCACTGCACCTGGCCTCTTTTTTTCTTACTTAATTTTTTTGTAGAGATGAGGTCTATGTTGCCCAAACTTGTCTCGAACTCCTGGCCTTAAGTGATCCTCCCTCCTTGGCCTTCCAAAGTGCTGGGATTGCAGACGTGAGCCATCGTGCCCGGCCTAATAAGTTTTCCATTTGAGGAAACTGAGGCTTTGAGAGATGAAGTCATATGCTCAAGGTCATACAGCGAAGGGGTAGTAGAGCCAGGATTCAAACCCAAGTCTGTGGATCTTTAGACCTCAGTGTTCTCCCAGTCTCCCCACGGGTCCCTTTGCTTCATCCTTTCCGAGTTTAGTTGTCTTTTTTGTTGTTGTTCTTGTTGTTGCTGTTTTTTGATAGAGTCTCGCCCTGTTGCCCAGGCTGGAGTGCAGCGGCATGATCCTGGCTCACTGCAACCTCTGCCTCCTGGGTTCAAGTGATTCTCCTGCCTCAGGCTCCCGAGTAGCTGGGATTACAGGTATGCGCCGCCACACCCAGCTAATTTTTGTATTTTTAGTAGAGATGGAGTTTCATCATGTTGGTCAGGCTGGTCTGGAACTCCTGACCTCAGTGATCTGCCCACCTTGGCCTCCCAAAGTGCTGGGATTACAGGCGTGAGCCACTACGCCCAGTATGTAGTTTTTTTGTGTTTTGTTTTTGTTTTTGTTTAGAGACAGGGTCTCCCTCTGTAACTCAGGCTGAAGTGCAGTGGTGTGATCATAGCTCTCTGTAACCTCGAACTCCTGGCCTCAAGCAATTTTCCTGTCTTAGCCTCCCAAGTACCTGGGACTACAGGCATGCACCACCACGCCCGGATAAATTTTTTTTTTTTTTAGAGACGGGGGTCTTGTTATGTTGCTCAGGGTGGTCTCGAACTTTTGGCCTCAAGTGATCTTCCCACATTGGCCTCCCGAAGTGTTGGGATCACAGATGTGAGTCATCATGCCAGGCCTCAGATTAGTGTTGAAACTGGAAGTCCAGGGAGGCCCTGTATTTGTTCCCGAGGCAATCAGGGTGGGGAGACGTGGGTGGATGAGAGAAGTTTGTGAGGCAGGATAGACACAGCATTGTGACTGATTGTTTGTGGGAGGTGAGTGTGTAGAAGTCCAGAGCCATACCTGGGTGTCTGGCCTGGTGACACCGTGGGCAGTGAAAACATCTCTGAGTTGGAAATCAGGTAGGATGAAGAAGACGTTTGGTTAGATTTAGGGTGGAAGGGGCATCCAGAGGCCGTTGGACACGTGGGTTTGGGCTCAGTTGAGGTGGCTGCACAGTAGGCAGGGTGTGGGATCCATTAGTGATGTCTGCCTTGAGCACAGGCATGGGAAGTGGCTGCCAAGGCTTGGCTAACCCTGGAATGGGTGGTCTGTCAGCATCTTCCCCTCAATCATTTCTTTCTTTTTTTTTTTTTTGAGACAGAATCTCGCTCTGTCGCCGAGGCTGGAGTGCAGTGGCGCAATCTTGGCTCACTACAACCTCCATCTCCCAGATTCAAGCGACTCTCATGCCTCAGCCTCCCGAGTAGCTGTGATTACAGGCATGCACCACCACACCCGGCTAAATTTTGTATTTTTAGTAGAGATGAGGTTTCACCATGTTGGCCAGGCTGGTCTTGAACTTCTGGTCTCAAGTGATCCGCCCTCCTCGGCCTCCCAAAGTGCTGGGATTACAGGCGTGAGCCACTGCGCCCGGCCTCCCCTCAATCATTTCATAACCTACACAGATGGCAGAGGGAGCTCCTTCTCCAGAGATGGGGAAGGTTCTCCTGGAGTGTCACTTAAGTGCCTTTCAGTGCAGAAAGGTGAACAACTGGAGGGTTCTGGAAGCACAAGAGGCCTCGGGTTTTCCACAGGAGTCTTTATTACAGTGTAAATCCAAGCTCAGGCCTCCCCTGGGCCCCATGCAAAGCCCCGGCGTTGGGGCTAGTAGCATCCAGGAGACACCAACGCCTCACGGCGCCTCCAGCGGCGGGTCCGGAAGTGCAGGGTGGTGCCCTGTCTAGGCAACTACAAGTCCCAGCAGGCCCCGCGGCCAAGGTGCCTCGTCTTTCCTGGACTCCTGGAGCAGAGCCTCTTGGGAAATGTAGTCCTGGTCGCTCAGGTAATTAGCGCAGAGTCCCTAGTGGGAGTGATCCTGACACCCACCGGGAAAAGGCTCGGGCCGAGGAGGGGGGTGGGTGGGAACGGACAAGAGATGGAGGGGGCCAGAGGGCTGCGGGGGCTGGGGGCAGGCGTCCTGCGGGCAGAGACACCGTTCTCATTCGGCTTTGGCTTTGGATCCGGAGACTGCGGCTGCTGCAGAGGCCAGGGCTCCGGTCCCTGGGATTTTAGCTCGGATCCTGAAGGAGAAACAGGTGGGATCACGAGGTGGGGCAAGAGACGCGGGGTGGGCATCTGGGGACAACGGGGAAAGCTGGGTGGGAAACTGACCAAGAGCCCGAAGCCAGCTCCTGCCCTCCACCTAGTGGCCTACATTGGAATTGCCTCCTCAGCCTTTTCAAGGGGACATTACCCCAGGAGATTTGCGGACAGCGAGAGTAGAAAGGAAAGGTTCCCAAGCTCCCCCACTTCCCCCTCCCATCGACCTCCGCCCCATGCTCTTACTTAGCTTTGATGTGGCTCAACTGATTGGTCACCAACCCCACATATTGGTCGATCTGAGCCTGGGGAGACCAAAGAAAGGTGAAAGAAGGGATTGGAGGGGTTTCTTCTCTTTAGTCACATAGGAGGCTGCTTCCTCCCCAACCTCCAAATTAGGAGTTGTGAAGAGTGGCCCACCACGCCACCCCCGGCTCTAAACTTCATAGAATACATTAGATGCCAGAGATGCCAGTTATAGGGTCAGTGAGTTGGGCCATACTCTGTATGGAGAGTGATGTCAGGTGGAACGCACAAGTATCTGGCAGTGAGGCCGTGTCCTGGGCACGATGGTTAATCTTTGAGTGAGTTTGCATACGTGTGTGTTGTGGGGTAGGGTGAGAACAGAAGGCACTGGCATTGGTCACCGAGTCCCTGAGTGGATTGATTTATATACTCGTGTTTTTTAAAAAATTATTTATTTATTTGTATTTATTTTTTTGAGACAGGGTCTCGCTCTGTCACCCAGCCTGGAGTGCAGTGGCATGATCTCGGTTCTCTGCAACCTCAGCCTCCTGAGTTCAAGCGATTCTCCTGCCTCAGCCTCCCGAATAGCTGGGATTACAGGTGTGCACCAACATGCCCGGCTAATTTTTGGATTATTTATTTATTTTTTTCTTGTTCTTTTTTTTTTCTTTTTCTTTCTTTCTTTTTTTTTTTTTCCTGAGACGGAGTCTTGTTCTGTGGCCCAGGCTGGACTGCAGTGGTGCAATCTCAGCTCACTGCCACCACTGCCTCCCGGGTTCAAGCGATTCTCCTGCCTCAGCCTCCCGAGTAGCTGGGATTACAGGTGGACACCACCAAGCCTTGCTAATTTTTGGATTTTTAATACAGACAGGGTTTTACCATGTTGGCCAGGCTGGTCTCGAACTCCTGACCTCAAGTGATCCGCCTGCCTCAGCCTCCCAAAGCTGGGATCACAAGCGTGAGCCACCATGCCCAGCCTTTTTTTTTTTTTTTTTTTTTTTTTTTTTAGATAGGGTCTTGCTCTGTTGCCCAGGCTGGAGTGCAGTGGCATGATCACAGCTCACTGCAGCCTCTACCTCCTAGGGTTCAACTCATCCTCTTGCTTCAGCTTTCAGAGTAACTGGGACTATAGGTGTGTGCCACCACACCTGGCTAGTTTTTAACCTTTTTGTAGAGATGGGGGTCTTACTATGTTGCCGAGGCTGGTCTTGAACTTCTGGCCTCAAGCAATTCTCCTGTCTCAACCTCCCAAAGTGCCGGGATTACAGTTGTGAGCCACTGTGCCTGGCCTGATTTAAATACAGTTTAATTGTGAGTCTTGGTGATTCCAGCCTGTGAAGGACAGAGTTAGGACTAACTGGCAGGGCATATTATCATGTGGCTCCCAGCTGTGCTGGAGAAGGGGCTGTCAGTCCATCCGCCTGTCTCTGGATAGGATGGATGTCAGCAGTCCTGCTAATGTCAGTCTTGTGGGCAACAGCCATCCCACTCTTGATTTTATTTTTATGTTTTTATTTTTTATTTTTTGGTTTTTTTTTTTTTTTTTTTTGAGACAGACTCTTGCTCTGTCACCCAGGCTGGAATGCAGTAGCATTTAACTGACATGTCAGTTAAAATCAAGAGTGAAGGCCAATCTCAGCACTTTGGGAGGCCAACGCGGGCAGATCACCTGAGGTCGGGAGTTGGAGACCAGCCTGGCCAGCATGGTGAAACCCGGTCTCTACTAAAAATACAAAAAATTAGCCAGGCATGGTGGCAGGCACCTGTGATCCCAGCTACTCGGGAAGCTGAGGCAGGAGAATCGCTTGAACCTGGGAGGCAGAGGCTGCAGTGAGCCAAGATCGTGCCACTGCACTCCAGTCTGGGCAACAGAGCGAGACTCCATCTCAAAAAAAAAAAAAAAAAAAGGCAGCAAAGGCTAGGCACAGTGGCTCACGCCTGTAATCCCAGCACTTTGGGAGGCCAAGGTGGGCAGATCACTTGAGGTTAGGAGTTTGAGACCAGCCTGGCCAGCATGGCAAAACTCCGTCTCTGCTAAAAATACAAAAATTAGCCGGGCACGGTGGCCATATGCCTGTAATCCCAGCTACTCAGAGATTGAGGCAGGAGACTTGCTTGAGCCCAGGAAACGGAGGTTGCAGTGAGCCGAGATCACACCACTGCACTCCAGCCTGGGCAACAGAGCAAGACTCTGTCTCAAAGAAAACCCAAAACAAAACAAAAACAAACAAAAAGCCTGTCCCTGGCTGATGCTGATAAGACATGTTACTTAGACTCTGGTTGTATTGGGAAGGTGCTGCAGCCAGGACACCTGTGTCTGGCCGGGACATCTGTCAATGGGACCCCGGTTCTGGAAGGAGATGGTCAGACCCCCATGTTTAGCTGGGGTGCTGACAACTGAGGGTGTCACACTCACCTGGTGCTGCCGGTACAGCAGGGGGATGGTGAATAGACCAATCACTCCTGTGGGTACAGAGATGGGGGCGTCAGGGTGTTCCCAAGAGATGAACAGTTCCATCTGGAGCCCTGTCCCCCACCAGACTCCAAGTCCCCATTTGCCCCTTACGGCCTTCCCAGCTCACCCAGAATGAGAAGAGTCAAACCATTGAAGATGGCACCCACGAAGGTCAAGATGTAGAAGAGGAGGGCCAGCTGGGGGTGAAGGTCAGGGTCAGCAGAGCCCACCGGGAATTCCCTCTCATGCTGTGAATTTACCCAACAGTCGCCCTCCCACCCCCTAGCCATGCAGAGGTGAATGGGGGAACCCAGGAGGGGCTGAGAGCTCCAGGCCACCTTGAGGGAATCCACGAGGTCTTCTACCAGGAAGAAGTGCCGCAGCTGCGTGGCCGCCGAGACCACGCGGGAGGTGATCTGGTGGGACAAACGTTCCGTCTGCTCCCGAGTCAGGGTGAGGTCCACATCCAGGTAGGCCCTGCGGGGACAAAGGAGTGTGGGGCGACTCAGTGGGTGACCAGCTCAGACTGGTGCAGGGGCAGCTGAAACAAGGGAGAGGAATGGCGGTTGGGAGAAGACCAGAGTTAGGACTGAGGGGCAGCTCAGAGGAATCATATGTAGAGGGCTGGGGTCAGGGTCAGGGTCAGGGGAAGGGATCGAGGATGAAGGGTACCAGGTTAGGATCAGAGATTAGGATTGAAGGGTAGGTTAGGGGATCGGGATGAAAAATGATCAAGATGAGTCGGGGTCCGGGTGGGAGTCGGTGCCTGATTTGAGGTCGTGGGTCATGCTTTAGGGTCAGGACAGGGGCTCAGGTCAGGGGCCGGGGGTTCTCACTGGAAAGGGTTGGCTCCATCCCCCCGGTGCACGGCCTGCAGCACTTTGCGGTAAACCCTGAGAGAGATGGTGCCGCAGAGCAGCAACAGAGCCAAGTGCGCGGCCACGGACACGATGCTAAAGTGCAGGAGGCAGAGGAGGGAGACCATCAGGCCTGTGAAGACCACTCCTGACGTCCTCGTGTCCTTCCAGTACAGCAGGTCCGCCACTGTGGAGGGGTGGGGGGCATCAGGGCTTGTACCTGACCTGGCTGGTCTCCTCACCTCCCTTTCCCTGTCCTACAGCTGAAAATGACTTCTCGACACACCTGTTTGAGCATAACCTGATTTCCTTTTTTTTTTTTTTTTTTTGAGAGACAGGGTCTCACTCTGTCACCCAGGCTGGAGGCAGTGGTGCAATCATAGCTCACTGCAGCCTCGATCTCCTGGGCTCAAGTGATCCTCCCACGTCAGCCTCCTCAGTAGCTGGGACTACAGGTGTGCACCACCACTCAGCTAATTTTTGTTTTTGTTTCTGTTTTTAGAGGTAGGTGGCTCTCACTGTGTTGCCCAGGCTAGTCTCGAACTCCTGGCCTCAAGTTATCCTCCTGCATCAGCCCTCCAAAGTGCTGGGATTATACGTGTGAGGCACAGCACACAGCCCGATTTGCAATTTTTTAAAAATTATTTTATTTTATTTTTATTTTTTTCTCTATTGCCCAGGCTGGAGTGCAGTGGCGCAATCACGACTCACTGCAACCTCCGCCTCCCTGGTTCAAGCGATTCTCCTGCCTCAGCCTTCTAAGTAGCTGGGATTACAGGCATGTGCCACCATTCCCGGCTAATTTTTGTATTTTTAGTAGAGACGGGGTTTCACCATGTTGGTCAGGCTGGTCTCGAACTCCTGACCTCGTGGTCCACCCGCCTTGGCCTCCCAAAGTGCTGGGATTACAGGCATGTGCTACCGCGCCTGGCCTTAATTCATTATTTTAAAGAGCTGCATAGTATTCTGTGTTGTGGCTGTGCTCCTGTGCTCTCATTCATTTTATTTAACCATGTACCTATTGCTGGGTCATTCAGTTTGTTTCCTAACCCCTTCACCGCAAGCAGGGCTGCAAGCAACATCCTCCAACAGATATTCTCACCTCCTGGAGTGACTATTTCTGAGACAGATTCCCAGGGTGGAATTGCTGGGTGGACTGGTTGTGTGTCTGTGTGTGTGTGTGTGTGTGTGTGTGTGTGTGTGTTTTGTTTTTGTTTTTATTTTTTTTGAGACGGATTCTCGCTCTATTGCCTAGGCTGGAGTGCAATGGCACAATCTTGGCTCACTGCAACCTCCGCTTCCTGGGTTCAAGCAATTCTCCTGCCTCAGCCTCCTGAGTAGCTGAGATTACAGGAGGGCTCCACCACACCCGGCTAATTTTTTATATTTTGGTAGAGATGGGGTTTCACCATGTTGGCCAGGCTGGTCTCGAACTCCTGACCTCAAGTAATCCTCCCACCTCGGCCTCCCAAAGTGTTGGGATTACAAGCGTGAGACACCACGCCTGACCTTGGTTTGTTTGTTTGTTTTTTTTTTTGAGACAGAGTTTCGCTCTTGTTGCCCAGGCTGGAGTGCAATTGTGCAATCTCGGCTCACTGCAACCTCCACCTCCCGGGTTCAAGCGATTCTCCTGCCTCAGCCTCCCGAGTAGCTGGGATTACAGGCATGTGCCATCATGCCTGGCTAATTTTTTGTTATTTTTAGTTAGAGATGGGGTTTCACCGTGTTAGCCAGGATGGTCTTGATCTCCTGACCTCAGGTGATCCACCCACCTTGGCCTCCAAAAGTGCTGGGATTACAGGCGTGAGCCACCACGCCCGGCCACATTTTTTTTTTTTTTATTTTTAGAGGCAGAGTCTCACTCTGTCACCCTGGCTGGAGTGCAGTGGCGTGATCATGGCTCACTACAGCCTCTACCTCCCAGAGTCAAGCAAACCTCCTACCTCGGCCTCCTAGCAGCTGGGACTACAGGTGGCACCACGATATCGTGCTAATTTTTTTTTTTTTTTTTTTGGACAAAGTCTTCCTCTGTCACCCAGGCTGGAGTACAGTGGCATGATCTCAGCTCACTGCAGCCTCTGCCTCCCGAGTTCAAGAGATTCTTGTGCCTCAGCCTCCCAACTAGCTGGGATCACAGGCATGAGCTGCCATGCCTGGCCTGGCTAATTTTTTTTTTTTTTTTTGAGGCAGAATCTCGCTCTGTTGCCCAAGCTGGAGTGCAGTGGCGCGATCTCAGCTCACTGCAAGCTCTGCCTCCCGGGTTCACGCCATTCTCCTGCCTCAGCCTCCCGAGTAGCTGGGACTACAGGCGCCCGTCACCATGCCCGGCTAATTTTTTGTATTTTAGTAGAGACGGGGTTTCACCATGTTAGCCAGGATGGTCTCGATCTCCTGACCTTGTGATCTGCCCACCTCGACCTCCTAAACCTGGCTAATTTTTAAATGTTTTGTAGAGATAGGGTCTCGCTATGTTGCCCAGGTTGAATTCCTGGCTTCAAGTGATCCTCCCACCTCGGCCTCCCAAAGTGTTGGGATTACAGGCATGAGCCACCGCGCTCGGTCATATATATTTTTTTAATGTCATAAATTTTGAAACACTGCTTACTAGTAAGACCATAACAGTTCTTATTTCCACAAGAAGCAAGAGAAAGATCTTTTCCCAGCATCCTGCCCTGCAGTGGGTTGCAGTTCTTTTTAACTTTTGCCAATCTGTCAGGTGTAAAGTGATATCCCCTTGATACCCTTAGCAACACATGTTTCTAAGTCCTAAATGTATTAATCACGCCATACTCCTTTCCAGGGCCTAACTCAAATTTCTGACCCCTTTCTGAGACCCTAAAACACACCTCCTAAACCCAACCTCAGCCCTGACCAGTGACCTTTGTACCCCAACCTTCATCTCATCTGTCTAAACTTTAGGCTCACTCCTGTAATCACAACACTTTGGGAGGCCGAGGCGGGAGGATCACCTGAGGCCTGGACAACATAGTGAGACCCTGTCTCTACAAACAAAATAAGAAAATTAGCAGGGCGTGGTGGCCTGTGGCTCTAGTCCCAACTACTTGGGAGGCTGAGGTGGGAGGATCACTTGTGCCCAGGTGTTGGAGGCTGCAGTGAGCTATGATCCCACCACTGCACTCCAGAAAGGGCGACAGAGGGAGACTCTGTGGCTTAAAAAGAAAAAGAAACTTTAGTAATCTGCTTTCCTTTGAGTCCTGAAAACCAGGAACTCAGTACCTTTCTATTTCTTTCCAGATCCTCTCTATCCTCCCACACTCCCTCCAACTGACCCCTCCGACCGGTCCCTCTTAGAGGCTCACCCCTCACTTCCGTCTCCTTCCAATGCATCTCCTCTCATTTACCTCCAAATAGGGCAGCCCCTCCCTCCCCATAGCAGGGCCCTCCCAGGCAGGCTCCTAGTGGCCGGCGCCGGTGGATGGGGGAGGGGCCAGGTCGCCTGAGGCGGGGGCTAAGTTTAGGCACGCTGGGGGGAGGGGGCCTCCCCGCAGCTGTTCTGGCCCGTCTGGCCCCTGAGTGACAGCGCTGCCTGGGGCCGAGGCTGGGGGAGGGGGTCCTCCCTGCTCCTGGGCCCCAAAGTGCTGGCTCGAAGGAGAAGGGACCCCATGCTCCCTCTGGGTCCTCCCTATACTGCCCCTCGGCCCCCTAGCCCCAGCCTGCAGCGCTGCGGAAGCAGATCAGTAATAAAAATGCTCCGGATGTGCAGGAGATAAGGGCGAGTTTGGACCCCGTTCCGCCGACCTCAGCCCCCGTCCAGCCCGTTCCGCAAGCCCACCTTTACTCCCCATATCGGCTCCGAGTGAGAGGCTGGGGACACCGCTGCTTCTCGGGGATTTTGCCCACTTCAGTAGAACCCGGAGGACAGGAGTAGGGGGGGTGGGGCCCCTTTGGACCCAGCCAATGGCTGTCCACAGAGGTGGGGACAATTCCAAAATTGGAACCGTCTTGTAAACAGCCAAAAGCAATGATGTCTTTAACCATTCCATAGCTGTTCCTGGAGGCGGAGCATATTTTAAAGTAAGGCTGGGTCATTTTACAACTGGCCAATAGATGTGGTCAGGAAAAAGAGGGTTTTTGTTTGTTTTTTCAAATAGAGATCGAGTCTCCCTATGTTGCCCAGGCTGGTCTTGCACTCTTGGCTTCAAAGGATCCTCCCGCCTCGGCCTCCCAAAGTGTTTAGGATTACAGGCATGAGCCACTGCGCCCGGCCAAAAAGAAGAGTTTTTAAAAGGCACAGAGTTTACTTATAAATATTCTACGGCCACATCTAAATAAGGAGAGAACTGTATTTTTTCAGGGATTTGGCCTGTCCAAAATCAGCCACTAGGAGGAGCACTCCAGAAGAGGGAGGATTATTTTATTTTATTTTTATTTTTTGAGACGGAGTCTCGCTCTGTCGCCCAGGCTGGAGTGCAGTGGCGCGATCTTGGCTCACTGCAACCTCTGCCTTCCAGGTTCAAGCGATTCTCCTGCCTCAGCCTCCCGAGTACAGACGGGGTTTCACCATGTTGGCCAGGCTGATCTCGAACTCCTCACCTCAAGTGATCCGCCCGCCTCGGCCTCCCAAAGGGCTGGGATTACAGGCATGAGCCACCGCGCCCGGCCGGGGAAATTTTTTTAAAAAGCGGAGTTTATCACGTCTAGCCAGATGTGATATCACGTCTATCTCTTCCCTTTTCCACTATGTACTGTTCCTTTGCGAGGTTGGTCCCTTTAATTCAAAATCCTCTCACCTTTTGCCTTCTGTGGGCCAATGCAGCATCTTCATACACGTTGCTTACCTAGAAGGCGTGGCTCCACCGTGAATTCTAATTGGTCCGTGCTATCGAGGCACTGTCCCCTTACTGGCTCTCGCTCCAGTGGCCCCCACTGCTTTTCTTCCTCTTCCAGCAATGGCTCTTCGGGCCCAGAGTTCGAATCTCGCGATCGGGATGGGGACGGAGTACCGGCCTGGGGTGTCCCAGAGCCCGGACTGAGCTGGGGAGTCAAGACCTCGGGCGATGAGGGCTGAGCAAGTCGGAGTCGTAGGTCCAGTTCTGATACGGTAGAGAGAGGAGGCCGTGAGCTTTCTTCTTGGAGGTGCCCCAAGGAGAAACCACCCACCCCTCTTGGCTTTGGTCCCAGCACCTCGGACATCTCACCTTCCCCAGCTTCTCCTGTCTCCAATCTGTTGGGTTCTTGGGGTTCTTCGTCTTCCAGCGGGGTGGAGCTGCTGGTGGAAGAGTCCTCCCCGGATCCCGTTCCCCGGGCCACCCAGCCCAGATGGTCCAACCGAAGCCTCAGGTCTTCCAGAGGGCGCTCGGATGGAGGCGCGGTGTCAGGATCACCCCGTCGTCCAGGCTCCGGGGATTGGCTCAGGCTGGGGATGCTCTCCAAGCTGTCGCCCAGGCTGGGCTGAGGGTGCTGGTCTCGTGGTTCCGAGACTGAGCGGCCCTGGGGGCGGGGGCGGCGGGCAGTTGAATCCCTGCGGCCCCCGGAGCCCACTACACCATCAAAGGCGATGTAGGAGAAGGTCAGCTCCCGGGGGGTGCCCCAGTCCTGCGACGTGGTCTCCTCCTCGTCCTCCTCTGAGAATTCCCGGGCTGTGTGCAGCTCTCGAAAATCAGAGTCGTCGTTCCCTCCTGCAGTGGGTGAAGGAGAGCCTTGTTTCCCTCAGCAGGTCCCTGAGCTGCCCAGCCCTGAGCCCCTTCACATGCTCCCCACCACTTACCTTCTGTGGAATCAGGAGTTGAGGAGGCTGTAGACGGAGCTTCTTCTGCGAGAGGGAAAGAATCGAAGACTCTTAGAAGCTTAGACTGTCCGAATCACAGAAGTGTCCCAGTCCTGGAATCTTAGAATATTTGAATCACGGGATTTTTAGAACATTCTGCACACAGACTCTAAAACCTAGCATCACTGCCTGATGAAGCTCAGAGTCTTTGAAGTCCAAATCCAGGAATCTTAATCTTAGAGTCTTCAAAGTAGGAATCTTAGGAGGTTTCAATTCATTCATTCGTTCAACAACCACTTATTGAGCACCTACTATGTGCCAGGCACTGTTCTAGGTCCTGGGGATACAGCTGTGAAGAAAACAGACAAAATCCCTGCCCTCCTAGAGCTGACACTCTTTGGGATAGACAAACAATAAACAAGTGAATATATGACGTCGGGTGCAGATGAGCATAGGGAGCAAAGTAAAGAAGGGTAGGGGAAGAGAAAGTGAAGGGGTGCTGTTTCTCATAGGGTGGTCAAGAAGGCTTCTCTGATAAGATGACGTTTGAGCAGAGATCTGAAGGAAGTGAGGAAGCCATGCAGATGTTCAGGGACGTCTTCCAGGTAGAGAAGAAAGCCAGTGCAAAGGCCCTGAGCCAGGCACCATGCTTGGCATCTGAGGAACTGAGAGGTGCGAAGATATGACTGGAGAAGAGTGACTGAGGAGGAGAGGAGTGGGAGGTGAGAACAGAGAGGTAAGGGCGGTGGGGAGAGACAGACGAGGTGGTCCTCCCTTTGTAATCTGAAGTTAACGACAAGATCATAGAATGTTGGGATGATACTCGAAAATGCTGAAATCACCAATTCTTAGAATTTTGGCATCTGGACACGCGAGACATGGAAATGGCTAGATCTAAGGGTGTTGAAATCCCCAGCTGTCAGAACCCCCATGTGTGGGACAGAGAACGGTAGACATGGACTGTTATAGCTGTGAGCTCAGAGATTGTGAGGCTAGGCGTTTTCAGCTGGGAATCCAGCCCCTTAGAGCTAGTTCAGAGCTTTGCACATAGATGATGCTCAATGCGGTTTGGAAATTGAAATCTGACGCCCTGTGCCCTCACCTCGTTTCCTCAGCTGGGGAATAGGAGGCCTGGAATGGTGTGGGTCTTCCCCAGGATTACCATTAACCAGTGGTAAAGACCGCTAAGAACCCATGAGTCCTTGCCCCCAAACCACGGATGGCTGTTTTCCCGGGACAGGGTTGGACAGTTTGGGCGAGGTCGGGGCTGCCTCTTGGACAGAAAACGGGGATGGGATGCGAAGGCAAGTGATTGGGAGCCAGACCCCTGTTTTCCATCCTGGCTCTACCCTCCGTTCAACCCCCTCCCCGCCAGCTGCGGCCAGCACCAGAGCCAGGGGACAGCTCCCCGCGCGCGTCCTCGCTCCCGGGCGGGGCCGGGCGGTACGTCCCAGAGCGCAGCGCGCCCCCCGCCTGCTGTCTCAGTGCCCCCTCACCTCCGCCCTGTTTCGTCCAGGTCCTCCGGGTCAGGCTACCCCCGTCGCCGCCAGAGCGCGGGGGAGGGGAGAGCTTCCTTTGTCTCCTATGCCTCCTCCCCCCATCCCGGCTCTCCTGCGGGCAAGCGCCGAGGGGACACCGGGGAGTACCCCACCTGAACCTCTGGGGCCCACACCAGGCCCCAGTCTTCCTCTACTCACTGCAGTGGGCGAAGACCGGCAGGACCTGCCCCATGGCCCCCCTCGGGCCTGCATCGGGACCCCCGCCCACTCCGGCTGTGCCGCCCTGGGCCCGGGGTCGCGGGCGCTCATCTCCGCCGCGCCCACGACGCCGCTGCCATTCTCGCCGCCTCCTCCTCCCGGGCTGCTCCAGCCGCCGCCGCCGCCGCCGCCGCCGCCGCCGCCCTGGTGCTCGGCTCGGCGGGGGCGGGCGGGGCCGAGGTGGGGAAGGCACTGCAGCGCGCGGCCGGGGGCGGGGCCAGAAGACGGGCGGGGCGGTACCAGAGGGAGGGTGAGGGGCGGGGAAACGCCGAGGATCAGGCGGAGGGGCGTGGCCTTCTTACTAAAGGGGCGGAACCAAGAGGGTGGGCTACGGAGCCAGGAAGGAGGGGAAAGCGGCCTGAAGGGCGGGGCCTAGATCGCAGAGGGCGCAGCCTTTAGGGGAAGAGGGAAGGAGGCCTGGAGTCTGGCGAGGGACTTGGGAGAGGATGGTGAACGAGCCACGGCAGAGAGGATGAGAGCGTGGATCCCTGGGTGGGTTGGGGTGGTGCTCGGGGTGCCATTGAGGAGGGGGTGGAAAGATTCTAATGCTCTGAGGTAGGGTCCGAGCCTAGATTTGCAGAGGGAGCGAGAAAGGGGGCCGAATGAAACGATTCAGAAACTTTTGGGGCACGCGGAGGAGCTCAAACGTGGGCAGGGCTAAAGCAACAGGGAATTATTCAAATATAACTGGGTGGGGTCGGATTCCAGGCGATTCCAGGTCTGCGAAAATTAGAAGGGTCTGGAGCTGTGTGCCTGAATCCTGGATGGGCGGGGCCTGGAAGAGAAAATAAGCGAAGCCCCAGAGGGGAGGGGTCGAACTAAAAACAGTAAAGAAAAAAAAAATATGTATATATATATATATATATATATATATATATATATATATATATCTTTTTGAGACAGGGTCTCGCTCTGTTGCCCAGGCTGGAGTGCAGTGATACGATCACGGCTCACTGCAGCCTCGACCTCCCGGGCTCAGGTGATCCTCCCACCTAAGCCTCCTGAGTAGCTGGGATCACAGGTGTGTTCCACCGCGCCTGGCTAAATGTTAATTTTTGTAGAGACGGGGTCTCGCTATGTTTCCCAGGCTGGTCTCAAACTCCTGGGCTTAAGCGATCCGCCTGCCTCGGCCTCCCTAAGTGCTGGGGTTATAGGCGTGAGCCACCGCGCCCGGCCAAGTATGGTATTTACAGGTTTTGAGGCTGGGGGCTGTACCACTGAGGTGGGAGGAGCTTGGACTGAGTGTTGTGTTGAGAACACAGATTCTAGAATTAGTTTCCCTGGAACACCGGTTACTTCTGTGACTCTGTTTCTTCTTCCATATGTAAACTGGAGATGATGATGTATAACAGTGTGTGACACATTAGTACTATGTAATAGTTTGCCACTGGTACAGTATTATCTTTTTTCTTTTTTTTTCCTGATTCAGATCCCAAACCCCGCTTTGTAGGTGCAGGAAACAGGAGACCCAGAAGTGTAATTCCTTCTAGTGACCCGCCTAAAGAGCAGGTCAAAGGACAGGAAGGAGATTTAGATGGTTTAAAATCTCACAGCGGAGGGGATTAATGGAGGGGGCGGGCAGGTGTACAGGGTGGAGCCTTCCTGATCCCAGGGCTGAAGGATGGCGGTCCTGGCCCGCCAGCTGCAGCGTCTCCTCTGGACCGCTTGCAAGAAAAAGGAGAGGGAGAAGGAGGGGAGGGAGGAAGAGGAGGAGGAGGAGGCGGGGCGCAGGGCCCCCGAAGGGCCTCGGTCTCTGTTGACAGCGCCGCGCCGCGCCCAGCGGCCGCACGGGGGTGCCGAGGCGTCTGGGGGCCTGCGCTTCGGGGCGAGCGCAGCGCAAGGCTGGCGCGCGCGCATGGAGGATGCTCACTGCACTTGGCTTTCGTTACCTGGTCTGCCCCCGGGCTGGGCCTTGTTTGCCGTCCTCGACGGCCACGGTGGGGCTCGAGCTGCCCGCTTCGGTGCACGCCATTTGCCAGGCCATGTGCTCCAGGAGCTGGGCCCGGAGCCTAGCGAGCCCGAGGGCGTGCGCGAGGCGCTGCGCCGAGCCTTCTTGAGCGCCGACGAGCGCCTGCGCTCCCTCTGGCCCCGCGTGGAAACGGGCGGCTGCACGGCCGTGGTGTTGCTGGTCTCCCCGCGGTTTCTGTACCTGGCGCACTGCGGTGACTCCCGCGCGGTGCTGAGCCGCGCTGGCGCCGTGGCCTTCAGCACAGAGGACCACCGGCCCCTTCGACCCCGGGAACGCGAGCGCATCCACGCCGCTGGCGGCACCATCCGCCGCCGCCGCGTCGAGGGCTCTCTGGCCGTGTCGCGAGCGTTGGGCGACTTTACCTACAAGGAGGCTCCGGGGAGGCCCCCCGAGCTACAGCTCGTTTCTGCGGAGCCAGAGGTGGCCGCACTGGCACGCCAGGCTGAGGACGAGTTCATGCTCCTGGCCTCTGATGGCGTCTGGGACACTGTGTCTGGTGCTGCCCTGGCGGGACTGGTGGCTTCACGCCTCCGCTTGGGCCTGGCCCCAGAGCTTCTCTGCGCGCAGCTGTTGGACACGTGTCTGTGCAAGGTCCTGGGGGCGTGGCGTGGTACCTTTGGGGCTTGGTGCAGCAGAGGGAGAGAGCCTCGGGGTTTTGGGGAGGAGGGCTTTGATAGAGAGGCAAGAGTAAAGCTAGCAAAGGAGGGGATAGGACTCAAGCGAAGGGCGTGGCCTGAAGTGGGCAGGGCCAAAATACAGGGGCGGAGCCTGAGGGATGCTTTGAGGCACGGGAGAGTTAGTGGAAGGGACTTAAGAGAAAGGGCGTGGTCTTTTGGAAAGGGGCGATTCTGGGTCGTAGGAGCCGGGCCGGAAGTATTGATTAGTGCTGGAAGGTGGAAGAGCAGGTAAACATCAGAGCGGGCGGAGCTTTAGGGAAAAGGCATTGTTCTCTCAATTGGGAGCGCCTAGGACCGGGTTTGGTCCCAGTAAGAGAGGATTGGCAGGTGGGTGGGACGCGAAAGAAATGGGCATAAGTAGAATGAAGTGGGGGACTTGAACCTGGGGATTGTTGGGAAGCTCTGCCTTGGACTCTCCCCCACCGGGCTCCTTTTTCTCCACCGGCTTCAGGGCAGCCTGGACAACATGACCTGCATCCTGGTCTGCTTCCCTGGGGCCCCTAGGCCTTCTGAGGAGGCGATCAGGAGGGAGCTAGCACTGGACGCAGCCCTGGGCTGCAGAATCGCTGGTGAGCAGACTCTGGGGGCCCAGCTGGAGGGGTGGTTGGCCAGTGAAGGCTGTGCCATAACTTTTTCTTTTTTTCTTTTTTTTTTTGAGATGGAGTCTTGCTCTGTCTCCTAGGCTGGAGTGCAGTGGCGTGATCTTGGCTCACTGCAACCTCTGCCTTCCGGGTTCAAGCGATTCTCCTGCCTCAGCCTCCTGAGTAGCTGGGATTACAGGCATGCACAATCACACCCAGCTAATTTTTGTATTGTTAGTATAGACGGGGTTTCACGATGTTGTCCAGGCTGGTCTCGAACCCCTGGCCTCAAGTGATCCGCCCGCCTTGGTCTCCCAAAGTGCTGGGATTACAGGCGTGCGCCACTGTGCCCAGCCTAACTCTTGACTCTTTCTCAGAACTGTGTGCCTCTGCTCAGAAGCCCCCCAGCCTGAACACAGTTTTCAGGACTCTGGCCTCAGAGGACATCCCAGATTTACCTCCTGGGGGAGGGCTGGACTGCAAGTGAGTTGGGGTGAGGAAGGGTGGGGTGGAATGAGGGTGGGGTGGAAGGAGGAGAGTCCCCTCCTGAGGGCCTTCCTGTGCTCTCCAGGGCCACTGTCATTGCTGAAGTTTATTCTCAGATCTGCCAGGTCTCAGAAGAGTGCGGAGAGGTAAGGATCCTGTGTTCTCCAGTGTTTCTCTTAGGAGGGGACGCCCCCCCGCCCACCCCTCTTAGTGACAGGGAAATTGAAGCCAGTGAGGATAAGGGATTTGCCTGATATATTTTATTCCTCTTTTCTCTTCTTTCTTTCTCTTTTTTTCTTTTCTTCCTTCCTTTCTTTTCTCTCTCTCTTTTTTTTTAGACTGGGTCTCACTATGTTGCCCAGGCTGGTCTCAAACTCCTGGGCTCAAGGGATCCTCCTGCTTTGGCCTCCCAAAGTGCTGGGATTACAGGCGGGAGCCACTGCAACCCAGCCAGCTTGCTATATTAATACATTCCTACTCCCAGCCCTGAAGCATTGTGCAAGGCATGAGGAGGGAGACGCAGATGCAGAGAAGAGACTGTGATTCCCCTCCAAGAAATGTGAGCCGGCAACGCTCTGCAGTGCCCCATCAGCCCAAGTGCTTCCCACATCCAAGAATAAGATGGAAACATTCAGGGAATGCTAATGACCAATTCTAAGGCCTAGACGCACAGCAGATACCATCAGGACATACATGAGTATGATCCAGGTCTTAGACAAGAGAAGCTGTAATGGGGCCCAGATAGCTAAGGAGAATTTGGAGATATCCAAAGATGTATAGTGGTGGACCAAGGCATGGAGTGGCATCAGGGAAGAAATGGGAGGGAGGAAGCTGGGTTTAGAGCCCCAAGGCCTTTGCATGGCAGAGGTGGGAGTTTGGTGATTATCATGTTGATGAGGGAGGATTGTTGACAATTTCTCAGTAGCTGAAGGAGGTATTTGTCAGTTTTCTTTGAGTCGTGAGAGATGGAAGCCCAATTCAAGCTGGGAAAACAAAACAGGGAATTTACTGGGCCATGTAATTGAAGAGTTTAGAGTCTTAAGGCATGGCTGCATCTAGTTGTCAGATGATGTCATCATGAATGGTCTCTTTTTATTTTCTCCGAGTTGGCTTCATTACCTTTCAGGGTCTCCTCCTAAGGTAGCGGAGACTTGCAGCTCCAGGCTTACACCCCAGCAGCCTGTCCTCCCCAGTGGAGAAAGTTTGCCAATTTCCCCGGAGTTGCAGCAGTGGTCTTTGGGGGCTGGTTCTCATTGGCCACACCAGGTCACATGCTGACCAGTCACTGTGTCTGATTGGCCAGGCTGGGGTCGCACTTGGGGTTGGGGTCCACTCCATTCAAACCTTAATGGATTGTGAGATGGGATATGGTGGTCCCTCAAAGGAAAAGGAAGAGGTGCCAGGAGACAAGACAGAATTTCTCATTACCTTCTCCCACATTTTGTGTTACAGAAGGGGCAGGATGGGGCTGGGAAGTCCAACCCCACGCATTTGGGCTCAGCCTTGGACATGGAGGCCTGACAGCTGTTGTCCTTTGGGGATCCTTTGCTTCTCTGGGGCCTCAACAGAACTAAAGAAGAAAACCGACCCTTTCCCCAACTACATGTACCAGCGGAAGGAAGGAAGGCCAATGTAGGAACCCAAAATGCTTATTTCTTCTTCTCTTACTTCCCTCTCACAGAAAAGTCTTACGAATGGGGAAATTCCACCAACATCCAGACCAAAAAGAAAAAAGCCCAAATCGAAAAAAAAAAAAAAAAAAAAAAAAAACAAAAAAACCCAACCAAATGTTTTTGAAATATTCAGAGCCGAACAGATTCTGAGAGATAACCCAGTCCAATAACCTCTTTCCTTCTTATTACTCATCTGTTTTTGAGGGGAAGTAGAGTTTTGATTATTAAACTTTATTTACATAAGTGATTCCAAATACATTTTCTTGTAAAAAACAAGAAGACATGTTTTGCCTAGTCTGTTAGCAAATACGTTACAGGGCACCTGCTGTGTGCCAGGTCTTAGCCTCACAGTCATGAACCAGGCTGACCCACCAAGATCCTTGCCACTGTGGGGCTGACCTCTTGGTCAGGAGACGCAGCAAACAAGGGAATCAATAAATAAAGTCATCTCGCCAGGCGCAGTGGTCCACATCTGTAATCTCAGCACTTGGGGGAGTCTGAGGTGGGAGGATCACTTGAGCCCAAGAGTTCGAGACCAGCCTGGGCAACATAGCAAGATGCAATCTGTAATTTTTTTTTTTTTTTTTTTTTTTGAGACGGAGTCTCGCTCTGTCACCCAGGCTGGAGTGCAAGGGTGCTCTCTCGGCTCACTGCAAGCTCCGCCTCCCGGGTTCATGCCATTCTCCCGCCCAGTCTGTAATTAATACTAAAAAAATGAAGTCATCTTGCACACTGACAAGTGTCACGAAGAAAATAAAACAGGAGGATGTGTTGAGAAAATGACTAGGGGAGCTACTTCGGGTTTTTTACTTTTTCCAATTTTTAAAATTTTGATTTATTTAATTCAGGTAGTTTTGAATGGGTAATAAATTCACTTGGTTTGAAATGCAAAGAGTGCAAGATGGCATACAATGAAGTCTTTCTCTATCCCTCTCACACTTCAGCCACTCAATTTTCCGTGGTGGGGGAGGTGGCTTTTGAAACAGGGGAATCAGGAAAGGTCTCTGAGGAGGGGACAGTTGAGCAGAGACCTGACAGAGAAGAGTCAGCTCCGCAAATACCCCAAAGAGTGTTCTAAGGCAGAGGGAACAATCAGTATGAAGGCTTAGAAGCAGGATAAAATTTCCCCCCTTTTTTTTTTTTTTTTTGAGACAGAGTTTTCACTCTTGTTGCCCAGGCTGGAGTGCAATGGTGCAATCTCGGCTCACTGCAACCTCCGCCTCCTGGGTTCAAGTGATTCTCCTGCCTCAGCCTCCCAAGTAGCTGGGATTACAGGCACGTGCCACCACACCAGGCTAACTTTTTGTATTTACTACAGACAGGGTTTCACCATGTTAGTCAGGCTGGTCTCGAACTCCTGACCTTAGGTGATCCACCCAACTCGGCCTCCCAAAATGTTGGGATTACAGGCATGAGCCAGCCACCAGGTCCGGCCAAATTTGGCATTTTCAAGACAGACTTGAGACCTCCCAAGTGCGGTGGCTCACACTTGTAATCCCAGCACTTTGGGAGGCCGAGGCAGCTTGATTCCAGGAATTCGAGACCAGCATGGGCAACATAGCAAAACCTTGTCTCTACAAAAAAAAAAAAAGATCTCTGTGACCACCAAATTAACCCCACACTCTCTATCTCACTGGTAACCCTTGCAATGAGTTTAAAGTGGACTTTTTACATGTATTAATATATGGTATTCTGGGTGTTTCCTTGATTTTTTTCATTCCCTTCGTATCTCTGGCAACTTTTTATCCACTTAATGGATGTTTTCATTCTATGTCACCCACGTCATTTACACACTTCATGCCACCCGTTTTTTTAAGAGACAAGGTCTAAGTCTGTATCCCAAGCTGGAGTATAATGGCGCAATCATCGCTCACCACAGCCTCGAACTCCTGGGCTCAAGCAATCCTCCTACCTCATCTTCCCAAGTAGCTGGGACCACAGATGGATGATACCACACCCAGTTAATTTTTTTTTTTTTTTTAGAGATGGGGTCTCGGCCAGGCGCAGTGGCTCACACGTGTAATCCCACCACTTTGGGAGGCCCAGGTGGGCAGATCTTCTGAGGTCAGGAGTTCGAGACCAGCCTGACCAACATGGAGAAACCCCATCTCTACTAAAAAATGCAAAAATTAGCTGGGCTTGGTGGTGCATGCCTGTAATCCCAGCTACTTGGGAGGCTGAGGCAGGAGAATCGCTTGAACCCAGGAGGTGGAGGTTGCAGTGAGCCGAGATTGCGCCATTGAACTCTAGCCTGGGAAACAAGAATGAAACTCTGTCTCAAAAAAAAAAAAAAAAAAAAGAGAGAAATGGGGCCTCACTATGTTGTCCAGGCTGGTCTCAAACTCCCTGACCTCAAGTGATCCTCCTGCCTTGGCTTCTCAAAGCACCAAAGCACTGGGATTACAGGCATGACACACCTTGCCCAGTCCACACCTCCTTAAGTTGCTGCTCACTCCGTGCTTCAGAAAAGGATGTCCAAGGGTTTCACTATTCCCTGCCCTCATCTTTTTTTTGTTTTGTTTTGTTTAATTTTTTTTGAGGAGTCTTGCTCTGTCTCCCAGGCTGGAGTGTAGTGTCACGATCTTGGCTCACTGCAACCTCCGCCTCCGGGGTTCAAGTGATCCTCCCACCTCAGCCCCTCAGCCACCCAAGTAGCTGGGATTACAGGTGTGTGCCACCATGCCTGGTTAATTTTTTGTTTTTGGTAGAAACGGGGTTTCACCATGTTGGCCAGGCTGGTCTTGAACTCCTGACCTCAAGTGATCCACCCGCCTCGGCCTCCCAAAGTGCTGGGATTACAGGCGTGAGCCACTGTGCCCAGCCTCCCCTGTCCTCTTGATGAACATTTAAGCTATTTCCAATTTCTTGCTCTCACATCACTGCTACCGTAAAGATCGTTATGTACATATGCAAGCGTTCTCTTACACAGGGGTCTTGCTACCTGTTTTGTACAGCACTTAAGCTAAGAAGAGTTTTTTTTACAGTTTTTAAGCCTTGTAAGAAAAAAGAAAAACTGAAGAGTGTGTAAACCAGACCCTATGTCTAGCATATCTAAAATATTTCCTATTTGAACTTTTACAGAAAATGTTTGCCGGCTGGGCCTGGTGACTCACACCTCCAATCCCAGCACTTTGGGAGGCTGAGCCAGGCTGATCACTTTAGCCCAGGAGTTTGAGACCAGCCTGGGCAACACAGCTAAACCCTGTCTCTACAAAAAATTAGCCTGGCATGGTGGTGTGGACCTACAGTCCCAGCTACTCAGTGGGCTGAGGTTAGAGGATCGAATGAGCCCTGGTTATGCTACTGCGCTCCGGCATGGGCAACAAAGACCCTGTCTCCAACAAACAAACAAACAAAAAACCATGTTTGCTGACTGTTGTTGTAGTGTAGGTGGCACCCAGAAATGCCACCCCTCCTATGTCACAGATGGGAAAGCTGAGACCCAGAGAGGAGAACACAGTTACCCAAGGTCACACTGAACTGGTAACTCATTCAACTAGGTAAGTTTGTTGAGCTGCTGAGCCGGGCGGGCCTGGCTGGGGTGAGTGAGGTCCAGAAATTGATTAAGTCAACTGGGTGCAGTGGCTCATGCCTGTAATCCTAGCACTTTGGGAGACTGAGGCAGGCAGATCACCTGAGGTCATAAGTTTGAGACCAGCCTGGCCAACATGGTGAAATCCCATCTCTACTAAAAATACAAAAATTAGTTGGGCTTGGTGGCCCGTGCCTGTAATCCCAGCTACTTTAGGAGGGTGAGGCAGGAGAATTGCTTGAACCCAGGAGGGGGAGGTTGCAGTAAGCGGGGATCGAGCCAGCGCCCTCCAGCCTGGGTGACAGCGAGAGACTACATCTCAAAAAAAAAAAAAGAAAAAAAGAAATTTAGTCTACCCATTCTCCCAGACAACTCAGCCTGAGGAAACACACTGAGAAACAATGATAACCTCCGAGGAACAGGGTTCAAGGTCTCCCAGAGTGGGGTGGAGAAGGGGAGGGGAATTAATGTCAAAGCTTGGCCTGGAAGGATGACGTGCTCCCCAGGTAAAGGAGGTCAGGACAACATCAACATCCGGACATGGGACTCGGCTTGGACATACGCTGGAAAAGTGGATTCTCTCACATAGTCAGCTGGCCCTGAGAATTGTTGGTTTTACACTCAGACCTTGGTGGCTTTCCGGGTTCTGGGGGCTCAGGCAAGAGGGCCATAGGCCAGATTCATTCCCTGTCTCCAGGCCTCAGTTTACCCGTGTGTAAATGTGGAACTAACTGATTTCCCAGGGCTCGGGCGCCTCACCCGGGCCAGGTGGCGCTCTACCCAAGGGGCGCGACCAAATCAGTGACGTCACTCGGGGCGGGGCCGGCAAGACACGCTGCGGAAGCCTCAGAGGGTGTCTGGGCTCAGCCCGGAGCCGGCGTGTGGGGGCGGGGGCTCCCGGGAGGGTCTCCTCACCTCCGGGCCCTCCTGAGGGCTGGGATGATCCTGCTGTCCTCCGCAGGCGAAACTGAGTCAGAGCGGGGCGTGCGTGGGCCGGAGGCTTTACACACCAAAGAAGCCGGCGCCTCCTGCCCACCCCGGGCGAATGCCGGGCCCCCCACTCCCGCACTCCTCGCCAGTCCCCACCTCCACCCCACCCCACCCCCGACCCTGCGGCTGTGAGTCAGCGACCGACCGCGCCCCCTTGGCCCACTTCCTCCTCACCTTCCCGGGGCGGGCGGGGTGGGGTGAGAGGGGTTGGGCCCTACTCCCCCGACTTCCACTCCCGTGCGGGTGGGGGTCTCGCCCCCTTAGTAACCTCTCCGAAATTGACAGAAGAGAAACGCTGGGGAGGGGCGGTGTTCCGAAGATGGGATTTCAGGGAGAAAATCTGAGACCACTTGCTTAACTTGAGGGTCCTCCTCGACCCCCAAAATTGAGCGGAGTACGAGATGGAGAAGTCGATGGGGAAAGAAATCGCGCCCCTTCCGAGACCCTCCTCAGAATTCCCACAGTGGGAGCGAACTAGGAAGCAAGGGAGGTCCCCTTCCCCTTCACCAACTTGCCCCTCAGGTGGGGGTGATTCCCAGGGTGCACCCCTGGGCTACAACATTGGGGAGAGGAGCGAGATCGCGGAAGCCGAGGGTGCAGAGTTGCCCTTTTAAGCGCCCTCCACCCCCTCGCCTGGAGGCGCACGCGGCCCCTTTAAGGCGCGGGGCATTGTGGGTGCGGGGAGTGGAATTTTGGAACGAAATGTAACGAAGAGAAGTACAGTAGTAAGAGTAACACTGTAGCCGCCACCGGCAAGGGGTGCGCGCTGGGGAGCGGACGCTGCATCCCCTTTCTGCTGCAGGAACCTCTCATCAGACCGCCTGAGGGAAGCGGCGCCCGGAGACCCGCCCCGGCCCGGTCCACATTCTCCCCAGGAAGCCGGACTCTATGGGGCGGGACCCTGGGGGAGCCTGAGCCGAGCCCGGAGCCAGCCCCGAACCCCTGAACCTCCAGCCAGGGGCGCCCCGGGAGCAGCCAGCCCGTGGGCGAGCCGCCCGCCCGCCGAGCAGCCATGAGGTGAGCCGGACCTGCCCCCCGACCCGTCCCCGCCCGGGCGGGCTCCGCGCCCCGCCTTTGTCCCCCTCCCCCCCAGCTAGCTCCGGGCTGGAATTTGGGGACAGATCCTTGGGAGCCTCGGATTTGAGCTGAATCCCCTTGGACGCGCCCCAGAACCGTCGATCACTTCTCCACGACTGACTCCCCAAGCTCGGGGGGTGGTGGCGGTGAGGTTCTCCTGGGAGCCCTCAAGATTTGGGGGCGCTCGGAGGACTCCCGAATTGTTAAGACTTTTTTTAGAGGACCTCAAAGTTGGCAGCGACTCCCCGCAGGGATGCCAGGATTGAGGCAGGGCTCAGACTCTCCTCCCCCTCCCCCCAGACTTCAGCTCGAGGTCCGGGAAGGATTGTGGGGGACCGATTTGGGATACCCTGGGACTTGGAAGAGAGACTGAGACTCAGACCCTGGGTGTGCAGGTCCCCCGTTTACTTGGTGCTGGAAAAAGTCTCCCCAAGTGGGACCGCGCTCCATAACTTCGGGGGTACTTCTTAATCCCCTGGATTTTGGGGGTCACTTAGGTCTTCCTGTGGAGGAGGCTGGTGTGAACCGATCCAGGGACCTGGACGCAGCCTCCAGAGTCTGGTGGGACCCCCCCCTTCCCCGTCGCTCCGCACACAATCTGCTTAACTGGCCGTGCCTAGGACCGAGCGGGCGCTCGGAGCAGAGGGCGGCTCCCCGCCTCCGGCCATAAGGGCGGCCCGGCTCCCCCACCTGCGCGGCCCTGGAGAGGGAGGGGGCGCGGCAGCTGGGGGAAGGGGGCCTTTGTCTTCCTGACTCACCTGTCGAGACAGCTGGTGTGGGGGGCGGGCACCAAGCGCTGTAGGCCGGCTGCCTTCCCCACCACGGCCCCTCCCCCTTTGCTCACCGTCCCCCTATCCACCCGGAGCCTTGGGGTTGGAGGAGGGGGAGCTGGAAAGCTTCAAGGTCATAGCCCTCTTCCCTAGGGACCCAGGCTTCCCAGATAATTCCAGCTATCTTCCCAGGAATTTAATCCTGGGGGTGGCGGCCCAAGGGACCCAGGGATTTGGTCTGGCCGGGGCCTCCCCCGAACTCCTGGGCTCACCTGAGGGCGGGGCCAGTGTGGGCAGGGGGGCCCAACCATCCCCCCTATTCTTCCCTCCCCTGGCCCCCCATAATCTCTCCCATGGGGCCAGAGCCTGACAATACTATCTCCCTTCCTCTACTCTCTCTGGGACTTCCTGCCCCAAAGCCCCCAGCCTGAGCAGGGAGGCCCCTGGGGACGGTTGGGGATTAACCCCGTGGTGCCCACATCCCCCGCATTTCCTGAACCCCTGCCCTTTGACATCGGAGTGGCGTGGCATTCCTTTTTATGACCACTAGAGAATCCCCCTCCCGCGTTTGTTCCTTCTGATGTGAAAGGCATGGCTGGAAAATTTGGAGCAAGGAGGACACCCACAGATACCCTCAAGACTTCCTGCCTATCCGCTCCCCATTATAGCAACATCCCTTCCAAGTCCGCCCTGGAGAGGGGTCAGTTTAGGGAGCGTCGCTCTCTTCCTTCGCCCTCTTCCTCCGGGACTCTTCTCTCCCCTTGCCCCCCAGCCCCGCCCCTCCACCCCCCCTCGCGTTTCCGGTCCCAGGCTCGGTGGAAGGCGGATGGCGGATGTCCGAGTTAGTGCTGCCTCACTCACTGCAACCGTAAAAGGGCAGGAGCGGTGTCTGGGCCGGCCCCCTGTCCTCCCCACCACCACCACCACCACCAGCACCAGCCCTGGAAGCCCTGGCCCTCCCACAAGGCCCACCTCTTGCTGTGGTGGTGGCCAAGCATCCCGTCTTGTGGGGGTGCTGGGGTGGGGTGCGGTGCAGAAATGACCAGATGCCTGTCCCACCAAAAGGCCACTCCCACCTTTCCAGGGGGTCTCCCCTGCAGGTGGTCACACCCGACTTCCTGGGCTGTGCCTCTTCTCCAAGGACAGCCAGAATTCAAAACCCATGCCCCTATTACCCAGCTGGGGAAACTGAGGCTCAAAGAGAAAAAGACATGGCCAAGATCCCTCAGAAATTCCTAGGCAACGTTGGAGGGGTGGAGGAGCCTAGGATCCTCTGATTTCTGGCTGGTTTGGCTGGGGACAGTCCTGGGGGCAGTTGGAAGAGAGGATGTTAAGATGGAAAATTACAAGATATAGTTCTTTTTCTCCCAGTTTGACAAATATTTGTTGAGTGTTGGCTGTGTCCGGGACTGGAGCTGGGGTGCTGGGAAGACAGAGAAGCGAGGCAGAGGTCTAGAATCTCAGGGCAGAAGGGACTTGGGGAGAACTGGGGTCCATTTCTTTCTTCTTCCAATAATAGCTATTTTTATTTTTAAAAAATAAGAGACCATTTGATCAAGCATCTATTTTATGTGGGGCATTTTTGTGCCTGACAGCAATTCTGGCTGGTTTTTTTGTTGGTTTGTTTGTTTGTTTTGAGACGGAAATTTTGCTCTTGTTGCCCAGGCTGTTGTGAAATGGCATGATCTCGGCTCACTGCAACCTCCGTCTCCTGGGTTCAAGCGATTCTCCTCCTCAACCTTCCGAGTAGCTGGGACTACAGGTGCCTGCCACCATGCCCGGCTAATTTTTATATTTTTAGTAGAGATAGGGTTTCACCGTGATGGCCAGGCTGGTCTCGAACTCTTAACCTCAGGTGATCCACCCGCCTCGACCTCCTAAAGTGTTATTATTACAGACGTCAGCCACCACACCTGGCCCCTCATGGCAGTTCGAACAATGATACTATTACAACCTTGTGGCCTCCCCACCCCGGTACTCAGTTTATAGATGGGGAAACTGAGGCACAGGAAAGTTAGGCAAGGTGCCTATTAAACTCAAACAGGGCCAGGCGCCGGGGCTCATGCCTGTAATCCTAACACTTTGGGAGGCCAAGGCAGAAGGATCGCTTGAGCCCAGGAGTTTGAGAACAGCCTGGGCAATATGGTGTAACCCCGTCTCTACAAAATATACAAAAATTAGCTGGGTGTGGTGGCATGCGCCTGTAGTTCCAGCTACTCTGGAGGCTGAGGCGAGAGGATCGTTTGAGCTGGGGAGGTTGAGGCCGCAATGAGTCATATTCTTGCCACTGCACTCCAGCCTGGGTGACAAAGTGAGACCCTGTCTCAAAAAAAAAAAAAAAATAGAGATAACATGCTTTCCGTGTTCTTAATGAAGAAAAAGAAAAAAAAAAAGGAACGTGCTTTCACTGTGAAAACTCTTAAGATAATTCAGATAAGCCAAATGAAACCGAAGCTGCAACATTTATCTTCCTATTCACTTATGGGAAACTGAGGCCCACCAGGAGGAAGGGACTAGAGTAGCCCCATCCCCGACAAAAGAAGATTTGTCGTTTGGAAGGGTGGTGTATATGTATCATAGGTTTTATGGTATAAGGAGGGTATGGGCTAAGTCTTGGGTTCAGGGGACAGTGAAGGGAAGGGTAAGACTGCAAGTTTTGTGAAAACCGGATTCACCATGCTTGATTACCTCTGGTGATGGGAAGCTCTCTCCTTCATGTGGAGCGTGTACCAAGTTACAGTTCCTGCGTTTAGGGCTTTTTGTCCATTATCTCTTTTAATCCTTACAATGAACCCAGTGAGTTATTGTTTCCAGGGCTGGAAACTGAGTTTCAGAGAGGCAAAGCCACACAACAAGGAGGCAACTTGAACCGTCTTTTCATCCGCCATGTGCTAGAGTTTTCCAAAATGTGGGGACTTGCAGGGAGGAGTGGGTCCTGGGCTGGCTGGAAAATTAAAGTGTTCTCATGTCCAATGGAGGGTTCTAGACTTCGGGAAAACACACTGGAAATGGGCAGAACTCCTTTCCATCTCACAGCCCCCGCACCCCCGTTTTATGGCTATGGGATTTTCGTTCTGGCTTTTGTGTAGTTTACAGTTTTATTTATTGAACTTAAGTAGTGAGTTAGGTTTTTATAGGTAATTTCAACCCATGATAAGAAAACAAATAATAAGCAGTTTGAAATACTTACTGAAATTATTGAAATGGTGGCTGGGCCTGGTGGCTTATGCCTGTAATCCCAGCACTTTGGGAGGTCGAGGCAGGCAGATCACCTGAGGTCAGGAGTTTGAGGCCAGCCTGGCCAATGTGGCAAACGCCCAAACCCCATCTCTACTGAAAATAGAAACATTAGCCTGGCGTGGTGGCACACGTTTGTAATCCCGGACACTCAGAAGGCTGAGGCAGGAGAATCGCTTGAACTCGGGAAGTGGAGGCTGGGAGGCTGAGGCAGGAGAATTGCTTGAACCTGGGAGGTGGAGGCTGCAGTAAGCTGAGATTACACCACTGCCAGCCTGGGTGCAGAGTGAGAGACTCTGTCTCAAAAGATAAATGGTACAAAATATTTGTTTCTTCCCTCCCCAGTTCCTGAGTTCCCCTCAATGGAGGCAGCCACAGTTAGTGTCTTGGGAAACAGTCTCTGCATATATCACCACTCTGAGTGCAGATATATTTATATATGCTCCTCACTGTTTTTTTTTTTGAGATGGAGTCTTGCTCTGTCGCCCAGGCTGGAGTGCAGTGGCGCGATCTCAGCTCACTGCAACCTCCACCTCCCAGGTTCAAGCAATTCTCCTGCCTCACCTCCTGAGTAGCTGGAATTACAGGCACGCGCCACCACGCCCAGCAAATTTTTCTATTTTTAGTAGAGACAGGGTTTCACCATGTTGGTCAGGCTGGTCTCAAACTCCTGACATCAAGAGGTCCGCCTGCTTCGGCCTCCCAAAGTGCTGGGATTACAGGCTTGAGCCACTGCGCCTAGCCTACCTTTTTTGTTTGTTTGTTTTTGTTTTTGAGACGGAGTCTTGCTCTGTCCCCCAGGCTGGGGTGCAGTGGCGTGATCTTGGCTCACTGCAACCTCCGCCTCCTGGGTTCACGTGATTCTCCTGCCTCAGCCTCCCAAGTAGCTGGGATTACAGGCGCCCGCCACCACGCCTGGCTAATTTTTTGTATTTTTAGTAGAGACGGGGTTTCGCTATGTTGCCCAGACTGGTCTCAAACTCCTGACCTTGTGATCCGCCTGCCTTGGCCTCCCAAAGTGCTGGGATTACAGGCATGAGCCACCGCACCCGACCTTTTTTTTGGTTTTGTAAAGCCTCTGATCAACACTACCTTGTACTTTGGCTTTTAAAAATTTCAATTTAGCTCTGCTTCTTCATCTTTAAATGAAGTTAAGAACTTGTGGGAACTTCGTTTCAACTATGAGCCCCTCTGCTTACTTGCTGTGTGATCTGGGGCAAGTGCCTTCACTCCTCTGTGCCTGCAATTCCCCCTTGTCAAAAGGGTGAGCGTCAGAGCCTATCCCATGAGGTTGTAGAGTCATGCAGCAGGGAAATTGGTGTCAAGCACCAAGAAGAGTGTCTGGGACCCAGGCTGACTGAGAAATGTTAGGTGTCCTAGGTAAAAGTTTGCCTTTTTTTGTGAGGGAGTCTTGCTCTGTGAGGGAGTCTTGCTCTGTTGCCCAGGCTGGAGTGCAAGTGACCTGAACAAGGCTCACTGCAGCCTCATCCTCTTGGACTCAAGTGATCCTCCTGCCTCACCCTCCTGAGTAGCTGGGACTACAGGCAAGCGCCACCACACCCAGCTAATTTTAAAGTTTTTTGTACAGACGGAGGTCACCATCTTGCCCAAGCTAGTCTCTCTCCTTTTTTTTTTTTTTTTTTTTTGAGACAGAGTCTCGCTCTGTCTCCCAGACTGGAGTGCAGTGGTCTGAGATCGGCTCACTGCAACTGCCTCCTGGGTTCAGTGATTCCCCTGCCTCAGCCTCCTGGGTAGCTGGGATTACAGGCATGAGCCACCATGCCTGGCTAATTTTTGTATTTTTAGTAGGCATAGGGTTTCACCATGTTGGCCAGGCTGGTGTCGAACTCTTGACCTCAAGAGATCCACCTGCTTTGGCCTCCCAAAGTTCTGGGATTACAGGCATAAGCCACCACACCCAGCCTTCCCAAGCCAATCTCAAACTCTTGGGCTCAAGTGATCCTCCTGCCTCAGCCTCCCAAAGTGCTGGGATTACAGGCGTGAGCCACCTCCCCTGGCCAAAGTTTGCCTTTTTTTACAGATGTTTCGTAACTATTGAGTCCCTACTATGTGTTGGACGCCATTCTAGGTTCTGGGGACACAGCAGTGAACAACTGGGACACAAATTTCTGCCTTTTTGGCAGCGGAGACAGACAAATATTGTGTTGGGCAGGGGTCACTGCTATGAAATGTGCAGCAGGGGATGAAAAGGAGAGAAGCGTTTCCAGCTAAGGGAGTGAGGGACGGCTTCTTGGAAGGGGTGACATCTAAGGAGAGACCTGAAAGTGGGGAGAGGCTAGGCCTGAGGAAGAAGCAGCACACAGGCCCGAGGCAGGAATGTGTCTGGCCTGCGGGAAGAGCAGCATGGGGGTAGGAGGTCTAGGGTCTGGAACAGAGTCCCCAAGGGACAGTGGAGCGGGAAGAAATGAGATCTGAGGACACACAGATCACGGAGGCCCTGGAGAGAACTTGGCATTGATTCCGTAGGAGCCTGGAGCCTTCAAGAAGAAGAAGAGACATCCCACCTTGTAGGTTTTTGTTAGTTTGTTTTGTTTTTTAGAGATGGGGGGTCTCACTGTGTTGCCCAGGCTGGTCTTGAACTTCTGGACTAAAGCAATCCTCCCGCCTCGGCCTCTCAAAGTGCTGGGATTACAGGCATGAGCCACCGTTCCCCGCCCCACCTCGTGTTTTAACAGGATCCTTCTGTTACAATGGGTATAGTGTTCCCTGGAGAGGGGCAAGACCACCCCTTGGTCACCCAGCAGGCGCCCTGTTCTCCGGCCAGTCCAGAGCCTCAGTAGGGCAGGGCTGCCTGGGAGAGCAAAGTGCAGCCAGGGCGGGGCAGCAGCAGCCCCGGGCTCCTGGCCAGAGTCGGCCCTGGGTGTGGGTGGCAGGTGTGGGTGAGGCCGAGGCCTTAACCCTGCCTTGCCAGGGGCAGCAGGAGCCAGAAACAGCCCCCGAGGCTGTGTTTGTCTGGAAAGGGCACCTGGTGTTTGGGTGGGGCCCACACAGTTCCCGGTGGTTAAGGCTTGGAAGCCTGAATTCACATCTTCACTCTATTCCTCAGTAGCTGTGTGACTGTGGGCAAGTCACTCAACCTCTCTGGGCCTCTAGTCCTCACCTGCAAAATTAGAATGAGTGGCTCTCTGGATAAGCTGCAGTGAGAATAAAATGAGTGACTTTGGGGGAGGGGCTTAAGGCCCCTGATCCACCTGAAATGCCTAGTAAGAGGGAGATGGCACAATTAGGTAAATTTGAGGGTCCCTACCCCAGGTCCCTACCCACAGCTGAGTCTGCCTAGGGACTTTCCCTGCCCTGACTTCCCAGCATCAGTGTCACACCCAGCCCCCAGCCCTCCTAGAGACAGAGGCTTTGCGGGGGGTGTCTAATTTCTGTCCCCGGAAACCTCTGACCACCAACTTCCCCATTTCAGGAAAAAGCCTGGTGTGGGTGGGGTGGGGAGGAGACCAGTGCTTCCCCTTCCCCTGTGTGACCTTGGGCAAGTCACTTCCTGTTTGAGTTCCTGTCTAGGCCTGAGTTTCCTCACTGGGGGAGAGGGGATTGAACCTCCCAGAGGGGCTGGTGGGAGGGTCCCGAGGGTTGTAGCTGTCCCGGGCCCCAGTGGTGCCCATGAGAGGGATGTTGACAGTTACTGAGCTCTCGGCGTGTGCTGGACGCTGTACCAAGCACTTAGCTTTTTTTCTTTTTTTTGAAACAGAGTTTCACTCTGTCGCCCAGGCTGGAGTGCAATGGCGTGATCTCAGCTCACTGCGGCCTCCACCTCCTGGGTTCAAGCGATTCTCCTGCGTCAGCCTCCTGAGTAGCTCAGACTACAGGTGCACACCACCACGCCCAGCTAATCTTTGTACGTTTTTGTAGAGACGGGATTTCACCATGTTGCCCAGGCTGGTCTCGAACACCTGAGCTCAAGCGATCCATTCACCTCAGCTTCCCAACATGCTGTAATTACAGGCGTGAGCCACCACACCCGGCTGTACCAAGCCCTTTAGGTGCCCAGATTCATGTGCCCCTCCCCCACTGCCCTGGAGGTGGGGACTGTCATTTTCCCAGTTCACAGGCAAGAAGAGGTCTTGAGTGGGAAGGTCATGTGCCTGAGTCACATGAAGTAGGTGGCTCAGTGGGGATTTGAACCCAGGTCTGGGGATATCAGCTCCTGAACTCTGCACCAGTTTACTGACACCTCCCACCCAGGCTAAGTCAGACGTTGCCTTTTCCAGGAAGTCCTGCCTGACTCTCCAGGCTGGGGCAGGCGTTCCTTCAGGGTACCCCCAGACCCTGGGCTCCTTGGTCCTAAACCTGGGTTGGTACCGTCTGGGGACAGCTGTGTCTCCCACACTGGACTGTGAGCCCCAGGAGGGTGGTGCCGGAGCTGTCTGGGTCACTGCTGTGTCTTCATCCCCAGCCCCACCCAATATAGGCCAGACACAGAGCAGGGAGTATCTGGGGAATGGCCGCTAGTGCCCTGGGGAGCCAGGCGAGGGGTGGGCAGCGGGAAGTCCCTTTGGAGGAAGAGCTCAGAGGTCTGGGATGGGTCCCCAACCTGCTGCAGGCCTCACACTTCCCCTCCCAAGCCTCAGCTTCTTCCTGAGCAGGCAGTGGTGGAGGGGGGTGCGTAGAGATAGGGAAACTGAGGTCAGGCAGGGGCTGGTCCCTAGTGCAGCTCTGGGCTCTTGGCCTCCTTCTGGCCCCTCTGTCTTCCCTCCTGCCCTCTGCTCTGCTAACCCGCATCCCCCCACTGGCATTGGCCTCGGCCTCTTACACCCCTCAGCCTGTCTCTCCATCTTTATCTTTTCCTTCTTATTAGTTTTGTTGTGTTGTGTTTTTTATTTTTCATTAAAAAAGTTTTTTTGTGGACTGGGTGTGGTGGCTCACCCCTGTAATCCCAGCACTTTGTGGGGCTGAGGCAAATGGATCACTTGAGCCCAGGAGTTCGAGACCAGTCTGGCCAACATGGTGAAACCTCGTCTCTACTAAAAATACAAAAAATTAGCTGGGCTTGGTGGTGCATGCCTGTGATTCCAGCTACTCAGGAGGCTGAGGCGGAGAATGGCTTGAACCTGGGAGGCAGAGGTTGCGGTGAGCCGAGGACAGCCCGGGTGACAGAGTAAGACTCTGTCTCAAAAAAAAAAAAAAAAAAAAAAAGATTAGTCGGGTGTGGTGGTGCATGCTTGTAGTCCCAGCTACTTGGGAGGCTGAAGTGGGAGGATCGCTTGAGCTCAGGAGGTCGAGGCCACATTCCAACCTGGGTGACAGAGAGCAAGACTCTGTCTCAAAAACAAAAATAAAAATAATAATAATAATTATTATTATTAGAGATGGGGTCTCACTATGTTGCCCAGGCTGCTCTGAAATGCTTGGGCTCAAGTGATCCTCCTGCCTCAACCTCCAAAGTGCTGGGATTACAGGTGTGAGACACCACGCCAAGACCATCTTTATCTCTTTCTGTGTCTGCCTCTTCCTCCAGGTCCCCTGTCTGCCCATCCTTTTTCCCCACCCCTCCCCCATCTGTTCATCTGTCTGTCTGCCTTCAGTCTGTCTCTCCTCTTTGTCAACCCGACTCTCCCTTTCCCACCTCTCTCTGCGTCTGTCTCTTGCATCTCGTTTGTGTGTTTGCCTGTCTCTCCTGATCTGATTTTCTCTCCTGATCTGTCTCCCCCGTCTCCTTCTGTCCACGTGGCTCCTGCCTCCCTCTGTGTCACTCTCTTCCTTCCACACACTGTCTTTGTCCCTTGGAATCTCCCAGGAGAGACCCAGATAAGAAGGTGACCGGCCCCTCTCCCTTTTCCTCCCGCCTGCAGCGAGACGGTCATCTGTTCCAGCCGGGCCACTGTGATGCTTTATGATGATGGCAACAAGCGATGGCTCCCTGCTGGCACGGGTCCCCAGGCCTTCAGCCGCGTCCAGATCTACCACAACCCCACGGCCAATTCCTTTCGCGTCGTGGGCCGGAAGATGCAGCCCGACCAGCAGGTGCAGCTTCCCGCCGGCCCCCTCTGTGGGCTGAACCCCTACCCGCCCCACCCCTGCGCCCGCCGCCCCTCACCCCCCTTTCCCCTCCCACCAGGTGGTCATCAACTGTGCCATCGTCCGGGGTGTCAAGTATAACCAGGCCACCCCCAACTTCCATCAGTGGCGCGACGCTCGCCAGGTCTGGGGCCTCAACTTCGGCAGCAAGGAGGATGCGGCCCAGTTTGCCGCCGGCATGGCCAGTGCCCTAGAGGCGTTGGAAGGTCAGAAATGGCGGCGGGCAAAGGGGACCAGTGAATGCGGCTGTGTGGCCTGGGGCTGCCGCTTTACCCTGCTGGGACTTGGTTTACTCGTCGGTAAAATAGAGCGAATTCATTGTTATCATGGAAAATTATCACTAGCATTTTGTGCATTCCAGTGTGACCGTGTGCACCTATGTGTAAAATGCACCATTGGCCCGGCGCCGTGGCTCATGCCTGTAATCTCAGCACTTTGGGAGGCCGAGGCACACGGATTACCTGAGGTCAGGAGTTTCACCGTGCCCAACATGGTGAAATTGCGTCTCTATTAAAATTCAAAAATTAGCTGGGCGTGGTGGTGCGCGCCTGTAATCCCAGCTATTCGGGATGCTGAGGGACGAGAAGTGTTTGAACCCAGGAGATAGAGGTTGCAGTGAGCCGAGATCAGGCCACTGCACTTCAGCCTGGCGACAGAGCAAGATTCCGTCTCAGAAAGAAAACAAACACAAAAAAAATGCACGATTACTCAGGGATCAGTACTCCATGAACTTTACACAGGCACACTCCCGGGAAACCACCTCCCAGATCAAGACATAGGTAGGTCCTGCCCCAGAAACAGGATCTCGCTCTGTTGCCCAGGCTGGTGTGCACTGGCACAATCATGGCTCTCTGCAGCCTTCACCTCCTGGGCTCAAGTGATCCTCTTGCCTCAGCCTCCTAAGTAGCTGGGAATACAGGTGTGCACCACCATACTTGGCTCTTTTTTTGTTTTGTTTTTTGAGACAGAGTCTTGCTCTGTCACCCAGGCTGGAGTGCAGTGGTGCAACCTCAGCTCACTGCAACCTCCACCTCCCGGGTTCGCGTGATTCTCGTGCCTCAGCCTCCTGAGTAGCTGGGATTACAGGCATGTGCCACCATGCCCAAGCTATTTTTTTGTATTTTGTTTTTATTTTTATTTTTTTGAGACAGAGTCTCACTCTGTTGCCCAGGCTGGAGTGCAGTGGCACGATATTGCCTCACTGCAACCTCCGCCTCCCGGGTTCAAGCGATTCTCCTGCCCTAGCCTCCCGAGTAGCTGGGACTATAGGCGTGAGCCACCACACCCGGGTAATTTTTTGTATCTTTAGTAGAGACAAGGTTTCACCGTGTTAGCCAGGATGGTCTCTATCTCCTGACCTTGTGATCCGCCCGCCTAGGCCTCCCAGAGTGCTGGGATTACAGGCATGAGACACCATGCCCGGCCCTTGTATTTTAGTAGAGAAGGGGTTTCACCATATTGGCCAGGCTGGTTTCAAACTCCTGGCCTCAAGTGATCCACCTGCCTCTGCCTCCCAAAGTGCTGGGATTATAAGTGTGAGCCACCATGTCTGGCCACCTGGATCATTTCAAATTTTTTTTTTTTTTTTACTTTTTGTGGAGATGGTCTACAGGCTGGTCTTGAACTCCTGGGCTCAAGTGATCCTCCCACTTCAGCCTCCTAAAGTGCTGGGATTACAGGCATGAGCCACTACACCCAGCCCAGTTGCTTTTTTTTTTTTTTTTTGGAGACGGAGTCTCGCTCTGTCCCCAGGTTGGAGTGCAGTGGCGCGATCTCCGCTCGCTGCAAGCTCTGCCTCCCGGGTAAATGCCATTCTCCTGCCTCAGCCTCCCGAGTAGCTGGGACTACAGGCACCCGCCACCACATCCAGCTAATTTTTTGTATTTTTAGTAGAGACGGGATTTCACCGTGTTAGCCAGGATGGTCTCGATCTCCTGACCTCGTGATCCGCCCGCCTCGGCCTCCGAAAGTGCTGGGATTACAGGCGTGAGCCACTGCGCCCGGCCTTTTTTTTTTTTTTTTTTTTTTTTTTTTAATATGGAGTCTCACTCTGTCTCTCAGGCTGGAGTGCAGTGGTGTGATCTCAGTTCACTGCAACCTCCGCCTCCTGAGTTTAAGCAATTCTGCCTCAGCCTCCTGAGTAGATGGAACTATAGGTGTGCACCAACATGCCTGTCTAATTTTTGTAGTTTTAGTAGAGACGGGGTTTCGCAGTGTTGGCCAGGCTGGTCTCGAACTCCTGACCTCAGGTGATCCACTCGCCTCGGCCTCCCAGAGTGCTGAGATTACAGGCGCGAGTCACGCGCCCAGCCCAGTTGCTATTTCTTAAACCTTAACGTGCACATGAATCACCTGGGGATCTGGTTAAAGTGCAGGCTCTGGTGCAGGTGGGCTGGGCGGACTGAGACTCCACATTCTCACAAGTGCCCTGGTGATACCCAGGCTGCTGGTCTGCGGACGTGACTGAGTAGTGAGGTTTTAGGTGACTGCCGTGCATCTGGCCTGGAATCACTGCTGTAGAACTGAAAGTCACCAAATGCAGGGGTGTTTGCTTCGTGGGACAACTTCTGTGCTAGTGCGGAAGGGGCTTGCTCCTCTGGGGCACACAGAAAAATACAGTGGGCTTCAGTTGAGTCATCTGTAAATTGGGGCTAATTCATTGTTAATTCGTAGCCAATTCAATTCAGGTGCTAGGGCCAGAGGCCTGGAGGTAGGTGAGGAAGAAGCTCTTTACCTTTCCAGGTTCTTAGGTAAGGTCCAAGTGGCTGTAACAGTGGTTAAGAGCTAGCCAGGGGCCAGGTGCGGTGGCTCACGCCTGTAATCTCAGCACTTTGGGAGGCTGAGGCAAGTGGATCACTTGAGGTCAGGAGTTCGAGACCAGCCTAGCCAACATGGTGAAATCCCATCTCTATTAAAAATACAAAAATTAGCCAGGCATGGTGGCAGGCGCCTGTAATCCCAGCTACTCAGGAGGCTGAGGCAGGAGAATCTCTTGAACCCGGGAGGTGGAGGCTGTGGTGAGCCGTGATTGCACTGCTGCACTCCAGCCTGGGTGACAGAGTGAGACTCTGTCTCGAAACAAACCAACAGTGGTTAAGAGCCTGGCTGCTGGAATCAGCCTGAATTCAAGTCTTGTTCCTGCACATTCCACCCTGGAGAAATCTGGGGCAAGTGACTGTTCCCCGGGCCTTAGCTTCTCCTGTCACTGGGACATCACAACAGCACCTACCTTAGGGCAACTCAGGCCAGGGAAGTTGGTGCTGCCTCACCTCCCAATGTGCGTCCTCCTGGGCCTGGAGCCTCAGGGCCTCTGGAAGGAGGAAGTGAGCGCCTCTGGGCAGGATTCCTGGGAGGCCTGGGAGAGCAAGGGAAGCGCCAAGAGCTGAGCAGAGTTCTGGGACTGATCCATGGCCCTTTCTCTCTCACCTTTCAGGAGGTGGGCCCCCTCCACCCCCAGCACTTCCCACCTGGTCGGTCCCGAACGGCCCCTCCCCGGAGGAGGTGGAGCAGCAGAAAAGGTGGGGCTGGGCCCTGGGTGGGGAACCTTAGCCGCTGCCAGAGTTCCATATGTTCTGGAACCCTTGACTCCTAGAGTTCAGAACCCAGCCAACTTGCAGTTTTCAGAATGTTCAAGAAACTTCTGACACTCAGAGTTGCAGAACCTCCTGGTCCCTGCAGATTCCTGGAAATCAGAATATGGTGGTTGAAAGAATCTTGTGGCTGGGCGTGGTGGCTCACGCCTGTAATCCCAGCACTCTGGGAGGCCGAGGCGGGCAGATCGCCTGAGGTCAGGAGTTTGAGACCAGCCTGGCCAACATGGCGAAATCCCGTCTCTACTGAAGATAACAAAAATTAGCCGGTCATGGTGGCGCCCGTGCCTGTAATCCCAGCTCGGCAGGCCGAGGCAGGAGAATCGCTTGAACCCGGGAGGCAGAGGTTGCAGTGAGCCAAGATCGAGCCACTGCACTCCAGCCTGGGTGACAGAGTCTCAAAAAAAAAAAAAGAAAAGAAAGAATCTTGGGCATTTTGTAATTCGGTGTTCCTGACAGTTTAGTGACTGGGATCTCGCATCCTGATCTCTCCCTGTCGCTGCCCTGCCCTCCATTCCCCCTACTCTCACCCAGCCCCCTTCTTGGTTCCCTAGGGGAGGAAGGCTTGGGTGAGTATTAGGAGCCAGCCACCCTGGAGACCTCTGAGAGAGAGGACGGAGGTCGCTGGCCCCTTCGCTGGCCATCCTTAGGGCCCTGATTGACGGCAGCTCTCTCGCCTCCCCCCACAGGCAGCAGCCCGGCCCGTCGGAGCACATAGAGCGCCGGGTCTCCAATGCAGGTGATGCTCAGATAGCTTCGGGAGTTGGGAGGGGGCCTCCCTGGAGGAAGTGGCCAGCCAGCTGGACAGTGAAGAATGAGGCTTCTCTCTCTCAGCTGCCCCCTTTTCTGTGTTTGTTTCAGGAGGCCCACCTGCTCCCCCCGCTGGGGGTCCACCCCCACCACCAGGACCTCCCCCTCCTCCAGGTCCCCCCCCACCCCCAGGTTTGCCCCCTTCGGGGGTCCCAGCTGCAGCGCACGGAGCAGGGGGAGGACCACCCCCTGCACCCCCTCTCCCGGCAGCACAGGGCCCTGGTGGTGGGGGAGCTGGGGCCCCAGGCCTGGCCGCAGCTATTGCTGGAGCCAAACTCAGGAAAGTCAGCAAGGTGAGGGGCCGGGAGAGGTGGGCAGGGGGCAACAGGGCTTTTATGGGGGATGAGGCCAGGGCTGCCGGCGGTGTCATTGGGCTGGAAGGCCAAAAGGCCTGCCCCTAAAGCTCCTGCCCCTTTTAAATTTCTCCAGCAGGAGGAGGCCTCAGGGGGGCCCACAGCCCCCAAAGCTGAGAGTGGTCGAAGCGGAGGTGGGGGACTCATGGAAGAGATGAACGCCATGCTGGCCCGGAGGTGAGCCTGAGCCTGGACCCCCAAGTCACCTGGAGTTCCAGTTCAGTAGGGCCCAGTCAGAGGAGGGCTCCAATTCCTGTTTAGTTTGTTTCTTTTGGTGAATGTTCCCCCTTTGATAACCAGGTTTGGGATATAATGGTGGGGTTTGTCATGAAATGCCTGAGGCTTGCAACCACCTAGGTAGCCTGTAGATGTTCTAAAACCCAGAATTCTAGAACCGTAGGAGATCCTGCCTCAGAATTCTGGGAACTCAGGTTCCTGCAATCTCAGTGTTCCAACACAGCACCGCTCCACCCTCGGAATCTTACTGTTCCCTAATATAAGAATCATAGAACCTCCTCCACCCTGATTCTAGAACCACAATCTCTTGAATTTTTTTTTTTTTTTTTTTTTTTTTTTTTTGAGATGGAGTCTTGCTCTGTCACCCAGGCTGGAGTGCAGTGGTATGATCTCGGTCCACTGCAACCTCCGCCTCCTGGGTTCAGGCAGTTCTTCTGCCTCAGCCTCCTAAGTAGCCGGGATTACAGGCATGAGTCACCACACCCGGCTAATTTTTGTATTTTTAGTAGACACAGGATTTCACCATGTTGGCCAGGCTGGTCTTGAACTCTTGACCTCAAGAGATCCACCTGCTTCAGCCTCTCAAAGTGTTGGCATTACAGGCCACTGCGCCCAGCACAATCTCTTGAATTTCTAAAACTAGAGTTTCCTTAGGTTTTCGGAGTTCCAGAATTCTATGCGCTAGGATCTACATTTCTAGAACTCCCCTCAGAAGGGGATGGGTTGGGTGACGGAAGCACGTGTTTTTGCTTTTCTCTCCTGCAGAAGGAAAGCCACGCAAGTTGGGGAGAAAACCCCCAAGGATGAATCTGCCAATGTAAGTCAGGGACTCTTCTTGCCCTACATCTCTTAGGCCGTACCATGAGGGTAGGGATAGTGGGATGTGTGGGGTTTGAACCTGAAAGAGGAAATGGGCAGAGGTGTGGCAGGGGCTGGCTCATGGCAGTTTTATTTCCTACCAGCAGGAGGAGCCAGAGGCCAGAGTCCCGGCCCAGAGTGGTGAGTAGAGTGCCCAGTCCAGCCACAGGAACTACAAATCCCAGAATACTCTGTTCTCACATGTTAAGCACCCTTATAGGAGAGTCAGGGCGAATGGTGCTGGGGATTGTAGTCTCCTGAGATGGGGCTTTGATCAGGGGCTGATGAGGTTGGGGGAGTAAGATTGATTGGGGGGCAGTCTTTTGTCCCTGATCTTTCTGATTTCTTGCCTATCCCCAGAATCTGTGCGGAGACCCTGGGAGAAGAACAGCACAACCTTGCCAAGGTAGGCCATCGGTCCTGGGGCCCTTGGGGAGGTAAAGGCGGGCAGATCGCTTGAGCCCAGGAGGTCAAGACCAGCCTGGGCAACATGGCGACACCCCATCTCTACAAAAATTAGCCAGGCGTGGTAGCACTTACCTGTGGTCCCAGCTACTCAGGAGGCTGAGGTGGGAGGATTACTTGAGCCCAGGAAGTTGAGGCCTCAGCGAGCCATCATCATGCCTGCACTCCAGCCTGAGAAATAGAATGTGACTGTCTCAAAACAAAACACAACAAACCAAAACCAAAAAAAAAAAAAACTGGGGCCCCAAAAATACTTGGACTTGCCCAATTTATAAGGCAGAGCTCAATGTGACCCCTGGAATAGGAGGCGGGGAAGCAGGTCCTCTCTCTAATCTCATTGCTGTCCCAAACCACACCAACTCCCCCAGGATGAAGTCGTCTTCTTCGGTGACCACTTCCGAGACCCAACCCTGCACGCCCAGCTCCAGTGATTACTCGGACCTACAGAGGGTGAAACAGGTAACTTGGGGGGGAAGTTGGGGACCACAGCAAGAGAGATCTAGGTCTGGCCCCTGCCACTGGCATGCCGTATGATCCTAGATAACATCTCAGAAACCTCAGGTTTCCAATCTGACAAATGGAGAAACTGGATTGGGTCAAGGATGACCGAGACTCCACACCCCCTTTTCTGGCACCTGTGACAGACATTATTAATCTATCACCGCGCTCATTCCAGATGAGTGCCTTGAATTCTTTCCGCACATTGACCCAGCTGTCCATCACCAATTGGAGTTGGCAGGAGGCTGGAATGCGCTTGCCAACCTTGGTACTGGATGTTCTCCAGTACTTTTCCGGCTCCAAGGATCCAGAATTCTCCCCTAGAATCCTCCAGTCACTCTGCGACCTTGACAGCGATGTCATGGTGTCGATGTAGGGGTAGGTCTCAAACCTACTACCCCTGGCTTTTCCATCAACAAGAAAGAGGGGACTCTGGCAGGGCACGGTGGCTCATGTGTGTAATTTCAGCACATTGCGAGGCTGAGGTGGGAGCATTGCTTGAGGCCAGGAGTTTGAGACCAGCCTGGGGCAACATCGGGAGACCCCCATCTCTAAAAATAACTTTTAAAAGTTACCTGAGAAGGCCAGGTGCGGTGGCTCATGCCTGTAATCCCAGCACTTTGGGAGGCCGAGGTGGGTGGATCACCTGAGGTCAGGGGTTCAAGACCAGCCTGGCCAACATGGTGAAACCCATCGCTACTAAAAATACAAAAATTAGGCTGGGAATGGTGGCTCACAGCCATAATCCCAGCAGTTTGGAAGGCTGATGGGGACGGATCACGTGAAGTCAAAAGTTCGAGACCAGCCTGGCCAACATGGCGAAACCCTGTCTCTACTAAAAATACAAAAATTAGCTGGGCCTTGTGGGGGGCACCTGTAATCCAGTTATTTGGGCGGCTGAGGCAGGAGAATCGCTTGAACCCGGGAGCCAGAGATTGCAGTCAGCCGAGATTGGGCCACTGCACTGCAGTCTGGGTGACAGGGAGACTCTGTTTCAAAAAAAAAAAGAAAAAGAAAAAGTTACCTGATTGTGGCGGCAGGTGACTGTGGTCCCAGCTACTTGGGAGGCTAAGGCAGGAGGATTACCTGAGCCTGGGAAGTTGAGGCTGCAATGAGCTGTGATCATGCCATTGCACCCTAGCCTGGGCAACAGAGCAAGGTTCCTTCTCAAAAAATAAAAGAAGGGGGATTCATTCCTGCAAGTCCCGGTACCCCCTCCTGATTAGTTTTACCCCATTAATTTTAGGAGCTTCTGGAAGAGGTGAAGAAGGAATTGCAGAAAGTGAAAGAGGAAATCATTGAAGGTGAGGTGGTTTGCTTTGGTTTTGTTCTTAAACATTTACTTATTTTGGAGGCATCATGTCCCTGGGCAAGAGCCCTGTTTTGGAAGGGAGGAGGCAGAGACTCTGCCCCTGACCTCTGCTCCTTGTTTCCTTCCAGCCTTCGTCCAGGAGCTGAGGAAGCGGGGTTCTCCCTGACCACAGGGACCCAGAAGACCCGCTTCTCCTTTCCGCACACCCGGCCTGTCACCCTGCTTTCCCTGCCTCTACTTGACTTGGAATTGGCTGAAGACTACACAGGAATGCATCGTTCCCACTCCCCATCCCACTTGGAAAACTCCAAGGGGGTGTGGCTTCCCTGCTCACACCCACACTGGCTGCTGATTGGCTGGGGAGGCCCCCGCCCTTTTCTCCCTTTGGTCCTTCCCCTCTGCCATCCCCTTGGGGCCGGTCCCTCTGCTGGGGATGCACCAATGAACCCCACAGGAAGGGGGAAGGAAGGAGGGAATTTCACATTCCCTTGTTCTAGATTCACTTTAACGCTTAATGCCTTCAAAGTTTTGGTTTTTTTAAGAAAAAAAAATATATATATATTTGGGTTTTGGGGGAAAAGGGAAATTTTTTTTTCTCTTTGGTTTTGATAAAATGGGATGTGGGAGTTTTTAAATGCTATAGCCCTGGGCTTGCCCCATTTGGGGCAGCTATTTAAGGGGAGGGGATGTCTCACCGGGCTGGGGGTGAGATATCCCCCCACCCCAGGGACTCCCCTTCCCTCTGGCTCCTTCCCCTTTTCTATGAGGAAATAAGATGCTGTAACTTTTTGGAACCTCAGTTTTTTGATTTTTTATTTGGGTAGGTTTTGGGGTCCAGGCCATTTTTTTTACCCCTTGGAGGAAATAAGATGAGGGAGAAAGGAGAAGGGGAGGAAACTTCTCCCCTCCCACCTTCACCTTTAGCTTCTTGAAAATGGGCCCCTGCAGAATAAATCTGCCAGTTTTTATAAATGCTAAGATCTCTGGAGTGATTTGAAGGCCTGTTCTGATGGGGATGGAGGTGTGCTCGGCCCCCGGTGCCCCTCCAGGAAGATTTGGTCCTCTGCTGAGAACCCCTGCCTCCTCCCAGGAATCCACCTTCCCTTCATCTTCCTTCCCACCCTGCATATTGCGCCTGCTCACTCATCCTCAGGCCCGCAGCCAGGATGATCTCTGCCCCCTCCAGCCTCCCTCCCCATGCCCCTTAGGAGGCCACTTCCTCCCCATCCCACCCTGCCCTTCACCACCCTAGGGGAGGCCAGAAGCAGCCTCACTTTGTGTAGCCTTGGGCAAGTCCATTTGCTTACCTCAGGCCTCAGTTTCTGATTTGGGAAAGGGCTCATAAGATGATTCTCTGCCCCCACTCTACCACTCTCCCAGCTTCTTTCCTCTTTTTTTTTTTTTTTTTTTTTAATGAGTTGGAGTCTTGCTCTTTCACCCAGTCTGGAGTGTAGTGGCAGGATCACAGCTCACTGCAGCCTTGAACTCCTGGGCTCAAGGGATCCTCCTGCCTCAGCCTCCCAAGTAGCTGGAACTACAGGCGTTTGGTATGACGCCTAGCTAATATTTTCATTTTTCGTAGAGATGCGGTCTTGCTGTGTTGCCTAGGTTGGTCTCTAACTCCTGGCCTCCAGCAGTCCTCCTGCTTTGGCCTCTTAAAGTGCTGGAATTACAGGCGTGAGCCACTGTGTCCGGCCTTCTTTCCTAATTTCAATGACATTTTGCAGACGCACATTATGGTTCTCAGACACGTTCTTAAGATCTTTACCCCAGAGCTCCTTTAATTAGAAAACGCTGACAGTCGATTTATAAAGTAGCATTCAGAGTCACAGAGCTCATCCACGCCCCCTTCAGTTGTCGGGTGGGTAGGTCATATGGCCTGGTGGAATACCCCGCTTGGACAGGGGGACCTCTGGGCTGAGGGACAGGTAGTCCCCCTGGAGGAGGCCTTTGCGTGAAGGAGGGCGGAGGAGGACCTGGACCAGTCCAAAGGCAGGAAGGAAGGGCGATCCCTGCGTACCGTGAGGGGCAGATTTGGAGGGAAGTTGGGCGAACTGACGATGACTTAGGTAGTAAAGGGACAGGCCGGTCCCTAGCAAAGGCAACTGAAGAGGACAGCGAGGGAGGACCGGATAAAAGGACAGTAGCAGTAGGTCCAGGACTGGGGACTGGTGACCAAGTGACTGAGCCTGAAAGCCAGAATGGACTAGCCCTGGTCAAGACCGGTTTTTCCTCCCAAAAGGCCACGTCCTGCTGGAACAGACCACAGAATGCCGGGCTGGGAGGCGTTTCCCTGGAAGACCCAGCATAGCCATGCCAGTGGGGTGCGCCATAGGTGGAAGAAGAGGGGGGTTATGTTGGATCGATCCACTCAGGGAGGGGAGGATGTCAATGACAGGTACTAAGATGGATTAAGGTCAGGAGCCGCAGGGTGGTGACTCATTGGAGCTAACGCAGTCCAGGATTCACCCCCACCTTTCCCCCTAAGACTGAGGTAGATGGAAGGGGGCGGGTCGGGAAGTCCGTAGGAACTTTGTGCATCTTTACAATGGTCTGTACCAATGAGGAGGAGGTAGGTGGTGTTCGGTGCAAAGGATGAGCGTCCTAGGGGAAGGGTCCACTCAGGTGAGTGAGGGTGCGGGTGACAGAATGAGAGGTGGCTAAATCCGGGTGCAGAATTTTGTTTTGCCAAAAGAGGTGGACGTCCTGCTGGCCTACCTAGCGGTAGGGAGGTGGGGTCTGATAAAAGACGCTGTCTTTCCAAAGTGCTCAACAAATGCGCTGGCAGGGGCGGGGTGGGATAGGGCGGGGTCCTTCTTGGAACGTTCCACCTGCAGGAGGCGGAGAGTCCCAGTGGAAGGTACCACTGGGCAGGTTAGTAGGGAGGTTCGATCAGCTCCAGCCCAGGATCTCTCCGGCGCCCCCGAAGGACTGGGTGGTGTCAGCTGGGCCGGTCCAGGATGGGACAGTGCGGAGAATAGGCCAAGACAGAGACTTCGCAGTCCAGACAGCAGTCACCTCCAAGACCAGGGCCCCGAGACCTCCTATTTCTCGGACGCCGGCGCAACTGGGGGTGCAGGCGGCGGGTCTCGGAGGCAGAGGTGGGCTCGCACCTCCTGCAGCTGAGCGCGCAGCTCCTCCAGGGCGAGCTGCGTCGACGTCGCCTGCACCTGCGCCTGCAACTCCTCGAGCGCCAGCCCCAAGTGGCCCACCTCGCCCCGCAGCGCCTCCCTGGCAACACGTCGCTCCTTTTCCTTGCGGCGCTGCTGCAACTGGTGGCGCCAATACTCCAGCATCAGGCAGCTGCAGGCGGTGATGAAGATGATGCCCTCGCCCAGCAGCTCCGCGCCCAGCTCGGCGGCTGCACCCTCGTTCAGCGGCTTGATGGCAGCGGCATTGAAACCCATGATGCGCATTTTGGTCCGCATCTCCAGCCAGTGGTACACTGCAGGAAAAGACAGGAGTCAGGGGTCTTTTGCAGGGCAGCCTCCTATAAGCCCCGACCCTCTGTGCTTCGATGTCCCCGTTGTAGCAATGGGGATGTGGTCACCACAATCGGACGCGTGCTGGCGGGGACGCCTTAACGAAGACAAGTGCAGGCCTCACACCCAGAATCCTCTAGGGAAAACTTCCTTAACTAATGACTTACTCATGTGAAGGTGGAGTGTCAGCTTTTGCATCGTTATAAACACAGAAGATGCTGATGCTCTTTTTTTTTCTTTAATTTTTCTTTTTTTGAGCCAGGGTTTCGCTCTATCGTCCAGGCTGGAGTGCAGTGCCGAAATCACAGCTTACTGCAGCCTCGAACTCCTGGGCTCAAGCGATCCTCCTCCCGCCTCAGCCTCCAGAGTAGCTGGGACAACGTGTGCGCGCCATCATGCCTGGCTAATTTTTTAATTTTTTGTAGAAATGGGGGCTCCTTGCGTTGCCCAGGCTGGTCTCGAACTCCTGGGCTCAAGCGACCCTCCTGCCAAAGCCTCCCAAAGTGCTGGGACTGCAGGTGTGAGCCACGGAGCGCGGCCCTGAGGCTAACTCTTAATTCCATCAATAATTCATACTTCGCTGGGCGCGGTGGCTCATGCCTGTAATCCCAGCACTTTGAGAGGCCGAGGTGGGTGGCTCAGTTGAGATCAGGAGTTTGAGACCAGCCTGGCCAAGACGGTGAAACCCCGTCTCTACTAAAAATACAAAAATTAGCCGGGCGTGATAGCGCGTGCCTCTAATACCAGCTACTCTGGAAGTTGAAGCAGGAGAATCGCTTGAAACAGGGAGGCAGAGGCTGCAGTGAGCCGAGATCATGCCACTGTACTCCAGCCTGGGAGACAGAGCGAGACTCCATCTCAAAAAAAAAATAAAATTGTAACTTGATTTTTCACTGCACTCCCCCTCAACCCCATGAACTATATGGAATTCATCACATATTCTATCTCCTTCCCTCTCCCCTCCCAATTTTTACAAGTGGTTTTTATTTTTTTACTGTTTATTTTTATTTATGTATGTATGGTTTTTTTTTATTGAGACGGGGTCTTGCTCTGTTGCCCAGGCTGTAGTGCAGTGACACTATCTCAGCTCACTGCAACCTCCACCTCCCAGGTTCAAGTGATTTCCAACTAATTTTTGTATTTTTACTAGAGACGGGTTTTCACCATCTTGGCCAGGCTGGTCTCAAACTCCTGACCTCAAGTGATCCGCCTGCTTCAGCCTCCCAAAGTGCTAGGATTACAAGCATGAGCCACCATGCCCAGCCTTTATTTATTTATTTATTTTCGAGACAGAGTCTCGGTCTGTCCCCCAGGCTGGAGTGCAGTGGTGTGATCTTGGCTCGCTGCAGCCTCTGCCTCCCAGATTCAAGCCATTCTGGTGGCTTAGCCTCCCAAGTAGCTTGGTTCAATGGCGTGTGCCACCATGTCACCTACTTTTTTTTTTTTTTTTTTTTTTTTTTTTTTTTTTTGCATTTTAGTAGAGACAGGGTTTCACTACGTTGGTCAGGCTGGTCTCGAACTCCTGGCCTCAAGTGATCCACCCGCCTCAGCCTCCCAAAGTGCTGGGATTACAGGCATGAGCTACCACACCCAGCCTATTTTTTTTTACTGTTTATTGGTAACCTATGTAATTGCTTTGTGCAATGCTTTGTGCTGCCTGAAATTGAAAATATAGACCATGTAAAATATGGAGGTTATGGAAATATTAATCCTGTAGATCCATAATGAAGATGTATTTTTATTTCACTAAACCAGTGGCATGTGAAGCATTATCATTAAATGCCAGCTGGACTCACTGCTTCGTATCGTGCCACATTTTCATTTTCTTTTATTTCAACTTTGACGTTACTGTATGAAGGTTTTAGTTTTTCCTAGAATGATGATTCTCAAACTAACTATGTGACCCACAAAAATTTACCATGGGACCAAGATCATCCAGATGTTTGCTCCTATTCTGTTTATTAAATAAACAGTTGTGGACACACTAGCTGTTCTCTGGGCTGCTGCAGGACTGTCCTCCTTCATACTGCTCCTCCTCTTTTGAGGAACTTGCATCCTCTTTGTTGAATTTCATTCTAGTTTTCCTGGAGTATATCCCTAGATACCTTTTGCAGAAAGGGTGCTTGGTATCTCAGTGTTTTGAATCCTTGAATATCTGAAATATCTTTTTCCACCTTCACATTAGATGAGATGATAAATTCTAGCCCCAGAATGACTAGTTCGAAATCCTATTCCTCAGCAGTTTGGTGGCCTGGTTCCACGATGTGTAAAGGCAGAGGGGCTTGTTGTCATCCCTGTGGCACTGACATTGCACCAAGATGAATGTTTTTCTTATTCCCCTTAAACTCTTCTATCTTCTATCCAAATCCCGTTTCTCTCTTTAGCCCTTCGAATTTTTCTTGTCTGCTCAGTAAAGGATTAACTTCATCCAAATAGAGGTCTGACCTTTGCCTTTTACTCCTGGGAGGTAATTTTTTAGTTCTTGGAATGTCCAGCCTGAGTTTACATGGGGCCTTGGGCCACACCATATGGTTTGTGCTAACAGTGGTGATTTATGGTGGGGGCTTTGGGCCATGTGATATCAGCTTAACCTCTGGAGGGGCTAGAATCTAAGGGGAGCCACACAAGTGGTCAGCCTTATCCACATGCTGATCCCTATTAAAAACCCTGGACACCAAGGCTCAGGTAGGCTTCCCTGGTGGGTGACATCATGTCACTTATCATTGCTGGGAGAAGTTAGTGCTGTCCACAACTGTACCAGGTATTAAATTGGCACTTGGAACTCTCCTGGACCCATGGACCTCTTCCCTGGGCTGCTTTTAATCTGATTCTTTTCACTGTAATGAGCCACAACCATGAGAATAACTGATCCTAGTGAGTTCTGTGAGTCTTTCTAGCAAATTACTGAAACTGATGGTGATCTTAGAGACTCCTGAGCTTGCAGTCAATGACAGAAGTGAGGGTGGTCTTGGTGACCCCCTAAATGTGTGTCTTATCTGTTGCCTCCTCTCCATTTTCTCCTACCCTTCTCCTACCCCTTCCCAGTCTGGAACGCCACCCTGCACTGATCTCCTCACTTTCCCTTCCTGTTTTTTTCCATTGCTCCTTTTTGTTACACCACTGGGAGGTTTTGTTGACTTTCAGAACTTATTTTTTCCCCCTAATTTTCAGTCTTTATTTAAAATTTGATTATAAAATATCCAAACATACAGGGAAGTTTAGTGTCCATTCGGCTTTAAAATTATTTTATTTTATTTTATTTTTTAATAGAGATGGGGTCTCACTATGTTGTCCAGCCTTGTCTCAAACTCCCAGCCTCAAGCAATCCTCCCACCTCAGCCTCGTAAAGTGCTGATTGCAGGCATGAGCCACTGTGCCCAGCCCTAGGATGATTTTTATTTTTTAAATTTTTTTTGAGATGGAGTTTTGCTCTTCTCCCCCAGGCTGGAGTGCGATGACACCATCTCGGCTCACTGCAACCTCTGCCTCCCAGGCTCAAGCGATTCTCCTGCCTCAGCCTCCCGAGTAGCTGGGATTACAGGCATGCACCACCATGCCCGGATATTTTTGTATTTTTAGTAGAGATGGGGTTTCACCATGTTGGTCAGGCTGGTCTCGAACTCCCAACCTCAAATGATCCACCTGCCTTGGCCTCCCAAAGTGCTGAGATTACAGGCATGAGCTACTGCATCTGGCCAGGATGATTTTTCTTTTTTTTTTAAGGCGGAGTCTCACTCTGACGCCCAGGCTGGAGTGCAGTGGCGCATCTCTGCTCACTGCAAGCTCCGCCTCCTGGGTTCAAGCCATTCTCCTGCCTCAGCCTCCCGAGTAGCTGGGACTACAGGCATTTGCCACTATGCCCGGCTAATATTTTGTATTTTTAGTAGAGATGGGGTTTCACCAAGTTAGCCAGAATGGTCTCGATTTCCTGACCTCATGATCTGCCCGCCTTGGCCTCCCAGAGTGCTGGGATTACATGCGTGAGCCACCGCGCCCAGCTGAATGTAGCTAATTTTTAAATAATCAGGAGACACCTTGTGCTACAGATGTACGTTGTTTCCTTTTACCCTATACCTTTGAGGCCGGTACTTAAACATCAGCCGGATCCTAATCCAGGAGAGGTCAGTTCACCAGTAAGTCCGTACTCCAGGGCAGGCCAGGCCAGGCCAGGCCAAGCTTCTGTTGGTTGAATGCAAAGCATGGTGAGGTGTGTGAATTCACTTCAGTCTCCTATGGGAGGGGCCCTCTTGGTGGCCCTGGATGGGCAGGGTCAAGGTGAAAACCCAGGGATTGGTTTCACAAGGTTGAACAAGCGGCTCCGTCCTGGGCAGGCTCCATGCTTCTCCCCGAAAGAAGGCACCATAGCCACCATTAAGCAGTGGGCAGGTTGTTGCCTCTGACTCTGGCCTGGAGACAAGTCAGTTCAGTCCATGTGAATTCTAGTATCAGTTTGTCAGTTTGCACACACATGCACATGCACAAATATACAAACACACACCTTTTGGCATAGAATTGGGATTGACTTGAATCTATAAATCAGTTTATAAGATGATATCTTTACAATATTGAACCTTCCAATTGAAGGAATCCACAGCTTTGGCACAAAGATTATTTTACAGTGAAAACACTTGTAATGTTATCTACACTCCTCTTATTGGACTAAAGGAGAGCCTCCTGAAAATACAACTGCCATTAACCCCCTCCAAGGGAGTTTTCTGCGAATTCCAGGAAGGAGACAGACTGTCCATCTCTTTTAGTGTTAAAAATCACACAGGAAAGCAATAGAGGCCAGGCGCTGTGGCTCATGCCTGTAATCCCAGCACTTTGGGAGGCTGAGGTGGGTGGATGACCTGAGGTCAGGAGTTCCAGACCAGCCTGGCCAACCTAATTAAACCCCATCTCCACTAAAAATACAAAACTTAGCCAGGCATGGTGGTGGGTGCCTGTAATCCCAGTACTTTCGAGGCTGAAGCAGGAGAATTGCTTGAACCTGGGAAGTGGAGGTTGTAGTGAGCCAAGATCATGCCATCACACTCCAGCCTGGTGACAAGAGCAAAACTCTGTCCCAAAAAAAAAAAAAAAAAAAAAGTCAAGTAAAGAAAACAATAGAACTATCCATACTTTTCCACTGAACCCCTTTTTCTTTTTCTTTTTTTTGAGATGGAATCTTGCTCTGTTGCCCAGGCTGGAGTGCAGTGGCGTGATCTCAGCTCACCACAACCTCCGCCTCCCAGGTTCAAGCGATTCTCCTGCCTCAGCCTCCCGAGTAGCTGGGACTACAGGCACGCGCCACCATGCCCGGCTAATTTTTGTATTTTTAGTAGAGACGGGGTTTCACTATGTTGGTCAGGCTGGTCTTGAACTCCTGACCTCGTGATCCCCCAGCCTCGGCCTTCCAAAATGCTGGGATTACAGGTGTGAGTCACTGCATCCAGCCTGAACTCCTTTTTCTTAAGTTGGTAAATAAACCTTTACTTCCAGCTATTCAATGAGTTACTCATTACAGAGTTCCCTTGCCTAATGTGTAAATAAAGTTTTTCTTTCCACGTGTTGATCTGTCTATTGTTAATTAATTTGCAGGTTCCCAACAACAGGGATCTAGATTGGTAGAGGAAAAGATTTTCCTGTCAATGCAATCCATGAACATGGTATTCTCTTCATTTAGGTCTTTAAGAAATTTATCTCAATAATGTTTTGTAGTTTACAGAATAGATATCTTGCATGTAAATTCAGTTTATTCCTATGTATTAGATATTTTGATACTATTTTGATGGCAACATTTCAAATTTCATTTTCTATTTGTTTGTTGCTGGTACTGATGATAGGAATAAACTGATTTCCGTACCTTATATGCAGTGATCTTGATAAATTATTACTTTTTTTTTTTTTTTTTTTTGAGATAAGGTCTCATTCTGTCACCCAGGCTGGAGTGCAGTGGTGCAATCATAGCTTACTGCAGCCTCAAGTGATCCACCTACTTCAGCCTCCTGAGTAGCTGGGACTGCAGGGACACAACACCATGCCTGGCTAATTTTTGTAATTTTCTGTAAAGACAGGGTTTCGCCATGTTGTTCAGGCTGGTCTCGAACTCCTGGGCTCAAGCGATCCAACTGCCTTGACCTCCCAAAGTGCTGGGATTACAGGCATGAACCGCCATGCCCAGCCTAATTAGTTCTTATTCTTCTTAGTCATATAATTTGTTTATAAATTATTTTAATTGTACATATACACTTTAATTGTTTGAACATAATAACTGTTTTTTTCTTTTCTTTTTTTTTTTTTTTTTTAAGAGTTGAGGTCTCACCCTGTCACCCAGGCTGGAGTGCAATAGCACAATTATAGCTCACTATAGCCTTGATCTCCTGAGCTCAAGAGATTCTCTCACCTCAGCCTCCTGAGTAGCTGGGACTAAAGGTGCCTGCTGCCACACCCTGCTAGAAACTGGTTTTCTTGCCGGGTGTGATGGCTCATGCCTGCAACCCCAGTACGTTGAGAGGCCAAGGTAGGCGGATCACCTGAGGTCAGGAGTTCGAGACCAGCCTGGCCAACATGGTGAAACCCTGTCTCTACTGAAAAAATTAAAAAATTAGCCAGGTGTGGTGGCATGCACCTGTAATCTCAGCTACTCAGGAGGCTTAGGAAGGAGAATTGCATGAACCCAGGAGGTGGAGGTTGCAGTGAGCCGAGATCACACCACTGCACTCCAGCTGGATGACACAGCAAGACTCTATCTCAAAAAAAAAAAAAAAAATTAAAAAAAAAAATGTGGGCCGGGCACGGTGGCTCATGCCTGTAATCCCAGCACTCTGGGAGGCTGAGGCAGGCGGATCACATGAGGTCAGGAGTTTGAGACCAGCCTGGCCAACATGGCAAAACCCCGTCTCTACTAAAAATACAACAAAAAATTAGCCAGGCATGGTGACGGGTGCCTATAATCCCAGCTACTAGGGAGGCTGAGGCAGGATAATTGCTTGAACTTTGGAGGCAGAGGTTGCAGTAAGTCAAGATCGTGCCACTGCACTCCACTCTTGGCGACAAGAGTGAAACTCTGTCTCAAAAAAAAAAAAAAAAGTGTATGGAAACACAAAGGGCCAAGAATAGTAATACTGAAGAGAAAAACTGGAGACCTTACACTACCAGATATAAAGCTATCATAAAGCTATAATCATCAAAACAGGGTGGCATTTCCACATGAATAGACAGGCCAGTGGTAAAGCGTAGAGAATCCAGAAATATTCACACATGCACAGTCATATGACTTGTGACGAAAGTGACACTGTAGTGCAGTGGGAAAAGAATGGACTTTTTAAGACACGTTGGATCACTTGAATATTCACAGAGAAAAAAATAAACCTTAACATCTACCTCACATAATACACAAAAATTAATTCCACAGGGATTGTAGATCAAAATATGATAGACACAAAAATAACACTTTTAGAAAAAAAAAGTAGGAGGCTGGGTGTACTGGCTCATGCCTATAAACTGTGCTTTGGAAGGCCAAGGTGGGAGGATTGCTTCAGAGAAGGGGTTCAAGACCATACTGGGCAACATGGTGAAACCCCATCTCTACAAAAAATAAAAAATTAGCCCGGTATGCTGGTGCACCTGCCACCATGCCAGGCTAATTTTTAAAAAACTTTTTAGTAGAGATGGGGTTTCGCCATGTTGGTCAGGCTTGTCTCGAACTTGTTTTTTGTTTGTTTGTTTTTTGAAATGGAGTCTCGCTCTGTCGCCCAGGCTGGAGTGCAATGGCGCAACCTCAGCTCACTGCAACCTCCGCCTCCCAGCTACTCAGCAGGCTGAGCGAGGAGGATCACTTAAGCCCGAGAGTTGAAGGCTGTAATGAGTTGTGATGGTGCCACTGCACTCCAGCCTGGATGACAGAGCAAGACTCTGTCTCAAAAAAAAAAAAAAAAAAAAAAAAAACAAGAAAAGAACTTTCATTCTTCAAAAGACACCAGCAAGAGAGGGAAAAGGCAAATCATAGACTGGAAGAAGCCATTTGCAATACATCAATCTGACAAATAACTCAAATTTAGGACATACAGATACCTCCTGCCAATCAAAAGGGGAAGGGTAGAGAACCTAGTGGAGAAGGACTTGACTCACAAAAGAGGATGGTATCTTTTTCTTTTCTTTTATTTTCTTTTTTTGAGATGGAGTTTCGCTCTTGTTGCCCAGGCTGGAGTGCAGTGGTGCGATCTCGGCTCACTGCAACCTCTGCCCTCCGGTTTCAAGCGATTCTCCTGCCTCAGCCTCCCGAGTGCCAGAGCAGGGAGGGAGAATGACGAGACTAAACTGTAGCTTCAGCTTTCTCTCTTTAAAAACCAAAGCAAAGAGGACAAAATGTTCATTTCTATTAATTCTAAGTGGTGGGTACAAGGTTATTCATTATATTGTTTTCTGTATGTCTGCAATATTTCATAATATATATGTTTTCAATAAAAATTAGCTGGGTGTGGTGGTGTGTGCCTGTAGTCCCAGCTACTCAGGAGGCTGAGGCGGGAGGACTGCCTGAATTCAGGAGGTGCAGGTTGCAGGTTGCAGTGAGCTGAGATGGTACCACTGCACTCCAGCCTGGAGGACAGAGCTAGGCTCCATATCAAAAAAAAAAAAAAAAATGCCACCTGAAAAAAAAAAAAAAAAGATTCTAGCTAGCTATGGAGTCTCACACCTGTAATCCCAGCACTTTGGGAGATCAAGGTAGGAGGATTGCTTGAGACCAGGAATTTGAGGGCAACATAGTGAAACCCCATCTTCACACACGCACACAAAATAGCTGGGTGTGGTGGTGTATGCCTGTGGTCCCAGCTCATCAGGAGGCTGAGGGGGGAGGATTGCTTGAGCCTGGAAGATCAAAACTGCAGTGAGCTGTGATTGCACTACTGCACTACATCCTGGGCAAAAGAGTGAGTCCCTATCTCAAGAAAAAAGCAAGTGAGGCCAGGCACGGTGTCTTACACTTGTAATCCCAGCATTTGTGGGAGGCCGAGGTGGGCAGATCACTTGAGGTCAGAAGTTCGAGACCAGGCTGGCCAACATGGTGAAACTACCTGTCTCTACTGAAAATACAAAAATTAGCCAGGTGTGGTGGCGTGTGCCTGTAATTCCAGTTACTTGGGAGGCTGAGGCAAGAGAATTCCTTGAACCTGGGAGGCGGAGGTTGCAGTGAGCCAAAATTGTGCCATTGCACTCCAGCCTGGGCAAAAAAGTGAGACTCCGTCTCAAAAAAAAAAAAAAGAAAAGATGCTCAACACATTAGTTAGTAGAGCAATACAAGTCAAATTCACAATGAGATGCCATTTCCCAGCCACTGGAATGGCTATAGTCAAAACAGTGAACAACCACTAATGCTTCCAAAGTTTCTGTATTAGTCAGTTTTCACACAGCTATAAAGAAATTCCTGAGAATGGGTAATTATAAAGGAAAGAGGTTTAGTTGACTTACAGTTCTGAATGGCTGGGGAGGCCTCAGGAAACTTACAATCATGGCAGAAGGCAAAGGGGAAGCAGGCACCTCCTCACAAGGCAGCAGGAGGGAGAAGTGAAAGGGCAGGAAAAACTGCCATTTTAAAATTCATTAGATCTCATGAGAATTCACTCATTATCAGGAGAACAGCATAAGGGAAACCACCCCCATGATCACTTCCCTCCCTCAACACATGAGGATGACAACTCGAGATGAGATTTGGGTTGGGACACAGAGCCAAACTATATCAGTTGTAGGGTAACAAAACTCTCGCATGTCACTGGCGGAAATGTAAAATGGTGCAGCCACTTTGGAAAGTAGTTTGGCAGTTTCTTAAAAAGTTAAACATAGGCCAGGTGCAGTGGCTTACACACCTGTATTCCCAGCACTCTGGGAGGCTACTCATCGCTTGAACCCAGGAGTTCAAGACCAACCTGGGCAACATGGCGAAACCCCTTCTCTACAAAAACATCACAAAAAAGTTTTAATATTTTTATTTTTTCTGCCACGCTCGGCTAATTTCTGTATGTTTTGTAGAGATGAGGTCTCACTATATTGCCCAGGCTGGTCTCAAACTCCTGACCTCAAGCTATCCACCCACTTCTGTCTCCCAAAGTGCTGGGATTACAGGCATGAACACTACACCCAGCCAAAAAACACAAAAATTAGCCGGGCGTGGCGGTGCATGTCTGTAATCCCAGCTACTGGGCGGGGGTGGGGCTGAGGTTGCAGTGAGCAGACAGCGCGTCACTGCACTCCAGCCTGGGCGACAGAGCCAGACCTTGTCTCAAAAAAAAAAAAAAGGAATGAGATATTCATGCAATAAAATGGACCATGCATTGTATGACTCCATTTACATTAAATGTCCCAAATAATGCAATCTATTAAGGCAGAAAGTAGATCAGTGATTTTTAGGGGCTGAAGGAAGGAGAATGGAGAGTCACTGCAAATGAATGTGAGGGATCTTTTGGAGATGATGGAAATGTTCTGAAATTGGAATGTGGAGATGGTTGCATAACCATGTCAGTTTACTGAAAATCATCAAATCGTACTCTTAAAATGGGTGAGTTTCGGCCAGGCGCAGTGGCTCATGCCTGTAATCCCAGCACTTTGGGAGGCCGAGGCAGGTGGATCACGAGCTCAGGAGATTGAGAGCATCGTGGCCAACATGGTGAAACCCCGTCTCTACTAAAAATACAAAAATTAGCCGGGTGTGGTGGCGTGCACCTGTAGTCCCAGCTACTCGGGAGGCTGAGGCAGGAGAATCGCTTGAACCCAGGAGGCAGAAATTGCAGTGAGTCAAGATCGCACCACTGTGCTCCAGCCTGGGTGCCAGAGCGAGACTCTGTCTCAAAAAAAATAAAAAATAAAAAATAAAAAATAAAATAAAACAAAGGGTGAGTTTCATGGTGTGTAGATTATGCCTTGCTGTTTAAACAAACAAACCAGGCCAGGACACGGTGGCTCATACCTGTAGCCCCAGCTACTTGGGGGGTTGAAGTGGGAAGATCGCTTGAGCCTGGGAGGTTGAGGCTGCAGTGAGCTGTGACTGCACCACTGCACTGCAGCCTGGGTGACTGAGTAAGACCCTGTCTCAGAAAGAAAAAAAAAAAAAAAAAGGGGGCCAGGCACGGTGGCTCATACTAATCCCAGCACTTTGGGAGGCTGAGGCGGGCGGATCACCTGAAGTCAGGTGGGCGTGGTGACAGGCGCCTGCAATCCCAGCTACTTGGGAGGCTGAGGCAGGAGAATCACTTGAACCTGGGAGGCGGAGAATGCAGTGAGCCAAGATGGCACCACTGCACTCCAGCCTGGGTGAGAGAGAGAGACTCCGTCTCAAAAAAAAAACAAGCAAAAAAGCCAGAACACCGGGGTCCAGGACCTCTCTCACTGGAATTGGCAAATGCTGTCATGAATCATAGGCAGGATGGGTGGGGGTTCACAGTCTCTATGCTGGGCCCAAGTGGATCCCACCAAACTCAGGACCTCAGGAATGAATGTCTGTACTTCTGAGGTTTTTGATTTTCCAGCATCTAAACCCCTCTGTTGCATTGGGGAAGCGCCATTGCTGTTAGTCTGAGTCAGGAACAGCCTGCAACAGAAACTGGAGAAACCCATGGCTTCCCCATATGGGGACTGTTCTCCCACAACCAGAAGGCTGCCATACAATGTCACTGGGAACCCAGGCTCCTTCTCGTTCAATCCCTACCCTCCTCATTATGGGGCTTTTAGCCACATGCCCAAAAGATGCCTGCTGCCCCTCGGCATCACAGCCTCCTTCTACACAGGAGGTGAGGGCAGGGGGTGTCAGAGGAAGTGTGTGTCTAATCTGTCACTTTTTATGGAAAAGCCACTAGATTTTACAGAGCCCCCATGCCACATAGCCATCCTGTACTATAGGGGGGTCTGGGAGGTCCATTGTTCTTGACTGGATACAGAGTCACCCCTCATTTAATTGGGGCCTGGTGTAGCGGCTCAGGCTTGTAATCCCAGCACTTTGGGAGGCTGAGGCAGGAGGATCATCTAAGTCCAGAAGTTTGAGACTAGCCTGGGCAACACAGGGAGACCTGGTCTCTACTAAAAAATAAAACAAAATAAATAAGAGAAATTTTTTTTTGGAGAAAGAGTCTCAGTCTGTTAGCCAGGCTGGAGTGCAGTGGTGCAATGATGGCTCATTGCAGCCTCGACCTCCTGGGCTCAAGCAAACCTCCTGCCTCAGCCTCCTGAGTAGCTGGGACTATAGGCACACACCACCACACCTGGCGCATTTTAAAACATTTTATAGAAACAGGGTCTCACTATGTTTCCCAGGCTGGTCTTGAACTCCTGGGCTCAAGCGATCCTCCCACCTTGGCCTCCCAAAGTGCTGATATTACAGGTGTGAGCCACCACACCCAGCCTGAACCTGAAATCTTGGGGAAGGCTTCAAGGATACGAAGAGACCCCTAGGATCCATGTTAGGGTGTGGAGTAGGTCCACGGCAGTGGTAGGGGGTGGTACCCATGGTGCTGACAGCCCTCTGACCTTGGAGTCCCTGAGTGCTTCATGCTCGCTGCAACCCAACAGACAGGCTCCTTGCTGGGAAGTGGCTGCCCAGCCAGGGACTATAGTTAGGTGCAGTTAGGTGTGGTCAGGGCACCGAGTTCTAGGAAAAATAAGCCAGCCAAGTGAAGCCGGCTACTTCCAGCCCTGGTCCATATGAGCCATGCTGTGGTCCTCATGAAGACCACCCCAGGGTGACCTTGAAATAAACACACTGAAGATGGCAGAGCTGCAACAGCCTGAGTCCCTGAATGACTGTGTGGAGGAGGGCTGCCCTGCCAACCTGTTCCCGGCTAGTACAGCCGTGCACTGCTTAATGACAGGGACACATTCTGAGAAATGCATTGTTTGGTGATTTTGTCATTGTGCAAACATCACAGAGTGGGCTTACACGAACCTAGATAGTGTGGCCTGCTACACACCTAGGCTATGTGGTAGAGCTTTCTGCTCCTAGGCTATAAACCTAAACAGCATGTGACTGTACTGAAAATTGCAGGAGTTGTAACACAATGGTAAGTACTTGCGTGTCTAGACACATCCAAACATAGAAACGGTACAGTAAAAATACGGTGGTATCATTTTATGAGACCACTGTTGTATATGCGGTTTGTTGTGGACAGAAACCTCATTATGTGGTACAGTACTTCACTGTTTTTTTGTTTTTTTTTTTTTTTTTTTTTTTGAGACGGAGTCTCGCTCTGTCGCCAGGCTAGAGGGCAGGCAGTGGTGCGATCCTGGCTCACTGCAGCCTCCAACTCCCTGGTTCAAGTGATTCTCCTGCCTCAGCCTCCAGAGTAGCTGGGACTACAGGCACCTGCCACCACGCCTGGCTAATTTTAGTACTTTTAGTAGAGACAGGTTTCACCATGGTGGCCAGGATGGTCTCGATCTCCTGACCTCGCAATCTGCCCACCTTGGTTTCTCAAAGTGCTGGGATTACAGGTGTGAGCTATCATGCCCAGCGCGTGACTTCACTGTTTTGTCTTATTTTGTTTGTTTATTTATTTATTTATTTATTTTTGAGACAGGGTCTCACTCTGTCGCCCAGGCTGGAGTGCAGTGGCATGATCTCGGCTCACTGCAACCTCCAACTCTCCAGCTCAAGCAACCCACCCACCTCAGCCTCCCTCGTAGCTGGGACTACAGGAGCATGACACCATGCCTGACTAACTTTTGTATTTTTGAAGAAATAGCGTCTCTGTATATTGCCCAGGGGCTGGTCTCAAACTCCTGGGCTCACGTGATCCTCCAGCTTTGGCCTCCCTAAGTGCTGGGATTACAGGCATGAGCCACCACAACTGGCCTATTTTTATTTTTAATTTTTTTTTTTTTGAGACAGAGTCTCGCTCTGTTGCCCAGGCTGGAGTGCAGTGACGTGATCTCGGCTCACTGTAGCCTCCAACTCCTGGGTTTAAGTGATTCTCCTGCCTCAGCCCCCGGAGTACCTGAGATTACAGGCACACGCCACCACGCCTAATTTTTGCATTTTTAGTAGAGATGGAGTTTCACCACGTTGGTCAGGCTAGTCTCGAACTCCTGACCTCAAGTGATCTGCCCACCTTGGCCTCCCAAAGTACTGGGATTACAGGCGTGAGCCACTGCGCCCAGCTGTATTTTAATTTTTATAATTTATTTTTATTTGTAGAAGAGGAGTCTTGCTATGTTGCCCAGGCTGTTCTCTAACTCCTGAGCTCAAGCAATCCTCCCGCCTCAGCCTCCCAAAGTGCTGGGATTACAGGTGTGAACACTGCAACTGGCCAACGTTACTATTTTAGGAGCAAGAAGTAAACTCGTTCACTCAATATCATTACACATATGGGGTCTCTGTTACAGCATCGGCATCTCTAACTGTAAACCTCTCAAGGTTCCTGCTGGTTTTCTTAGCCTCCAGTGAGCTACCTGATATCCTTCCAGTAAGTTCTTTTTCTGCTTCAGTTAGCCCAGGAAGGTTCCTGTTGCTGGCAATGCAGAGTCATTTTGCAACCGTTCACTCTGTGCTAAGCAACTTCCTAAGTGTTTTGCATGTATTAATTGATTCACTTTCATAATAAACTTACAAAGGAAGTTCTGTTATCAGGCACAAGATACCCAGTGACTTGCCCAAGCTCATCCAACTGGTATGAGGCAGAGCTAGGGATTGATTCCAGGCATTTTGGGATCTGAGCCCATGCCCTTCCCATGATGCTTCACTGCTCTCGAGACAAATGATCTAAGCCTAAAAAGACTGCAAGCTACATGCACGTTCATAGCAGCCCTATTCATAGCCACCACGCGGAGGAAACAACCCCAACGTTCAACAGATGTATGAATAAACAAATTGTGGTCTAGCCTCACAATGGACTATTATTCAGCCATAAAAAGGGATGATGGGGGCGGGGCACGGTGGCTCACGCCTGTAATCCCAGCACTTTGGGACGGCAAGGCAGGCAGATCACCTGAGGTCGGGAGTTCGAGACCAGCCTGGCCAACACGATGAAACCCCGTCTCTACTAAAAATACAAAATTCGGCTGGGCACAGTGGCTCACGCCTGTAATCCCAGCACTTTGGGAGGCCGAGGCAGGTGGATCACCTGAGGTCGGGAGTTCGAGACCAGCCTGACCAACATGGAGAAACCTTGTCTCCACCAAAAACACAAAATTAGCCGGGCGTGGTGGCACACACCTGTGATCCCAGCTACTCAGGAGGCTGAGGCAGGAGAATCACTTGAACCCGGGAGGTGGAGGTTGCAGTGAGCCGAGATCATGCCATTGCACTCCAGCCTGGGCAACAAGAGCAAAACTCCGTCTCAAAATAAATAAATAAATAAATAAATAAATAAATAGGAAATTAACCGGGCATGGTGGCCCATGCCTGTAATCCCAGCTACTTGGGAGGCTGAGGCAGGAGAATCGCTTGAAGCCAGGAGGCGGAGGTTGTGGTGAGCCGAGATCGTGTCATTGCACTCCAGCCTGGGCAACAAGAGGAAAATTCCGTCTCAAAAAAACAAAAACAAAAACAAAAAACAAAAATTAGCCAGGCATGGTGGCAGGTGCCTGGAATCCCAGCTACTCAGGAGGCTGAGGCAGGAGAATCACTTGAACCCGGGAGGCAGAGGTTGTAGGGAGCCGAAATGGCGCCACTGCACTCCAGCCTGGGCGACAGAGCAAGACACCGTCTCAAAAAAAAAAAAAACAAAAAAACAAAAAATAGGAAATCAAGACAAGGCAGGATAGGCCTCTACTTCAAAACAGAGAAAAAAGGGGCTGGATGTGGTGGCTCACACCTGTAATCCTAGCACTTTGGGAGCTGAGGCGAGTGGATGGCATGAGCCCAGGAGTTCCTGACCAGCCTGGGCAACATAAAGAGACCCCCATCTCTACAAAAAATTAAGAAATTAGCTGAGTGTAGTGGTGGCACACCTCTATTCCCAGCTACTCTGGAGGCTGACATGGGAGGATTGCTTGAGCCTGGGAGGCTGAGGCTGCAGTGAGCCGTGATTGCACCACCGCACTCCAGCCTGGGTGACAGAGCAAGACCCTGTCCAAAATGAAACAAACAAATGGAAAAAACAACAACAACAACCAGAGGCTGAGCACAGTGGCTCACACCTGTAATCCCAGCTTAAAAATCTCTTCCCAGAGTAAAAGTTAGTCTTCATGCTGGCCCAAGGCAGCCCACATTATACAGGTTTGTATAATACATACATCATATGTACATGCTTTTCTTTTTTTTTTTTTTTTTTTTGAGATGGAGTCTCACTCTGTTGCCCAGGCTGGAGTGCAGTGGTGTGATCTTGGCTCACTGCAACCTCCGTCTCCTGGGTTCAAGTAATTCTTCTGCCTCAGCCTCCCAAGTAGCTGGGACTACTGGTGTGTGCCACCACGCCCAGCTAATTTTTTGTATTTTTAGTAGAGACAGGGTTTCACCATGTTGCCCAGGCTGGTCTTGAACTCCTGAGATTAAGCAATCCTCCCACCTCGGCCTCCCTAAATGCTGGGATTACAGGTGTGACAGGCCATGCTTTTCTTTAAGAAATAAAATAACGGAGAATAAAAAGTAACGAAGTTGCCCATCACACATAAGAACAATTATTATTCAGAGAAACTTGTTCTAACAAGACATATAATACATAATGTATGATATTAACATATCATCCAATGTGTTATGGAACACACTTAATGGGTTTCATATGTTTATAATATATATTAAGTATATAGAATGCATATATATCTGTAGTTATTCTTCATGAAATGGAATACAATAAAATAGGAAATATTAAACCGGGCTGCAAATATTAAGGGTAATTATTTAATGAAACTTTCATTCCAATGATATGTACATAAGCACATACACTACATATAATAGATGATGTTATGTTACACATGACATAAAATATATATTTTATATTCCATTATATATTGTGTCACATAATATATGAATTATACACTTTTAAAATACATAGAATTGTAAATTATTGTATAAATATGCACACGATGGATTACATAAACTCTGCTTTTTTTTTTTTTTGAGACAGGGTCTCACTTTGTCTCCCAGGTTGAGGTGCTGTGGCCTGATCTCAGTTCACTGCAGCCTTAAACACCCGGGTTCAAGCGATCCTCCTGCCTCAGCCCCCCAAGTAGCTGGGACTACAGGTGTGTGCCACCATGCCTGGCTAATTTTTTGTTTTGTTTTGTTTTGAGACCAAGTCTCACTCTGGCACCTAGGCTGGAATGCAGTAGTGCAATCTTGGCTCACTGCAACGTCCACCTCCTGGGCTCAAGCAATTCTCCTATGTCAGCCTCTCATGTAGCTGGGATTACAGATGTGCACCACCACACCCGGCTAATTTTTGTATTCTTTTTATTAGAGACGGGGCTTCACCATGTTGGGCAGGCTGGTCTCGAACTCCTGACTTCAAGTGATCCTCCCACCTTGGTCTTCCAAAGTACTGAGATTACAGGCGTGAGCCACCGCGCCTGGCCTAAAACTCTGCTTCTTATTGTGGCACGTGGCTGTAGATTGAGGTGGAGGTTCTGAGATCTGCGCGCAGTGGGGGTTACTGCTGAGCACTGGGGTCATTTCCTATGGGGAAGGAGGGAGGGAGGGAGGACTCCACAGAGGGGGAAGCTGAAGCCAGATGTGGTGGAAGCAGAGGCCTGAGTGATCCTGTTGGGGCTCCAGAGCTGGGATGACCTCCACAGTTGTGCCAATCAAGGCAAGGGGCAGCCTTTGCTTGCCTGGCCCCCTCACCTAACTTCTCCCCTCGCTTACTCTATTCCAGGGGATGGTAAACTTTTTCTGTAAAGGGCCAGAGAGTACGAGAGCCCTAGGATCTCTGTGCAAATACTCAGCTCTGTCACTGTACTGCAAAAGCAACTGTGGAAAATATGCAAACGAATGAGCGCCTGGGTTCCAATAAGTCTTTATTTACAAAGACAGGAAGCAAGGGTCCCCTTGATTTGGCCCAAAGGCCTTGGTCAGCGAGCCTCTGCTCTATTCTGACAGCCAGAAACTCTTGCTGTTCCAGGAACAGGCCAAGGCCACATCTGTCCTAGGACTTTCACAGATACTCACAGCCCTCTTCCTATCTCCCTCCATCTGAAGCGCTGCCTCCTCCCTGCCCACCTGTCTAGATCAGCGGTGCCCGTAAGTCCGGAACTCCTACCCTGCCTCCATTCCTCTCAGTCCTCATCACCCTATGCTGGATTAGCTTTTTCCTTTTTTTTTTGAGATGGAGTCTCGTTCTTGTTGCCCAGGCTGGAGTGCAATGGTGCAATATTGGCTCACCGCAACCTCCGCCTCCCGGGTTCAAGCGATTCTCCTGCCACAGCCTCCTGAGTGGCTGGGATTACAGGCATGCACCACCATGCCCTGCTAATTTTGTATTTTTAGTAGAGATGGGGTTTCTCCATGTCGGTCAGGCTGGTCTCGAACTCCCGACCTCAGGGGATTGGCCCGCCTCGGCCTCCCAAAGTGCTGAGATTACAGGTGTGAGCCACCACGCCTGGCCACTCTTTCCTTCTTTATTGCCGGTCTCTGGCACTAGAATGTCAGCTCCAGTGAGGGCCTCTGCTTGCTCCCAACTGGCTCCCAGCTACTAGAATGGAGCCTGGTGCAGTTGATCCTCAGTACACTCAGAGTTGCCATGCTTCTCCTCTCTCTGTCCACACCGACTCCAGCTACAAGCCATTGCCACTGGGGGACCCAAGCCTGCCACTCAGCAACACAGCGACCAGCCCAGGAGTAGCTCCGTGAGCCAATAGATCAGGTTGGGGCTTATGTAAAGCCCATTTTCTCCTGGGGTGGCTCTCAGCCATTTTGCCTCCCTCCAGGCAATGGCCTGCCCTACAGAGAAACCAACAAGAGGGACAGCAGGGCCTGCCAGGAGATGGGAGGGGCACAGCCCTCAGGGCACCTCCCAGGGTTTTGTGAGCTGGGATGAATGGGTTTATAGTCCTGAGTCACTCCAGAGGGAGGATTCCGGATTCAGCCCAGCCCCTGCTTCCTAAACAACTATGGGGTGGGGCAGGGAACACTGGAAAAGAAATGTACGTGTGAGCATCTGTAAGACCCGGTGACGGCAGGGCTGGGGCTGTCTCTGTCACCACTGTGACCCCAGCATAGGGTGGGGCAGAGAGTGGGTAACTCAGTGAGTTTTGTGTTTTATTTTTTTTATTTTTTTTTTTTTTGCGGGAGACGCCCTACCAAGGACACTGGGTCCATGTCCCGGTGCGGGACCACCTCAGTGAGTTTTTTGAGTGAAAGAATAAATAAAGGATATTTTTCCTAAGGTTGACATGGACCTTATTTATTTATTTATTTATTTATTTATTTAGAGATGAAGTCTCGCTCTGTCACCCAGGCTGGAGTATAATGGCATGATCTCGGCTCACTGCAACCTCCGCCTCCCGGGTCCAAGAGATTCTCCTGCCTCAGCCTCCCGAGTAGGTGGGATTACAGGTGCACAACCACCATGCCCAGCTAATTTTTGTATTTTTAGTAGAGACGAGGTTTCACCATGTTGATCAGGTTGGTCTTGAACTCCTGACCTCAGGTGATCCACCCACCCTGGCCTCCCAAAGTGCTAGGATTACAGGTGTGAGCCACTGCGCCCAGTCCCAAGGACTTTTTAAATATGAAAAAAGAATGCATCAACTTGAAGATAATCAGCTTCATTTACAAATTTATTCTAACCCCTCTCCCCAAATTACAAGGTACACAGAATTCTAGCTAGCAGAACACACGAGCAGTGAACCATCCTCTGGCCTCTTGCATTTTGAGAGGACGTTCTTTCCACTTCCACACACTCTGGCCACCCCTGACGCCGCAGTGGGGGAAGTAGATGGCCCTGCTGCCCACGATGACTGGCTGCCTGTCAGGGCAGGGCAGGGCAGGGCTGAGTGCGAAGTCTCTGAGATGTGAGAGCAGCACTCCATCTGGGTCAGGACAGCGCTGGGGTCAGGAATTGGAGCTCCTGCCTGTGTTCACACTCCCACCTCTGTTTTTTTTTTTTGAGTTGAGTCTCACTCTGTCACCCAGGCTGGAGTGCAGTGGCGCGATCTCAGCTCACTGCAACCTCCACCTCCTGGGTTCAAGCAATTCTCGTGCCTCAGCCTCCCGAGTAGCTGGGATTCAGGAATGTGCCAACATGCCCGGCTAATTTTTGTATTTTTAGTAGAGACGGGGTTTTGCCATGTTGGCCAGGCTGGTCTCGATCTCCTAACATCATGTGATCAGTCCACCTTGGCCTCTCAAAGTGCTGGGATGACAGGCGTGAGCTGGCCTGGGTCACTCCCAGTTTTAAACACAGCCCACTCAGGACCCACTCGGTCAGTTCCCTCTGCTCCAGCTTCTCCCCCTCTTCCAGAAGGAACTGAAATGCTGTTTCAGGCCAGGCGCGGTGGCTCACGCCTGTAATCCCAGCACTTTGGGAGGCCGAGGCGGGCGGATTACCTGAGGTCAGGAGTTCAAGATCAGCCTGGGCAACTTGGAGAAACCCCGTCTCCACTAAAATACAAAAATTAGCCAGGCGTGGGTGGTGGGCACATGTAATCCCAGCTACTTCGGAAGCTGAGGCAGGATCATTGGTTGAGCCTGGGAGGTAGAAGTTGCAGTGAGCCGAGATTGCACCACTGCACTCCGTCAGGGTGACGGAGCTAGACTGTCTCCGAAAGAAAAGAAAAGAAAAAAGAAGAGAAAAGAAGAAAAGAAAAGTTTCAGAACCTGTTTCTTGGCTTTCTATCTGGGCAGATCTTGGTCCAGGCCAGTTTTACCTCTTTAGAGAAGGGAGGTGAGGATGGAAGTCGGGGAAAGCCCGGCCCTCCCACTTTCACCTGCAGCTTCCCAAAAGCGGGCCCAGGTGGAATGGTCACCCAGTTTACACAATGCTATGATCTCTGGTGTGATCTGGGGCTGCTCTGAGAGGGGATAGAGAGGGTCTCCCACTATCAACGCCACCTCTGGGATGGTCTGGGCCTCTGTGTAGAGATCGTCACCCTCCCAGCCTCTGCTCAGCCATCGCCTCTCCCTCCTCACTCTGCAGCTGGGGTAATCCAAGCCTCTCACTCTGCCCCTACTACTTCACCACCCTGGGCAGTCAGCCCCTCACTGGCTGTGGCATCTCTGGCAAGTCCCTTTGCTTACCCCTGGCCTTAGTTTCCCCAGCTCATAGGGTGACTCTTGGGCCTCTCCCCATCAGAACCCTCCCAGTTTCCCTCCTGATTTTAATAAGCTCTGTACCCATTGTGGAGATCCACATGGTGGTTCAGGTACAGCCTCAGGATGCCTTCATCACCTTGCAGCTCCTCTAATGAGAGAGCTACAGTCGGAAGGACAGACTGCAGGCTACTGGGACCCACCCCCTCCCGCTTCAGTGGCAGATCCTGGAAGAGAAACCCAGTAGAAAAGGGTGGTTCCTAGACTGTTCCTCTCAGCTAGCAGGAAGGCCAAATGGCCCGCGGGGTTGGCAGGAGTCCCAGGGTACTTTTTTTCTGAGAAAGGGTCTCACTCTGTCATCCAGGCTGGAGTGTAGTGGCGCGATCACGGCTCGCTGCAGCCTCGACCTCCAGGGCTCAGGTGATCCTCCTGCCTCAGCCTCCCAAGTAGCTGGGACTACAGGCATGCATCACCGCACCTGGCTAATTTTTTATTTTACTTTTGTAGAGATGGGGTCTCACTATGTTGCCCAGGCTGGTCTTCAGCTCCTGGGCTCAAAGAGATCCCTCCTGCCCTGGTCTCCCAAAGTGCTGGGATTACAGGTGTGAGCCACTGCACCTGGACGCCAGCGTACTCTTGGGGTGAGGAGGAATAGTGGGCTGAATGGCTTGAATGGTGTGCCCCCAACAGACAAGTCCACATACTAACCCCCAGGACCTGTGCTTATGACAGTTTATTTGGAAAAAGTGTTTTTTCAGATGTAATTAAGGGTCTTGAGGTGGGATCATCCTGAACTTAAGATGGGCCCTAAATGCAATGACAGGTGTTCTTGTAAGAGACAAAATAGAAGAGGGAAAAGGCCATGTGAAGCTGCAGGCAGAGCCAAGGAAGGCCTGGAATCACCAGGAGCTGGAAGAGGGAGCGTGTCCCTGTCAGCACCTTGGTTTCAGACTTCTGGACTCCAGAACTGTGTGAATTAAATTCCTGTTGGACTTAAGCCATCAAGTTCACCACCCAATGGTGATCTGTTATGGCAGTCCAAGGAAATTAATCAAGCAGTTAAGGCCAACTGCTGGCCTAATTGGTAGGATGGGGGTGGGACCGGGGGCTATGGAGGCAGGAGGGTACTGCTACATGAAGACAGGCTGTCGGGTCAGTCCAGAGCTCCGAGGAAAGAAAGCAAGAGCACACAGATTAGGAGACACGGATGGAAGATGAAGGATGTGACAATTGAATCCATGGGCTTGGATTCGACTGGGTCCCTGAGAAATGCTACTGAGCAAGGTGGGGAAGGCAAGAAAGGACATGCCACACAGTACAAGCTCCAGGGACTCTGAGGACAGGAAAATAGGGGGCTGAGGCTGAAGGACAGGCTGGATTAGCCCTAGTTAGGATCAAATTTCCCACCACGGAAAGGGGGGTTGGAGGACATTCACAGAAAAGATCCTGTAGTGCCATTCCAGTGGGTTGTGCCATAGACTCAAGGATGAGGGGGTTCTGTTGGAATAGTCCACTTCGGGTCTCAAGGGAAGGTACAATGATTCCAGGGATTGACTGCAGGCCAGGACCTTTTGTGGGTTTTTTTAAGATGGAGTTTTGCTCGTTACCCAGGCTGGCATGCAATTGCGCAATCTCGGCTCACTGCAACCTCTGCCTCCCGGGTTCAAGCAATTCTCCTGTCTCAGCCTCCCAAGTAGCTGGGATTACAGGTGCATGCCACCATGCCCAGCTAATTTATGTATTTTTAGTAGAGACGGGGTTTCATCATATTGGTCAGGCTGGTCTCGAGCTCCCGATCTCCCGACCTCCCGACTTCAAATGACCCGCCCACCTCGACCTTCCAAAGTGCTGGGATTGCAGGTGTGAGCCACCGTGCCCAGCCAGGATTTTTTTTTTTTTTTTGAGACACAGTCTTGCTCTGTCACCCGGGCTGGAATACAGTGGTACAATCTTGGCCTCCACCTCCCAAGTTCAAGCAATTCTCCTGCCTCAGCCTCCCAAGTAGCTAGGATTACAGGCACCCACCACCACGCCCGGTTAACTTTTGGTTTTAAGACGGTGTCTTGCTCTGTTGCCCAGGCTAGGGTGCAATGGTGCCATCTTGGCTCACCGCAACCTCCACCTCATGGGTTCAAGCAATTCTCCTGCCTCAGCCTCCCGAGTAGCTGGGATTACAAGCGCACCCCACCACACCCGGCTAATTTTTGTATTTTTAGTAGAGACGGAGTTTCACCATGTTGGCCAGGCTGGTCTGGAACTCCTGACCTCAAGTGATCCGCCCGCCTCGGCCTCCCAAGGTGCTAGGATTACAGGCGTGAGCCACCGCTCCCAGCCGCACCGTTTTTTTCCTCCTTAAGAGAGCACTGATGCTCAGCTAGAGCTGACCTTAGAAGGTGAGGGGGAGAAAAGGCCACTGCAACACACTGCATTTCCTTACAGTGGTCTGTGCCGATTGACAAAAAGAAGAAGGTGTTCCAGTGTAACAGATGAGTGTCCCAGTAAAGGTTAACACTGATCAGGTAAACCGGGGGTGGGGGTAACAATAACACATTGATTCAGCTCAAGACCAGGTTCCATTTTTTCATTTGCCAGAGTGCCCACGGTGTCCTGCTGGCTGGGACCTTGCAGGTCGTCCTGGTTTGGAGTGGGGGATAGGAGGTGAAGGATGATGGAGGGGGCTATGTTGCAACGCTTCACCTGCTGGTCCCAGTGGCAGGTAACGGCTGCTCTTATCAGCAGGGGTAACCAAATGCCAAGTTGCATCAAGATCCTGGTGGTTTCCACTGGGCCAGCGCAGGCAAGGGTGGTGCGGGAAGAAGGCCACGTTAGGTACATAGGCCATGTCCAAATTCAGGTTCCATCCAGCAAGCTCCTATTTCTTGGACGCAGGCACTGCGTGGGAAGCGGACCGGCCGGGATTGCAGAGCTGGGCGCGCACCTCTTGCAGCTCTGTGCGCAGTTCCTCCAGGGCGCCCTGTGGCGGCGCCGCCTGCACCTGCGCCTGCAGCGCTTCCAGCGCCAGCGCCAGGTGGCCCACCTCGTCCCGCAGCGCGTTCCAGGCAGCACGCTGCTCCTCCTCCTTGTGGCGCTGCTGCGCCTGGTGGCGCCAGTACTCCAGCACTAGGCAGCCGCCGCCCACGATGAAGATGGTGGCTTCGCCCAGCAGCTCTGCGCCCAGCTCAGCTGCCGCCTCCTCGTTCAGCGGCTTGATGACCGTGCCCCGGAAGCCCATGATGCGCATCTTGGTCCGCATCTCCACCCAGTGATACACTGCGGGGGAAGAGAGGGGTCAGGCTGCGCTCTGGGAGCCCCCTGCAAGCCCCACCCCTCTCACCCAGGGAATGCAGTCACCTAGCCTGGGTAACCCAGGGGTCTTTTAAAAGACCAGATGATTCTAGCGAGCAGCCAGGAATAAGAAACACTGCCCCAGAAGGGAGGTCCTCGGACTTGAGGGGCCGCGCCCCAAGAGGGACACCAGGAGCTTCCACAGCGCCAAGTTCATGGACGGTGTAAAGGTCCAGTTGCCAGATGCTTAGTTCCCTGTGTTCCTCCCTTAAGCCACTGCCATCCTGGCTGTCCTGCCCTGGCACTGTCGCCCCACCCACTTCCCAGGAGAAAGACCAACCTCCTTTCTTGCCTTATTTTCCCAAAATGCAAAGTTGGGGCTACAGATGGGGGAGAGGGGGGCTCCTGGCTCCAAAGGGCAGCTTAAGGTGGCAGTCGATGCTAAGTGCCTCTGAACACTTAGATACACTTGTAATAATCAATCATTTTTGCAAGTCTGATGGCTCCAATCCTAGAATTTCATCAGCCCTGAAGGTGCAGCTAAGAGCTGCGAGCTCTTCACAGTGAGGTTTTGGGCACATACCTTGGTGGGAGCTCAAGAGGTGAGTGGTGCTGCTGGAACAAAAACTCCTTCCTTGCCTAGCTGCTTCTTTATGAAGGAAGGTTCTCAGCACTTGAGTCTTTAAAACCAATGCAGAATTGATGCTGCATCCTGACTCACTCCTGCAACAATTAATATTCATCCAAGGGCACATGAAACCACAGAGGGAACCCTTGTGTGGTGCCTTTGCAGACTCATTTGCAACATCTCCTTTTACTTTTAAGGTTTAGTAATTATTCATGAAAATGTATAAAAGATGAACTTTTTGTTGTTGTTGTTTTAGAGACGGAGTCTCACTCTGTTGCCAGGCTGGAGTGCAGTGGCACAGTCTTGGCTCACTGCAACCTCCTCCTCCCAGGTTCAAGCAATTCCCCTGCCTCAGTCTCCTGAGTAGCTGGGACTACAGGCACGCGCCACCATGCCCGTCTAATTTTTCGTATTTTTAGTAGAGAAGGGGTTTCACCACGTTGGCCAGGCTGGTCTCGATCATCTGACCTCGTGATCCACCTGCGTTGGCCTCTCAAACTGCTGGGATTACAGCCATGAGCCACCATGTCCATCCAAAAGATGAACATTTTAAAGTAACTGCGCACTAATAATTTCAAAATTAACTCAATCCAGAAGAAAATAACTTAGCATTTAGAACCTTATGGTCACAGGAAATTAACATGTAAATTTCTGTATGTATTTTGGTTGCCGACATATAAATCACTAGATGGAATTCTGTGGGTATGTGGACTGTAAATACAAAAGTACATGAACAAAAAGAAACCATGTGAAATTTCTGACTGAAAAAGAAGAGCTTGTTTTTATTTGTATTATTTTCGAGACGGGGTCTTGCTTTGTCGCCCCGGCTGGAGTGTAGTGGCGCAATCATGGCTCACTGCAGCCTCGACCTTCCAGGCTCAAATGATCCTCCCACCTCAGTCCCTTGAGTAACTGGGACTACAGGTATGCCTGGCTAATATTTTTTTTTTTTTTGAGATGGAGTCACACTCTGTCGCCCAGGCTGGAGTGCAGTGGCGCGATCTCGGCTCACTGCAAGCTCCGCCACCCGGGTTCACACCATTGTCCTGCCTCAGCCTCCTGAGTAGCTGGGACTACAGGCGCCCGCTACCACGCCCAGCTAATTTTTTTATATTTTTAGTAGAGATGGGGTTTCACCGTGTTAGCCAGGATGGTCTCGATCTCCTGACCTCGTGATCCACCCACCTCGGCCTCCCAAAGTGTTGGGATTACAGGCGTGAGCCACCGTGCCTAGTCATTTTTGTATTTTTTTTAAAATAGAGATGGGGTTTATCAGTATGTTGCCTAGGCTGGTCTTGAACTCCTGGGCTCAAGTGATCTGGCTGCCTCGGCCTCCCAAAGTGCTGGGATTGCAATCGTGAGCCACTATGCCTGGCCTATATATATATATCTTTAAACCAGACATTGGTAGGCATCAAATCATTATTGTATGCGAACTGCAATAAATATGAAGGGAAGGATGCACCAGCTGTTTGAACATGTCAGTATCATAACACACCAGAACCAGAAATTCCATCCTTCACAACTACTTAAGGTTAATGAAGAAAAGTTTTACTTGTCAACTTGAAAATGCACTAGAGGGCACACAATTTATTTTTTCTTTTTCTGAGACAGGATCTCGTTCTGTTGCCCAGGCTGGAGTGCTGTGGAACAATCTCAGCTCACTGCAACCTCTGCCTCCCAGGCTCGAGTCATCTTCCCACCTCAGCCTCCTGAGTAGCTAGGACAACAGGTGCATGCCACCATGCCTGGCTAATTTTATTTTTTTTGGGTAGAGATGGGGTCTTGCCATATTCCATCTTATTTATTTATTTATTTAACAGATGGGCTCTCACTCTGTGGTCCAGGATGGAAGGCAGCGGCTCCATCACAGTTCACTGCAACCTCGAACACCTAGACTCAAGCAATTCTCCTGCCTCAGCCTCTGGAGCCGCTAGAACTATAGATGCCCCACCATGCCTGGCTGTTTTTAAATTGTTTTTTGGTAGAGACTGGGTCTTGCTATGTTGCCAAAGCAGGTCTTGAACTCCTGGGCTCAAGCAATCATCCTGCCTCAGCCTCCCAAAGTACTGGGACGACAGGAGACAGCCACTGAGCCCAGCCACTACACATTTTTCATCTTCAAAGGGGTGGGGTGGCAGGAAGGCTTGGGGAGCTCTGCTGGAGCTGGAGGGAAGACCTGAGGTGCAAGCTTAGGGCCCGAGAAGTCACTGTCACTGTCACTGTCAGCTGCTGCAGTTACTGTTACAGCTGTGACTTAGGCCCTGGGCTTGTGGGTTCCTGGGGTCCAGGCTGTGGAGACCCCTCCCACACTGAGGTCTTAGGGTCAGGCTGATCTGGGGTCCCCCCGGGGCTCCGCCACCTGCTGCCTGAGCAATGACAGCCTGCCCCAAGGCCCCTCTGTAACACAGGAAGGACAGCATCATCCTGACAATGACACTCGCCAGACCTGGTGGTGGCCCAGAGCTGGGCCCGTAACTGTCACTGCCTCCTTCATGTCAGGGACACCTAGCACAGTGGCCAGAGAGTGGTGAGGGGTGAGGGTTCCAGATCCTCTAGCCTTCCTGGGTGAGGTTCCCAGCGTGGAAATGCAAGTGTCTCAGTGCAGACCAAGCATGGGGATCTGGGCCAGCAGGTGGGTCTAGGTGTGCCAATGGGAGTGGGCACATACCCAGGCCACAGGAAATCAAATCAAGAGGGTGTGTGTGTGTGTGCACGCGTGTGTGCACGCAGGCATGGGCTTTCAGGGCTTTCAGAGCAGGGGCCGACGGCATTCTCCCTCGGGCCAGCGGTCAGATGTGGGGTTCAGGAAACAAGGCCCAGGTGGGGATGAATCACAGGGCTGTGATTCTAGAAGGGACAGCTGTGAGGGGCCGGGACAGGCTAAGCTGGAGGACTCACCAGACTTGCGGGGGTCAACACGCTCCAGATGTCTCCTAGACCTCTCACACTCAGCACATCCAAACCTGAACCCAGCACCTGGCCCCACACCTGTCCCCTGGCTAGAGACGGGGGCCTCAGCCCAGCTGTTCCCCTTCTCCCACAGCCTCTCAGCTGCGTGTCGGGTCCATTCTGCATCTTGAACATCTCTCCCAGTGGATTCCCTTCTGCTGTCCTGGTCCAGGATCCATCCCAGCTCTGACCAACGTTCTCCTCCCTGACCTCCTGAATAGGAGGAATACAGCCTGTCTATCCCCTTCTGAGTGCCTATCACAACCAGGAATAGTGGCTATCCAGTTACCTGTCTGCAATCAGTCTCCCCACTGTCCTGTAAGCCTCACAAGGGTGGGGCCCAGGGCTGTCACAGTCACTGCTGTGTCCCCAGCACTGCCCAGTGCCAGGCCAGGCACACGCATGATGCTCATTAGATCTAAGCTTAACACATAAGTGAGTCCCGCCTCCAGCCTCCTTCCCACCTGCCGGCCCCAGCCTCACCCCTCTGCAATTGTCCCCCACGCAGCAATCAGAAGGAATTGGTGAGAAGAAAAGAACAAACTGGCTGGGCGCGGTAGCTCAGGCCTTTAATCCCAGCGCTTTGGGAGGCTGAGACAGGCAGATCATGAGGTAAGGAGTTCAAGACCAGCCTGGCCAACATGGTGAAACCCATCTCCAGTAAAAATACAAAAAATTAGCGGGGCGTGGTGGGAGGCCCCTGTAATCCCACCTACTCGGGAGGCTGAGACAGGAGAATCGCTTGAACCCAGGAGGTGGAGGTTGCCGTGAGCCAAGACCACGCCACTGCACTCCAGCCTGGGCAACAAGAGCAAGACTGTCTCAAAAAAAGAAAAGAAAAGAACAAACCTACCATTCCCCGTCGCCCCACCCCCAACTCCTGCCGCAAATAAAAGTAACACATGGCAAGAAAACAAAGTACTCAAACTATAAAATGTAAAGCCAAAGTCCCCTCCTCAGAGGAACCCTCAACTACTGCGGTCGCCAGCCTGTTTTCCCCTAGCGCCATCTCCTGGACAGCCCATAGTAAGCATACCTCACTCATTTCTGAGCTCTTCAACTGGAGGTTTGTTCAGATCTACGCCATCGTTACCTACTCATAATCCAGCCCCACTATGAAAGGTGAGCACTCTGCCCCCATGCGGCCTGCCCTTTCTCCGCTCCCCCATTTCTACAGGGGATTTGTATGCAGTTTTTATTATTCTATGTTCTGCTGTTTTTTTTTTTTATTTTTTTTAGACGGAGTCTCGCTTTGTCCCCAAGGCTGGAGTGCAGTGGCATGATCTCCGCTCTGCAATGCAGTGGCCATGGAAACACTCTCCAGTGTGGTGTGACTAAGGCAGAGAGGAGACCCTCTGAGTGCTGCTTCATGAGACTTTGGTGCTTTTTTTTTTGATACAGAGTCTTGCTCTTGTTGCCCAGGCTGGAGTGCAGTGGCTTGATCTTGGCTCACTGCAACCTCTGCCTCCCGGGTTCGAGTGATTCTCCTGCCTGAGCCTCCCAAGTAGCTGGGATTACAGGCGCCCACCACCATGTCCGACTAATTTTTGTATTTTTAGTAGAGACGGGATTTCACCATGTTGGCCAGGCTGGTCTCAAACTCCTGACCTCAAGTGATCCATTCACCTTGGCCTCCCAAAGTACTGGGACTACAGGTGTGAGCCACCGTGTCTGGCCTAACTCCAACTTCATGAGAGATCTTAACCTATAATTTTCCTTTTCTGTAATGACTTTATCAGGCTTTGATATCAGTATTCTATTGGACTCATAAAATGAGTAAGTCAGTATTCCTACTTTCTCTATTACTTAAAAGAATATGGACAATGGTCTTTCTTTCTTTCTTTTCTTTTCTTTCTTTCTCTTCTCTCTCTTCTTTCCCTCTTTTTCTTTCTTTTTTTTTTTTTTTTTTTTTTGAGATGGAGTCTCGCCATGCTGTCCCAGGTGGACTGTAGTGGCACAATCTCGGCTCACTGCAACCTCCGCTTCCCGGGTTCAAGTGATTCTCTCACCTCAGCCTCCCATGTAGCTGGGACTACAGGCACATACCACCACACCTGGCTAATTTTTGTATATTTTGGTAGAGACAGGGTTTCACCATGTTGACCAGGCTGGTCTCGAACTCCTGACCTCACGTGATCCACCCGCCTCAGCCTCCCAAAGTGCTGGGATTACAGGTGTGAGCCACCGCACCTGGCCCCCTCCATTTCTCTCTTCCTGTCTTTTCCCAATTCTTCTTTTAGATCTCAGCTGGACTGTCCCTTCCTCCAGGAAGCCCTCCCTGAACCATAGGCTGGGTCAGACACATTCTCAAGGTTCTCAAAGCTCCCTGGGCTTAACACGAGGCCGGCCTTAATAAATGGCAGCAAGACCTTTGGAGTCGCACAGACCTGGACTCAAATCCTGGTTCTGTCACTTTCTGGATTCGCAAGCTGAGCCTTGGTGTTTCCTTATCAAAACTGGGGGTCAAAATACTCAACTGACAGGATTGGGAGAATGGCAATGACAGAGTAAGGGAGAAAATGCTCAGTTTGTAAATGTTAACCTAATATCCTCTTCCTGACTTCTGTCAGGAATTTTATTCCTGGAAGTACATCCTACCCACTGGTGTGAATCTACTCTTGGGTTACATAGAATCGTTTTCCGTCTCCTCCCTGAACTCTCTCCCTCCAGACTCACTCCCTTTCATCTGTCTTCCATACCGGAGAATCCCAACTCAGATGTCCCCTCCTCCAGGAAGCCTTCCCTGACCTCCAGACCCCTGGGATCCTCTATCTGAGCTCTGACTGCTCTGGGTCCTCACTGCATGGTGACAAGTCTGTCTCTCCAACTGGACTGTGAGGCCGATGCAGGCAGGACCTGAGGCTAACTCGGTCACTGCACTGTCCCCAGCCCCAGATAGGCACAGAGCAGGCACTTAATGAAAAAGCTGATCTGTGGAGGTGCCCAGGAGGTGACCATGGACAATGGGTATGGCTCCTGTCTCTGGCTCCCCCATCTCCCTTCTCTCTCTCCTGATGCTTTTGGTGTTATCTGTCCCCTCGAGAATGTGGCACTGTGCATTGCCCCTCCTCCTGGATTTCCTGGATTGGCTCCAGGCCCCCTCTACACATCTGTCTCTGATATAGACCCTTTCCTCGGCCTCAGTGGCTGTCATTTCTCAGGGCACCATTTCCTAAGCCCTTTTCTCACTCGACTGTCACATCTACTTCCAGGGGCCACTCAGAACTTCAGGACCCAAACTCCTATGCTCAGATCTCTCTCAGCCCCGGAGCTCCAGGCCACAGGCACTTCAGACACTCTAGGTCACAACACAGTGGCTGACCAAGCCCAGAGAGATTTCCCCGGGAAAGGAGGGATATCTTAACCCACTGAGGCAAGTAAAGTGACGTACTTGGCCACAGTTAACTATTGTTCAAGATTTTTCTGAGCATGAAACTGCAGGTGGCTGGAATGCAACCCTTTCCTCAGGAAATGTGCTGCTAAGACCAAACAGCTCCCTCCGTGGTGGGGGACCGGGGCTCGGGAGCTTATGCACAAATAGGACAGGCCGGGCGCGGTGGCTCACGCCTGTAATCCCAGCACTTTGGGAGGCCGAGGTGGGTGGATCACCTGAGGTCGGGAGTTCAAGACCAGCCTGACCAACATGGAGAAACCCTGTCTCTACTAAAAATACAAAATTAGCCAGGCATGGTGGCGCATGCCTGTAATCCCAGCTACTCGGGAGGCTGGGGCAGGAGAATCGCTTGAACCTGGGAGGTGGAGGTTACGGTGAGCCGAGATCATGCCATTGCACTCCAGCCTGGGCAACAAGAGCAAAACTCCATCTCAAAAAAGAAAGAAAGAAAAAAAGGACAAAGCACCTCTTCCCCACTATTGGGAACACGCCTGCATACGATGGCTGCTTCCTTGTAAAATGAAGGGAAGGTATTCCTCATAGGGTCCACTACTCGATGGTGAAGGGTCGTCATAAGGACACAGTAGTGACTGCTAGAGCCCACGATGGCAAGACGGCCATGACGAACATGCTGGCTACTGAGAGGCTAAATCCCGTGGAACCGGTAACCGGAACTGTATACTAGGGAGGAGGGAGAGGTTATTTAATATGGGAGAGGGAAAGGAAAAACATCAAATCCTTATCTTTCATACAAGGAAGTTGGCTGATAATAAAAGATGGGGAAGATCCCAGCACTTTGGGAGGCCGAGGCGGGCAGATCACCTGAGGTCAGGAATTTGCAACCAGCCTGACCAATATGGTGAAACCCCGTCTCTACTAAAAATACAAAAATTAGCTGGGCGTGGTGGCAGGCATCTGTAATCCCAGCTACCCGGGAGGCTGAGGCAAGACAATCGCTTGAACCCGGGAGGCAGAGGCTGCAGTGAGCCGAGACCATGCCAGTCAGTGCACTCCAGCCTGGGCAACAGAGCGACACTCCGTCTCAAAAATAAATAAATAAATAATAAAATAAAATAAAAATAAAAAAATGAAAGATGGGGAAGAAATAATAAAAGATGAGAAAAAAATTTCCAAATGAGGAATGTTTAGAAATTCTCTTATTAGGGCCAGGCATTATGGCTCACGCCTATAATAATCCCAGCACTTAAGAGGCCGAGGCACTGGATCACTTGAAGTCAGGAGTTCAAGACCAGCCTGGCCAACATGGCAAAACCCCATCTCTACTAAAAATAAAAAATTAGCCGGGAGTGGTGATGCACACCTGTAATCCCAGTTACTTGGGAGGCTGAGGCAGGAGAATCGCTTGAATCCAGGAGGCAGAGGCTGCAGTGAGCTGAGATGGTGCTGCACTCCAGCTTGGGTGATACAGTGAGACTCCATCTCAAAAAAAAAAAAAAAAAAAAGAAAAGAAAAAGGAAAAAGAAATTCCCTTATTAAGAAACATGATAGGCCGGGGGCGGTGGCTCACACCTGAAATCCCAGCACTTTGGGAGGCCAAAGCAGGTGGATCATGAGGTCAGGAGTTCAAGACCAGTCTGGCCAACATGATGAAACCCTGTCTCTACTAAAAAAAAAAAGATTAGCTGGGTGTGATGGCGCACGCCTGTAATCTCAGCTACTCAGGAGGCTGAGGCAGGAGAAGCTCTTGAACCTGGGAGGCAGAGGTTGCAGTGAGCTGAGATCGCGCCACTGCCCAGCCTGGGAGACACAGCGAGACTCAGTCTCAAAAAAAATATAAATAAATAAAAGAAATGACACCTAAATGAACGTGCATTTCTGGAGAAGATCCTGGAACAGGCAGAAAAGGACACCAGTGGAAACACTGCTGAGATAGGAATGAGGCCTGCAGGCTTTATACCAGTGTTCATTTCCTGGGTCGCCTCATTGCATTGTGGTTATGTAAAATGTTATCATCCGGAGACTCTGGGTGAAAGGTATGTGGGAACTCTCTGTACTTTTATTGTAACTCTTCTGTGGGTCTAAAATTAGTTCAAAGTAGAAAAATGAAAACAGAAACAGCCCCCAGGTGGCTCGACTGTGAGGAAATGGACCTTCTCACCCATTTGCTGGTGTAAGTGTAAATCCTTGCACACCCTGGAGTCAGTCATTCTGCTTCTGGGCATTTATGTCAGGTTCACCCGTCCAGGTGGGAAAGGCCTTGCTGGGCTCCTTAATCCTGCAGCATAGTGTATGATAACAATTTTTTTGTTTGTTTTAGAGTCGGAGTCTCACTGTGTCGCCCAGGCTGGAGTGCAGTGGCTCGATCTTGGCTCACTGCAAGCTCCGCCTCCCAGGTTCACACCGTTCTCCTGCCTCAGCCTCCTGAGTAGCTGGGACTACAGGCGCCCGCCACCATGCCCAGCTAATTTTTGTATTTTTAGTAGAGACGGGGTTTCACCGTGTTAGCCAGGATGGTCTCGATCTCCTGACCTTGTGATCCACCCGCCTCGGCCTCCCAAAGTGCTGGGATTACAGGTGTGAGTCACTGTGCCCAGCCTATGATAACAATTAAAAAGCCAAGAGAGACCCTCTGACACTATAATCTCACAAATTCCAGCATTTCTGTCAGCAGCTGAAATAGAGTAAGGAAGTCTTGTTTTTTGTTTTTGTTTTGAGACAGGGTTTCACTCTGTCACCCAGACTGAAGTACAGTAGCAGGATCATGGCTTACTGTGGCCTGGAATCCCAGCGATCAAACAGTCCTCCCACCTCAGCCTCCCAAGTAGCTGGGACTACAGGCGCACGCCACCATGCCCTGCTAATTTTTGTACTTTTAGTAGAGATGGGGTTTCACCATGTTGGCCAGGCTGGTCTCAAACTTCTGACCTCATGATCCACCTGCCTCGGCCTCCCAAAGTGCTGGGATTACAGGTGTGAGCCACCGCGCCCGGCCTTTTTTTTTTTTTTTAAATACAGATGAGATTTTGTCATGTTGCCCAGGCTGGTCTTGAACTCCTGAGCTCAAGCAATCGGCCTGTCTTGGCCTCCCAAAGTGCTGGGATTACCGGTGTGCACCACTGTGCCTGACCAAAACAGATAATTAAAACTTTTTTCAAAAAAATCAAACAAGCCACCTTGGCCCCCAGGATTCCACAGGTTAAGCCTATACCTCTGCACCTCTGCTCCCTCCTCAAGACCCAATAAAATAGCAGTCCTGGAAGGAAAGACAGCAGAAGCCACAAGAACAAAGAGAAGCATCAGGGTGGGGGTGGGGGGGTTGGGAGGGTATGCGACTAGGCGGAAGGGGAGGGAATCAATGCAAGCCTTGAGGCGGGAGCAGATGGCTGAGAGGTAACTGAGCCAGCAGGGAGGCTGCTGAGACCTAGGCACCCTGGAAGGGGGGCAGGTAGAGGGAAGAAGGGGAGAGGGGGAAAGGGCGGTGACAAGAAGCAGAAGGAACTGGAGACTAGGACCACACATGCAAAGTGACTGAGGGTGGGGTTAAGCCCAGGATCCCTCCTTGACTGGGGGTAAACCAGGAGGACTCTGAGAACAGCCCAGGGGGCAAGTGCCACACTGAAAACAAGCCTGTTCCTCTGGCATGGGGCTGGTGGGCAATGCAGACATCAAGAGCCCACTCAGCCTTGGCCTTGAACTCCAGTAACCCTGCCTGGTGTTGCTGGGGACAAAACCACACCTGCCACTGAGGTCCAGATAGGGGCTCTGCTTAGCTGTGAGCCTGGCCATGAGGTGATGACGATGGGAAGGATCTGGGTCAAAGACATCCCAGTGGCTCCCAGACCCCTGCTTCTCTGTCTCCCTCCAAAGCCATTTAAAAATACACCAACTATCTCTTTTTTAAGAGTTTGCATTGTTCCCTGCTATCTTTGAAGTTCCACCTACATTTTACTTTCTCTATAAAGTTTTATCCTAATGTGACTTTTTTATGCTCAAATGTCCTATCATAAGTCTCTGAAACAAAAATGTATCTATAAATTAAAATCAAAAATTTCATTCTTTGTGATTTTAGTTAAAACTTTTCTCGGCCGGGCGTGGTGGCTCACGCCTGTAATCCCAGCACTTCGGGAGACCGAGGTGGGCGGATCACGAGGTCAAGAGATCGAGACCATCCTGGCCAACATGGTGAAACCTCATCTCTACTAAAAATAAAGAAAAAAAAAAAATTAGCTGGGCGTGGTGGCACACGCCTGTGGTCCCAGCTACTTCGGAGGCTGAGGTAGGAGAATTGCTTGAACCTGGGAGGCGGAGGTTGCAGTGAGCCGAGATGGTGCCACTGCACTCCAGCCTGGTGATAGAGCAAGACTCCGTCTCAAAAAACAAAACAAAAAACAAAAAACAAAATTTTCTCTTGGATTGCATTATCATGCAATTTCTATTAGTATACCACTGATCGAAACTGCACGCATTACATAATTTGATGTCTAGTGGCTGGGCGTGGTGGCTCACGCCTGTAATCCCAGCGCTTTGGGAGGTCGAGGCGGGTGGATCACCTGAGGTCAGGAGTTTGAGACCAGCCTGGCCAACATGGTAAAAACCCGTCTCTAGTAAAAATACAAAAATTAGCCGGGCATGGTGGCATGACCCTGTAATCCCAGCTACCCGGGAGGCTGATGCAGGAGAATCGCTTGAACCTGGGAGGCGGAGGTTGTGGTGAGCTGAGATCATGCCATTGCACTCCAACCCGGGCGACAGAGTGAGACTAACTTTTGTATTTAGTCTAATTACGGCTAATTTTTGTAATTCTAGTAGAGACAGGGTTTCACCATATTGGTAAGGCTGGTCTTGAACTCCTGACCTTAAGTGATCCACCTGCCTCAGCCTCCCAGAGGCTGGGATTATAGCCATGAGCCACCGCGCCCGGCCACAAAAAGATTTTTAAATTAGCTGTACGTGGTGGTGCATGCCTGTGGCCCCAGCTACTCAGAAGGCTCAGAAAGGAGGATCACTTGAGCCCCCAGGTTCAAGGCTGCAGTGAGCCATGATCCTGCCACTGTACTGCAGCCTGGGTGACAGAGTGACACTTGGTCTTAATCAAATCAATCAATCAATCAAATCTGACAAAGACATACAAGAAAATAAAATTATAGAATATGTCACTGATGACCACAGATGAAATCTTTAGGAAAATATTAGCAAACGAAAGCCAGCAATATATAAAAAAGATAATATAGCATAATCAAGTGGGATTTCTGCAGGAATATAAGATTGGTTTAATATTCTTTTTTTTATTATTATTATTGTTTTTTGAGATGGAGTCTTGCTCTGTCGCCCAGGCTGGAGTGCAAAGGCGCAATCTCAGCTCACTGCAACCTCTGCTGCCAGGGTTCAAGTGATTCTCCTGCCTCAGCCTCCCGAGTATCTGGGATTACAGGCGCAGACCACTGTGCCCTGCTAATTTTTGTATTTTTAGTAGAGTTAGGGCTCTGCCATGTTGGCCAGGCTGGTCTCTAACTCCTGACCTCAGATGATAATACCCGCCTTGGAGTCCCAATGAGCTGGGATTACAGGAGTGAGCCACCACTCCCTTAGATGATCCACCAGCCTGATTTTTCTCTTTTTTTTTTTTTTGAGACGGAGTCTCGCTCTGTCGCCCAGGCTGGAGTGCAGTGGATGATCTCGACTCACTGCAACCTCTGCCTCCTAGGTTCGAGTGATTCTCCTGCCTCAGCTTCCCAAATAGCTGGGACTACAGGCACGTGCCACCATGCCCAGCTAATTTTTTTTTTGTATTTTTAGTAGAGACAGGGTTTCACCATGTTGGCCAGGCTGGTCTCAATCTCCTGACCTTGTGATCCGCCCGCCTTAGCCTCCCAAAGTGCTGGGATTACAGGCGTGAGCCACCGCACCTGGCTCAGCCAGCTGCTTATAAAATTAAATATAACCTTACCATATAACCCAGAAATTTTACTCCTAGATAATTACTGGGAGAATTTCATTTCTACCAAGAGAAATGAAAACATCCATATAAAGGCTTGTACACAAATGTTCATAGCACCTTTACTTGCAATAACTTGGAAACAACCCAAATGCCCATCACTAGGACAGTTATTAAACAAAGCATGGCATATTCATATACTGTAATAAAAGAAAAGAATACACTTTTATTAAGAGTAATAAACAAAATAACAAAATAAACTAGACAGGCATGGTGGCTCACACTTGTACCCCAGCACTTTGGGAGGCCAAGCGGTGAGGATCACCTGGGCCCATGAGTTCAAGACCACTATCGGCAACTTAGTGAGATCCATCTCTACAAAAAATAAAATAAATTAGCCGGGCATGGTGGCATGTGCCTGTGGTCCCAGCTACTCAGGAGGCTGAGGCAGGAGGATCGCTTGATCCCAGGAGGTTGAGGCTGCAGTGAGCCGTGTTTGTGCCACTGCCCTCCAGCCTGGGTGACAGGGGGAGACCCTGTGTCAAAAAAAAAAAAAAAAAAAGAAGAAGAAGAAATGAACTATTGATACATTCAGCAAGAAGTATCTCAGAAGTATCAAATGAACAAAAGCTAAACATAAATTTCATAGTGTATGATTCCATTTATATCAAGTTGAACAACAAGCAGAACTAATCAACAAGGAGAGAAGTCAGATAAGGAGACAGAGCAGGGGAGGAGGGACCTTTCTAGAGTAATGACGATGTTTTATATCTTGGGTACTAGTTACATGGGTATATGCATGTACCAATACTCATTGAACTGTAGCCTTTAGATCTGTACCTTGCATTGTACAGATACTATATCTCAACAAAGAATATACCAAAAAAATCAAGTGCCAATAATTAAACATAAGAGGAGGAGTTTGGGAGCCAGTGGGATATGACTTCTTATCCTGTACTGCCTCAGGGAACCTGTTTCTCTCGCTTTGAGAGATTTCCTCACTCATAAAACCAGGATGGTCATAAACTCCCTAAATAAGGTGGTTAAGATCATTTGCTGAGATAATGGAAAGCATATTAAATAAAAGCTGTTATTATCAGTCAATAAATTATTATTCAGGGTAAACGTAGCTTCAAGCCAGTCTCTGCCCTGGTTGCACTTCCCCAGATGTGATCCAGTCAGATGATGATGATGATGACAATGATTATTACTGTTATTTTGAGACACAGTCTCACTCTATCACACAAGCTGGAGTGCACTGGTACGATCTCAGCTCACTACAACCTGAGCCTCCAAAGGTCAAGTGATTCTCCAGTTTTAGCCTCCCAAAATGCTGGTATTACGGGTGTTGGCCACCCCACCTGGCAATCCAGTCAATTTATTTATTTATTTTGTTATTTATTTATTTTTTGAGACAGAGTCTTGCTCTGCCACCTAGGCTGGAGAGCAGTGACACAATCTCGGCTCACTGCAACCTCTGCCTCCTGGTTTCAAGCCACCCTCCTGCCTCAGCCTCCCGAGTAGCTGGGATTACAGGCATGCCCCACCACATCTGGCTAATTTTTGTATTTTTAGTAGAGATGGGGTTTCACCATGTTGGCCAGGCTGGTCTCGAACTCCTGACCTCAGGTGATCCGCCCACCTCGGCCTCCCAAATTGCTAGGATTACAGGTGTGAGCCACTGTGCCCCCGCCCAATCCAGCCAGTTTTAAGCTTGCCCTAACAGTGCTCCAAGTATTAACAGAATTGTGCAGGCCGCAATAGGCAGTGCTTCCTCCCACAGACCTGGCTTGATCTTTCCATTACAGCAACCCGAGACTGCAGTAACACACAATGCTCCAGTTACCAGAGGGGCATGACTGGTTCCATCTGCCCAGCATCCTGGGGGATCCTATCTCCCCAACTTTTGGTTCAAGGGATTCAGGAGGAGGTAACCCCACTCCTGAGCCTGGCCAATTAGGGCACTGCTTTCCCTGGGCCACAGAGACGGTGCTGGGATGGGGATGTGACGCAGGGTGGACCACTGGATTCAGCCTGGGAATTTGGCAGGAAATCCGGGATGAGGCACCCCTCTGTGCCCTGGGGTCACTAGGCAGGTAACTAATACCCTCAAATGTGCCCCATGAGAGCAAGGATCTTTGTTCTGTTGACTACTGAGTCATGCCTCTTAGAACAGTTCCTGGCACACAGCAGGCACTAAATAAAGATTTGTTGAGTGAATGAATTACTCAGCCTCCTAATGGACTGAAGCATAGCCACACCCCAGAAAATGATCCCCACCTCTACTCTCCTCCCAGGCCTGGAGAGACCAACTCAACTTGGTATAGAGGATACTCAGGGGTTTCTAAGGCTCAGAGGACGCAATTAACAGAGAGGCTAGGGCCGAGCGCTGTGGCTCACGCCTGTAATCCCAGCACTTTGGAAGGCCAAGGCAGACAGATTACTTGAGGTCAGGAGTTCAAGACCTCCCTGGCCAACATAGTGAAACACCGTCTCTACTAAAAATACAAAAATTAGCTGGGCGTGGTGGCGGGCACCTGTAGTCACAGCTATTCAGGAGGCTGAAGCAGAAGAATCACTTGAACCCAGGAGGCAGAGGTTGTAGTGAGCCGAGATCGCGCCACTGCACTCCAGCCTGGGCGACAGAGCAAGACTCTGTCTCAAAATAAACAAAAAAGATTTCAGAACAACTTCAGTGCGTCTGATTACCAGTGCTACTTTATATTATTCTCTACTGTCTTAGTAATTCCATCCTCCCCACCTCCATTAGAGTTTAGAAGCCGATACTCACCACTGCAACCTCCCATACACCAAGGGGTGGGAGGTGACCCGGTTGTGGTAAGCTGGCAGTGAGGGGAGTTTCCTGGGGGCTTCTGGAAAAGGATTTTCCTCCTTGAAGCGTTACCCTCACTTACCTGACCACCCGCCCCTCCATACACACACGCATAGACTTCCTCCCTTATGAAACATAAAGGCACAATGCCTGGAGCCGCAGCAGCCCTACTGAGGCCATGAGGACTGCCTGAGCACCAACACAGCAGAGATGGAGTCCTCAGGTTCCCAATGACACCACTGAGCCACCAAACCAACCAAGAACAGGCCTTCCTCAGGGCTTACTGAAAAGCCAGCAAAAAACACCCTTTTGATTTAAGGTTTGATTGACATTTACTGGCTGGGTTTTCAATTAATTACAGATGAGCACAAACTAATACAGAGATACACCGGGGTCAATGACCGAGATGGCCTCTGGTGCTTTCTCAGGCAGGCGCCATCCCCAGGCTGACACGGGCGCCCTCTCCTGTCCACTTGGCATATTGCTTGCAGCCAGCGCAAGTAGATTCCCTGGGATGCACTCAGGTTGCAAATCAGCCAGCCCTCTACACAGGGGCTTCTGAAAAAGATCCCTGTTCAGAAATCGGCCAGAAGATTTAGCCATGAGTACATGAGCAAATTCCAGCAAATGCCTCTGCATAATGAAGGGTGGGACTAAAAAAGGAGCAGCGAGATTAAACGCAGCCAATGACACACTTCTTCCATCTGAGACTATGTGCCTTAGTTAGGTCTTTGCCAGCTGTGACAGCCACATACAAAGAATGTCAAAGCTGGCTGGGAGCGGTGGCTCATGCCTGTAATCCCAGCACTTTGGGAGACTGAGGTGGGCAGATCACCTGAGGTCAGGAGTTCGAGACCAGCCTGGCCAATATGGTGAAACCCTATCTCCAATAATAATACAAAAAAAAATTAGCTGGGCATAATGGCACACCCCTGTAATCCCAGCTACTTGGGAGGCTGAGGCAGGAGAATTGCTTGAACCTGGGAGGTGGAGGCTGCAGCGAGCTGAGATTGAACCACTGCACTACAGCCTGGGCGACAGAGTGAGACTCCATCTTGGGGAAAAAAACAAAAACAAAACAAAATTAGCCGGGTGTGGTGGCAGAAGCCTGTAATCCCAGCTGCTCGGGAGGCTGAGGCAGGATAATCACTTGAACCTGGGAGGTGGAGGTTGTAGCGAGCCGAGATTGTGCCACTACTCTCCAGCCTGGGCGACAGAGTGAGACTCTGTCTCAAAAAAAAAAAAAAAAATTCAAAGCCAGACTCTCACAGAGGGTTTCACCAAGAGTTTCCAAATTTACTTAATAATGTCTGCATAGGAAAATGTTTTCGGTGACAGCAAAACTATTTGGGGGGGGGGGGCATGAATAAATAAGTTTATTTTAAAAATTTTTATGTTCGTTTCATCCCTCTAATTTTTGTGTATGTTTTTAAATGCATATAATATAACCATACTATTATATGTTAGCGCTATACATGACTGCTAAATACTTTCATTTATTTATTTATTTACTTATTTTATTTTATTTTTTTGAGACAGGGTCTTGCTCTGTCGCCCAGGCTGGAGTGCAATGGTGCGATCTTGGCACACCGCAACCTCCACCTCCCGGGTTCAAGCGATACTCTTGCCTCAGTCTCCCAAGTAGCTGAGATTACAGGCATGCGCCACCATGCCCAGCTAATTTTTTGTATTTTTTTAGTAGAGACGGGGTTTCTCCATGTTGTTCAGGTTGGTCTTGAACTCCCCGCCTCAGGGGATCCACCCGCCTTGGACTCGCAAAGTGCTGGGATTACAGGCATGAGCCACCGTGCCTGGCTGACTGCTAAATAATTTTACATATGTGTACACACGTGCATACATATATGCTAGGGAAGGAACCTCAGAAGTGTTTCCTTGATAGGAGAACATAATAATAAATGTTTGGAGGTCACCAGCAGCAGCCTGGCTGCCATATAATATAACTGATGTGACGCTCTGGTGATTATAAATAAACTCCAGCAAAGTGATTTTCAAACACTGGTGCGTGTGAGAATGTACTCTAGAGACTGCTAAAAATAAACACGTCCACCCCTTCCCTACGTCCACCAAATCAGGACCTGCAGGTAGCACTCCTGGGCATCTACTGGAAGTGCCCCAGAAAGCTCACTAGTTTTCCTCCATATTGTGCACCTTTCAGCTCCCCAATCCTCTTGGCAGTTGTGTTTAACCTGGTGGTTAGTTAGCCCTTCTATTGAGAGCTGAACACCAACTGTTGTAGCTGTCCTTTCTAGAAGTTTTGTTTAATTCTTTTTCCAGCTTCCTGGCAATTTTTCATTTTACTTGTGTTTTAATATCCTTCTCTTTTATCCTCTTAACAGATAAGCTTAGGTATTTTATATCCACATCTGATAATTCCACGTTTGCAGGCTGTGACCTGCCATGTTTTTCTGCTGGCTCTCGCTCATGGTGGCTGCTTTTTTCATGTGGTGTATATATATATATCAATATATATTGATATATATATATATTTTGTATTTTTAGTAGAGACGGGGTTTCTCCATGTTGGTCAGGTTGGTCTGATATATATATGAGATATATATATATCTCTCATATATATCGATATATATGATTATATATCTCATATAAATAAAAAATAAAAATATATATAGTATATATATCGATATATATCTCATATATATCGACATATATGAGATATATATCGATATATATCTCATATATATCGACATATATGAGATATATATCGATATATATCTCATATATATCAACATATGAGATTATCGATATATATCGATATATATCATGATATATGTATATCAATATATGATATATATCATATATCATATAATAATCATATATATCGAGATATATGAGATATATATCATATATGAGATATGAGATATATATATCATATGATATATATATCATATATGGATATATATCATGATATATGTATATAAATATATATATTGATATATATCATATATATCATGATATATGTATATAAATATATATATCGATATATATCATATATATCTATATGAGATATATATCTATATATATCATACTATATATATGATATATCTCAATATATACCTATATATCATACTATATATATAGATATATATCTCGATATATATCTATATATATCATACTATATATAGATATATATATCATACTATATATATAGATATATATCTCGATATATATCTATCTATATATATTTTTTTTTTACTGTGAGCTTGTATGTGCTGGAACTCTATCTGAAGGATTTCTCCAAGGCCTGGGCAGAGAGAGCACAGGCAGGAAGAGTTTATGTTTGCCCTTGCCAGGTGCTTAGATACAATTAGGTACCCCTAGGGGTTCATTCTCAGCCTGCAACTTCCAGGACCTTTCAAAGAGGCCCCAAGCCCACATGAGGGACAGTCAGTGGCTACAAATTCTCAGAGGAGAATGTATCAGTCTCTACCTAGGGCAAAGCTTGTGTGCCTTCAGACGGAGGTTTTTTTCTAGTTCACCAGGTACCTTGCCAGAGACCTGGTTCTACACAAGGCTGTTGCCTGCCCAATTCCCCCACAGCATAGTCCCCATCCCCCAGGCCAAGTGATACGGTGTGGCTGTGTCCCCACCCAAATCTCATCTTATATTCACACGTCTCACTAAAAATACAAAAAATTAGCTGGGCATGGTGGCACATGCCTGTAATCTCAGCTACTCGGGAGGCTGAGACAGGAGAATCACTTGAACCCAGGAGGTGGAGGTTGCGGTGAGCTGAGATCACGCCACTGCACTCCGGCCTGGGCAACAAGAGCGAAACTCTGTCTCAAAAAATAAACAAATAAAATGAATAAATAAGTAAATAAACATGTACAGAGTACTTGAGGGCCAGGTACAGTTCTATGTTTTATGGATCTTAATATCCACATAACAACCCAATTACAAGCATAAAACTGAGGCCCAGAGAGGTTAAATAACTCTCCCTGGGGTCACACAGAAAGTGGCAGAGCGGGGACAGATAAGCAGGCAGCCTGGTTCGAGGCCGCGCTGCAAACAGTAAACAGTAAACACTGTTTACTGAATGGTGCTGAGGGAACATCAGAACTATGAGGTTAAGTGCTATTCGGTACAGAAAGGCAGAGGGACTCATGCAGGACACACACCACGTAAACAGCAGGGCAAGGATCTGAGTGCACGAAGTCTTTATCTAGAAGCAGAGGTTTTGGCACTTGGGCAGTAATGACAAGAAGGGATTCCGGCTGGGTGCGGTGGCTCACGCCTGTAATCCCAACACTTTGGGAGGCCACAGCGGGCGGATCACTTGAGGTCAGGAGTTGGAGACCAGCCTGACCAACATGGTGAAACCCCGTCTCTACTAAAAATACAAAAATTAGCTGGGCGTGGTGGCAGGCGCCTGTAATCCCAGCTACTCAGGAAGGCAAAAGCCTGGGCAACAAAGTTAGACTCCATCTCAAAAAAAACAAAGGGGGCTGGGCGCAGTGGCTCACGCCTGTAATCCCAGCACTTTGGGAGGCTGAGGCGGGCGGATCACGAGGTCAGGAGATCGAGACCATCCTGGCTAACATGGTGAAACCCCGTCTCTACTAAAAATACAAAAAATATTAGCTGGGCGTGGTGGCGGGCGCCTGTAGTCCCAGCTACTCGGGAGGCTGAGAGGCAGGAGAATGGCGTGAACCCGGGAGGCGGAGCTTGCAATGAGCCAAAATCGTGCCACTGCACTCCAGCCTGGGCGACAGAGCAAGACTCTGTCTCAAAAAAAAAAAAAAAAAAGAAAAAAAAAACGGATTCCATGTATACCCCCTGTAGCCTGTAGTAGCAACCAGATGGGCATGTCCCGGGCCAGGGCTCGCCTATCCACTATCCTGCTGCATCCTCACAAGAATCCTGGGAGATAAGTTCTATTAGTATCCCATTTGATAAATATGGAAATGGAGGCTCATAGAGGTCAAGCTGCCTGCTCAAAGTCACATGGCTAATAAGCAGCAGTGCCAAGATCCGAAGCCAAGAGTGCCTACTCTGTGGCAGACTGTGCCATCAGGGACCCCTTCGTATCACACCCTGTGCAGTTCTTTCCCACACCCACTGTGGTCTGTGCCTGGAGCTGCTTTGACCAATAGTGTGGTGGAAATGACGCTGGAAGATTCCAGGCCTTGCCCTTAAATAACCTGCAGCTTCTGCTTCTTCCCTCATGAAAATCTGGCTGTTGGGGAGTCCTGAGCAGCCATGTGAGATATTCAGCTACCCTGCAGGAAAGACCACGTGGAGAAGAGAGGCCCAGAGGCTACGCTGAGAGGGAACCAACTCCCCAGTCCCAGTGCCAGTTCCAGATGACTCCAGCCCAGCCACCTCCACCTGCACCTGGATGAGAGCCTGCCAAGCAGCAACCAGCAAAAGAACTGTCCGGCTGAGCCCAGGCAAGCCACAAAGGTAACAGAAACTAAGAGTGACTGGGTTTTTTGTTTGTTTGCCTTTTTGAGACAGGGTCTTGCTCTGTTGCCCAGGCTGGAGTGCTGTGGCACGATCTCGGTTCACTGCAGCCTCCACCTCTCTCAGGTTCAAGCGATTCTCCTGCCTCAGCCTCCTGAGAAGCTGGGACCACAGGTACCCGCTAAATTTTTGTATTTTTAGTAAAGAAAGGGTTTTGCCATGTTGCCCAGGCTAGTCGCGAACTCCTGGCCTGAAGTGATCCACCCACCTCAACCTCCCAAAGTGCTGAGATTACAGGCATGAGCCACTGCACCTGGCTAAGAGTTACTACGGTAAGCCACCAAGCTTTGGATCAGATGGCTATGTAGAAAAAGAAAACTGAAACCAAGTCCATGGCCTAAATTCATAAGAATGGCCACAGAGCTGAGCACTTCTGAAAAAATGACCTCAGCAACCTGAATGAATGATCATGGTGTATCTGTTTCCCACGGCCACTATAACAAACTACCACAAATGCAGTGGCTTAAAACAGCACAAATTATTATTATTATTTGAGACAGGGTCTTGCTCTGTCACCCAGGCTGGAGTGCAGGGGTGCGGTCACAGCTCACTGCAGCCTCATTCTCCTGGGCTCAAGCAATCCTGCCGCAGCCTCCTGAGTGGCTAAAACTATAGGCATGCATCACCATGCCCCACTAATTGTTTTTTATTTTTAGTAGGGACAAGGTCTCGCTTTGTTGCCCAGGCTGGTCTTGAACCCCTGGGTTCAAGTGATCCTCCTGCCTCGACCTTCTAAAGTGCTGGGATAACAGGCATGAACCACCGCACCTGCCCTAAATTTATTATTTTACAGTTCCAGAAGTCAGAAGTCTGAAATGGGGGCCAGTTGTGGTGGCTCACGCCTGTAATCCCAGCACTCTGGGAGGCCAAGGCGGGTGGATCACCTGAGGTCAGGAGTTGAAGACCAGCTGGCCAACATGGTGAAACCCCCGTCTCTACTGATAATACAAAAATTAGGGCATGCGCCTGTAATCCCAGCTATTCAGGAGGCCAAGGCAGGAGAATCGCTTGAAACCGGGATGCAGAGGTTGCAGGGAGCTGAGATCATGCCACTGTAATCCAGCCTGGGCGACCATGTGAGACCCCCTCTCAAAAAACAAAACAAAACAAAACAAAAAACTGGGCGCAGTGGCTCACGCCTGTAATCCCAGCACTTTGGGAGGCCAAGGCAGGTGGATCACCTGAGGTCAGGAGTTCAAGACCAGCCTAGCCAACATGGTGAAACCCTATCTCTACTAAAAATACAAAAAATTAGCCAGGTGTGGTGGTGGGTGCCAGGTGTGGTGGTGGGTGCTACTCAGGGGACTGAGGCAGGAGAATCGCTTGAACCCAGGAGGCAGAGATTGCAGTGAGTTGAGATCGTGCCACTGCACTGCAATCTGGGCAACAAGAATGAAACTCCATCCCCCCCCCCCCAAAAAAAAAAGTCCAAAATGGCTTTCACTAGGCTAATCTCAAGGTGTCCGCAGGGCTGTGTTCCTTTCTGAAGTCTCCAGTGGAGAATCCATCTCCTCGGCTTTTCCAGCTTCCAGAGGCTGCCCGCATTCCTTGGCTCATGCCTCCCTTCCTCCATCTTCAAGGCCAGCGGGGCAGCATCCCTCAAATCATTCCCTCTCTTGCCTCCCTCTTTCCCTTATAAGGACCCCTGTGATCACACTGACCTGACCTGCATAATTCAGGATCATCTCCCCATCCCCAAATCCTTCATTTGATCACATTTGCAAAGTCACCTTTGCTGTGCATGGTAACATATTCAACAGGTTCTTGGGATAAGGATGTGGACATCTTTGGGGGACCAGTCACTCTACTGCCTACTGTGTGTGATAAACCAGAAAAAGGACCAGTGCGCGCCAAAGGAATAAACACAGATGAGCTGGAATTTTCCTACTGCCCAGAGATATCTCACAGCCTCCCTGGGAGCACCAAAAGTGCACTTTGCAGGCATGGCCTCAACCTGCCTAACATCACCAACCTCCTTTACTTTTGGGTTAAAATAATTTAAACAAAGGAATTCTGTGTTTAAAAAGATCTTTGCCTCCCCAACAGGGTGCATCATCGATGATTTATGCTTCTAGCATGTACTGTTCTTTCCTCAGGCAGCCACAGCTACTGCTCCAGCCTCTCCTGTGAGACAGCTGGGCGCAGCCTGCTGAGTCAAAAGTATCTCAGCCAAAGGTACAGATACTGGATTTGCTGGTCAGCTCAGGACGCCTGACCTGAGAGAAAGCAGGGCCGCCAGTGCACCCTGGGAAATTCCAATCACCATGGCTGGGGGCCACAGCAAAGGGCAATCAGCAGTGTGAAGACACTAATGATGTAATTAAAAGGTGTAAATGTAAGAAGCCAGTACATTGCAATATCTGGTAGCATCTCCAACTCGACCTGTCCCTAACTGAGCTCCAGGTCTTTCTGTCCAACCTGCCCCTCCTCCAGTCGGCTGTCTCACACCCAATCCATGGGAAATCCTGCTGGCTCTACCTTGTAAACAAATCTACTGGTTATTCATTACTAAGAGGAAAAGGAAAGGTTCTTGACATGGTTACACCTTAACCAAGCGATCCAAATCACCATCACAAATGACAGAACAAATAGACCTCAGGAGTCCCCTGAAGGGATGTCCTTAGGAGGCACCTCGAGTCTGTGGTGTTCCCGCCAAACATGTTCAACATGAATCCAATCGGGGAAGCAATCAGGAGACTCCAGACATCGGGACACACTATCAATCAGAGGACTGGCTCCAATGTCAATGTCAAAAAACAAGGGCAGGGATACTATTCTAGAGCAGGGTCAGAAAACTCTTCCTGTAAAGGGGCAGAGAGTAAATATTTTAGATTTTGAGGCCAGGCGTGGTGGCTCACGCCTGTAATCCTGAAACTGCCTTTGCAAAATTATGACTGACACAGCAAAAGAGATCTAACTTGACTGACTCCATCTTACTTCCAACCTCCAAGCTGTCCTTGTTCATTCCTGAGTGAAGGCTGAACTAACTTTGGGAGAAACTTAGTTTATAGTTTAAACAAACATGGTAACAGCCCTTTCCCAAAGCAGACCTCCTTCTTGCCTGGTGACTAGATTGCCTTTGTAGGACTAACATTAGCCACAAGATTAGAAATTATGGTTTAGGAGTCATGCAGCTGGAGGATACAAGATTCTGACCCTCCCTAAACTGCTCCTAAGATCAGTGCTTGAGATATTCTGCAGACTCTGCACTTGATGGATCAGCTGGCCCCACCCAGATCAAAAAATTGGCTCATCTGATCTTGTGCCCGCCCTCCCCCTCCCCCACCGCCACCCAGGAACTAACTGAGCACAAGACATCTCTGAATTCCTATGATTTCATCTCTGACCAATCAGCACTCCTGGCTCACTGGCTTCCCCTCACCCACCAAGTTATCCTTAAAAACTCTGCTCCCGGGCCAGGCGTGGTGGCTCATGCCTGTAATCCCAGCACTTTGGGAGGCCAAGGCGGGCAGATCTCCTGACGTTGGGAGTTAGAGACCAGCCTGATCAACATGGAGAAACCCCATCTCTACTTAAAATACAAAATTAGCCGGGCGTGGTGGCGCATGCCTGTAATCCCAGCTACTCGGGAGGCTGAGGCAGGAGAATCACTTGAACCCGGGAGGCGGAAGTTGTGGTGAGCCAAGATCACACCATTGCACTCCAGCCTGGGTGTCGGAGTGCGACTCTGTCTCAAAAAATAAAATAAAATAAAATAAAACAGAACTCTGATATTGTCCTTCTGCTGCACAGAACCCTCCAGTAAGTCCTGTTCCACTCAGAGTAAAGCCAAGGCATTTGCAGTGACCCACAGGCCCCATACAAACTGTCCCCCTTTCCCGTCATCAGTTTCCTCTGTCCTGTGTGCCAGGCACGCTCATGCCTCAGGTCCTGTGTGCATGCGGGATCCTCTGGGCTGGAACGTTTCTTCCCCCAGATGGCAATGCTGCTCGTTCCCTCCCTCCTTGGCATATTTTCAGTGAGTTCTCCCTGACAATCCTATCTAGGCTTATAGCCTTCCTTTAAATACTCCTTGTTCTACAACCCTGATTTTTTTCCTAGAGCAATTATTGCTATCTAATATACTTCATCTTTTAACTATTTTTTGAGATGGAATCTCACTCTGTCACCCAGGCTGGAGTGCAGTGGTGCAATCTCGGCTCACTGCAACCTCTGCCTCTTGGGTTCAAGTGATTCTCCTGCCTAAGCCTCCTAAGTAACTGGGATTACAGGTGCCTGCCACCACACCTGGCTAATTTTTGTATTTTTAGTAGAGATGGGGTTTCACCATGTTGCCCAGGCTGGTCTCAAACTCCTGACCTCAAGTGATGCACCAGCCTCAGCCTCCCAAAGTGCTGGGATTACAGGCATGAGCCACTGGGCCCAGCCAACTATTTATTTCATTTATTGTCTGGCTTCCTCCACAAGAATGTAAGGTACCTGAGGGCAAGATGTTTTGCTTTTTCCTGCCTGTTGTATCTATAACATCTACGTGACAGCCATGACCCTATGCCAGGCACTGACTTAACATTTTATATCCATTTACTTAATCCTCACCACAACACAATAAATATTATTTACAGCATAATGCATACATAGTATATACACAAAATAATAATAATAATAATAATAGTATCTACCTCATCATAACTGGTGAGGACCCAGTGCCAGAGGCTGGAAGGTGCTGCAGACAAGCCGTGGCACAAAGTACAAGCCCAGTTAATGTGACCATTACATAATACCCAATGTACAGAATCGGAAATTGAAGCTAAGAGGGGCTAAATGACGTACCCAAAGTCACCAGTCTGGGTAGGGATTCAAACCTATGTCAGTCTGACTCCAGAAGCCATTTTCTTTCTTTTTTTTTTTCTTTTTTTTTTTTTGATATGGAGTCTCGCTCTGTCACCCAGGCTGGAGTGTAGTGGCACGATCTCGGCTCACTGCAACCTCCGCCTCCCATGTTCAAGTGATTCTTCTGCCTCAGCCTCCCGAGTAGCTGGGATTACAGGCGCGTGCCACCACGCCCAGCTAATTTTTGTATTTTTAGTAGAGAAGGGGTTTCACCATGTTGGTCAGGCAGGTCTTGAAATTTGACTTCGTGATCTGCCCACCTTGGCCTCCCAAAGTGTTGGGATTACAGGCGCGAGCCACTGCACCCGGCCTTTTTTTTTTTTTTTTTGAGACAGAGTTTCACTCTTGTTGCCCAGGCTGGAGTGCAATGGCGTGATCTCGGCTCACTGCAACCTCCACCTCCTGGGTTCAAGCGATTCTCCTGCCTCAGCCTCCCGAGTAGCTGGGATTACAGGCATGCGCCACCACGTCTGGCTAATTTTGTATTTTTAGTAGAGACGGGGTTTCTCCATGTTGGTGAGGCTGGTCTCTAATTCCCGACCTCAGGTGATCTGCCTGCCTCGGCCTCCCAAAGTGCTGGGATTATAGGTGGGAGGCACCGCGCCCAGCACAGAAGCCTATTTATTTATTTATTTATTTATTTATTTATTTATTGAGACAGAGTCTCGCTCTGTCGCCCAAGCTGGAGTGCAGTGGTGTGATCTTGGCTCACTGCAACCTCTGCCTCCCAGGTTCAAGCAATTCTCCTGCCTCAGCCTCCCAAGTAGCTGGGACTACAGGTGTGCGCCACCACACCTGCCTAATTTTGTATTTTGAGTAGAGACAGGGTTTCACCATGTTGGCCAGGCTGGTCTTGAACTCCTGACCTCATGATCCACCCACCTCCGCCTTCCAAAGTGCTGGGATTACAGGCATGAGCCACTGCGCCCAGCTCCAGAAGCCATTTTCTAAACCACAACGCTAAGAATGTCACAGTGTTTGGAAGACAGGCAGAGACAGGAAACAAACTGGGTCTAGGAATTCAGTGTCCAAAGTTTCGCCTCTGGCACAAATCTCTGCGTATGACCTGAGCAATTAACTGCTGCCCTCAACACCTCCATTTTCCCTTCTATAAACCAGAGGAAGTCATTCCTCTTTCCGGACATGGGGACAAAACAGTTGTGGGGGTCAAATGAGATGGCTAACAGGAAAGCACTTTGGTAACTGTGAAATCTAATACTTTCCCATTCTAAGAGCTGCAGCCCCAACAAAGACCCCACCAAACACCGAACAACCAAGAATTCCGGGCCCTGGAAAGCAAACTTTAAGCATCCAAACTTACAGAGGGGGAAAAAAAGTGCACTCCCTTAATCATGTGGGCTTTGTGTGTGCTCCTCCCTCTGCCCCAGTGCTTTCCTTACGCCTTGTCCTGGTGTTGTCCTCACCCTTCAGGTCCCAATTCAGATGTCTCCTCTGCCAGGAAGCCCTCCCTGAACCCCATGCCATGTCAGGTGCCCAGTGGGCTCCCCCATCTCAGCTCTGCCCACTGTTGGGGGATACGTCTGTCCCCCGCAGGACTAGGAATTCCTTGAGGGCACAGATTGGTGCTGGTTTGGTCCCTGCTGTTTCGCCAGCATTGCCAGCACAAGGCCTGGCACAGGGCAGAGGCTCACAAAATACCAGCTAAAGGAAATAATGAATGGATGGAGGGATGAATGGTGTGTAACCGCCCAAGGAGTTCACCTTGCCCGCTGCCTAGACAGAGCTGATTCATCAAGAGAGGAGAACTGCAAGACAAAGAGTAATTCACGCAGAGTTGGCTGTGCGGGAGGGTGTTTTGTTTGTTTGTTTGAGATTGAGACAGTCTTGCTCTGTTGCCCAGACTGGAGGGCAGTGGTGCAATCTCGGATCACTGCAACCTCTACCTCCTAGGTTCAAGCAATTCTCCTGCCTCAGCCTCCTGAGTAGATGAGATTACAGATGTGCGCCACCACACCCAGCTAATTTTTGTATTTTCAGTAGACACGGGTTTTCACCATGTTGGTCAGGCTGGTCTCGAACTCCTGACCTCATGATCCACCCACCTCGGCCTCCCAAAGTGCTGGAATTACAGACGTGAGCCACCGCGCCCCAGCCAGGAGTCTTACCATTACTCAAATCAGTCTCCCTGAGCATTCAGGGAGATTTTATTTTTATTTTATTTTATTTTTTTTTTTTGAGATGGATTTTCACTCTTTCGCCTGGGCTGGAATGAAGTGACGCGATCTTGGCTCACTGCAACCTCCATCCCCGGGTTCAAGCGATTCTCATGCTCCAGCCTCCCGAGTAGCTGGGATTATAGGCGCCCGCCACCAAGCCCGCCTAACTTTTGTATTTTTAGTAGAGACGGGGTTTGACCATGCTGGCCAGGCTGGTTGCAAACTCCTGACCTCAGGTGCTCCACCCCCCTCAGCCTTCCAAAGTGCTAGGATTACAGATGCGAGCCAATGGGCCCAGCTGGAGCAGAGTTTTTTTGTTTTTTGTTTTTGTTTTGAGACGGAGTCTCGGTCTGTCGCCCAGGCTGGAGTGTAGTGGTGCGATCTCGGTGGAGCAGAGTTTTTAAGGATAACTTGATGGGTGAGGGGAAGCCAGTGAGCCAGGAGTGCTGATTGGTCAGAGATGAAATCACAGGGAGTCGGAGCTGTCTTCTTGCGCTCAGTCAGTTCCTGGGTTGGGGGGCCACAAGATCAGATGGGCCAGTTTATTGATCTGGGTAAGGCCAGCTGATCCATCAAGTGCAGGGTCTGTGAAATATCTCAAGCACTGATCTTAGGAGCAGTTTAGGGAGGGTCAGAATCTTGTACCCTCCAGCTGCATGACTCCTAAACCATAATTTCTAATCTTGTGGCTAATGTTAGTCCTACAAAGGCAATCCAGTCGCCAGACAAGAAGGAGGTCTGCTTTGGGAAAGGGCTGTTACCATGTTTGTTTAAACTATAAACTACAAACTAAATCTCTCCCAAAGTTAGTTCAGCCTTTGCCCAGGAATGAACAAGGATAGCTTGGAGGTTAGAAGCAAGATGGAGTAAGTTAACTTAGATCTCTTTCGCTGTGTCAGTCATAATTTTGCAAAGGCGGTTTCAGTGGTTCTCTGACCCAGCCAATGATGCTAAATTCCCTTATTTTATGTCCCACGTAGCACAACACAGATCACCTTTTTTTTTTTTGGAGACGGAGTCTTGCTCCGTCACCCAGGCTGGAGTACAGTGTTACGATCTCGGCTCACTGCAAGCTCCGCCTTCCGGGTTCACGCCATTCTCCTGCCTCAGCCTCCTGAGTAGCTGGGACCACAGGCGCCCAGCCACCACGCCCGGCTAATTTTTTTGTATTTTTAGTAGAGATGGGGTTTCACCGTGTTAGCCAGGATGGTCTCCATCTTCTGACCTCGTGATCTGCCCACCTCGGCCTCCCAAAGTGCTGGGATTACAGGCGTGAGCCACCGCGCCCGGCAAGATCACCTTTTTAAAGTAGTTTATATTTTGGGTGTTTACTAAGCCCTTTATTTCTATTTATTATTTTTTGAGACAGTCTTGCTGTGTCGCCCAGGCTGGAGTGCAATGGCACAATCTAGGCTCACTGCAGCCTCCACCTACCAGGTTCAAGCGATTCCCCTGCCTCAGCCTCCCAAGTAGCTGGGATTACAGGTGTGCGCCACCACACCCAGCTAATTTTTGTATTTTTAGTACAGACCGGGTTTCACTATGTTGGCCAGGCTGGTCTCGAACTCCTGGCCTCATGTGATCCGCCCGCCTCGGCCTCCCAAAGTGCTGGTATTACAGGTGTGAGCCACCGCGCCGGACCTTACTATGCCCTTTAGATCTGAGCTCGGGCGGCCCCCTCTAGGCAGCCCTGCTGGCCTCAGGTCCCTGGGTCAGCCAGTTCCTCTGAGCTCCGGGGCTCCCACTTTCCCGACCACTCTGGGTTGACAGTGATGGATCAGGAGTATATCTCCCAGTGCTGAGCAAAAAGGCCGCATAGTCTGTCAACCGAATGAAAGGACGGCGTATGAGCGCATTAATGAGTACACAGATGAATGTCCTCTCTGGCTCAAAGTCCTTTTCCGGATTCCCAGGCCATGTCTCCAGAACCCAGACTTCACCCCCGAACCATGCCCCTAATCCAGACTTATTGACTACAGTAAAACTGAGGCACGTCGACGTCCTAAACGGAGGATATACAAGCACCTCCTAGATCAGTGGGGAAACTGAGGCACACGGTGCCGCTTTTGAAATGAAGTTGCCCAAGGACAGCCGGGCAAAGGACCCCGTCCGGTTTCTCCTCAGCCCCTCCCCTAGCTCCTCTATCCTGGAAAGCCCCGTCCAAATTTCTCCCATCTCTCACACTATTGGTTTAACAGGGCATCAGTCTCCAAGCGCTCTCTTCCTTTATCGGCTGGCATTTCCTACTCGCGTGGTGGCTCCTTGACCCGCCCCTTACGCCCCGCCCCGCCCTCACTACTGGGCCACCCGTACGCCCCTCTATCAGAAACCCCCCACTATTGGCCACTGGACTTTGCCGGTTCGGGCTGTGATTGGTCGTAGACAGAAGTCCATCCCCTAAGCAACCACCTGACAGGGGTTGGAGAAAGGAAAAAGGTTGGAGGGAATTCGGGTCAGACTCACGTTGAGCCGGCGGGAGGCAGATATAGGTCTTGAAGAACTCGCTTCGGCGGGCGGCCTCCTTAATACGGTTGGCAAGCGGCTTGCTGACCTGCCGGATGCCCAAGTATAGCAGCTTCGCCATAGGGAACGCGCCCACCACCATCTTGGCGGTCTCACAGGGCACGCGCAACCTTGCTGACTGGGCGGGGCGCCTCAACCTCTTCACTCCTCCCCCGCCCTCTCGTGGCCATGCGTGCGTCAGTACGTATGTACGTACGCTCGAGGGAAACTTCAGAGGCGCATCCTGACGTCACCCCGTCGACGCTGGCGTAGCGACGTCCGTTCGCTGAATATGCAAATATACACGGAAGTGAGGCGGGTCAGGGGGCGGTGCCGTTAAACGGATGCTGGAAGGCGTGTGGATTCCCACGCCCGCCTTGGCCAACGTCACTGTACTCCTTCGTGATGTCACGTTCCGAGTTGGCGTCCCCACCCAAAGGAGGCTCTTAATTAGTCCTAATTAGTCCTATGAGCCCCAAATACACCTTCCTCTGCAAGCTAGGGCTCTCATTGGGATTAAGAGGAAGCCGCGCGGTCATACAGACTTTGGCTGGGATCCCAGCTCTGCCATTTCCTCGCTGTGTAATATTAGATGAGTGGCATAACCTCTCTGGACTTCAGTATTACCGTCTACCAAATGGGAATCCTAATAGCAGTTGCCTCTTTGGGTTGTTGTGAGGCTTCTATGCTAATCTTGAGTGTAAAACAGTGGACCATGGGAAGTGGTTAGAATGGTGCCATTCATATAGTTAAGCGCTCAGTAAATAGCCCTTCTTACTATACAGGTCATGATTGCATTATTAATGCTAAATCCAGCCTGAGGGTGCATTTCACCCCCAGAAGCAGCGAATCCAACCCTTTCCCAAGTAACTGACAAGGAAACTGAGGCCCAGAGCAGGGCAGGGGGTGGCACAAGGTTCCTGCAGAGGTTGATAGCCTGGCATCTTGGCCAATAAAACCATACCCGTTCTCAAGCAACCCAACTTCCTTCATTAGGAGGTAGGTTCCCCAGGGAGCTAGTTCAGAAATAAATTTAAGGACATGTCCCAGACTGTCCTTTCTTACCCAGCAGGGAGTAAAATCATATAAACAATGTCAGGAAGGGGTTGAGAGAAATTCCTGGATGATGGAGTGCTGATGGGTAATTGAGAGATTCTCGGAGGCAGAGGGACAGAAGAAAACAGGAACAGAGGACTGGCCGCCATGGCTCACGCCTGTAATCCCAGCACTTTGGGAGGCTGAGGAGGGTGGATCACCTGAGGTCAGGAGTTTGAGACCAACCTGGCTAACATCGTGAAATCCCATCTCCACTAAAAAAAAAAAAAAATTTAGCCGGGCATGGTGGCGGGCACCTGTAATCCCAGGTACTCTGGAGGCTGAGGCAGGAGAATCGCTTGAACCTGGGAGGTAGAGGTTGCAGTGAGCCGAGATCACGCCGCTGCACTCCAGTCTTGGCGACAGAGCGAGACTCCGTCTCAAAAAAAAAAAAAAAAAAAAAAGGAAAACAGGAACAGAGGAGTGGTGTGTAGGAGGAAACATACATTCAGGACACAGAATCAGGGGGCTCTGGACTTCTTTGGTATCCAGTCTGACTCTCTGAGTGTCCTTTGTCAAGCTCCTGGCACTGAGGGACCTGCGTTTCCTCATCTTTACTGATGGTGCTGGTGTGTGTGTGAACCCTGATATTCTGAATTACTAAGAATGCCAGGATTCCATAAAAACAACCTTTTCCAGGGTCCCTTCCACACGGAAGGTATGCAGAAACTTGGGACTACCTAAGGTCCATCATCCATTTGGGACCAGCCCCCTTCCCATTTTACAGATCGTTTGAGCCTGGGAGGTTGAAGCTGTGGTGAGCCATGAGCTCCACTGCACTCCAGCCTAGGCAACACAACAAGACCCTGTCTCAAAAAACATAAAATTTCTGTCCCCAGGCCGGGCGCAGTGGCTCACGCCTGTAATCCCAGCACTTTGGGAGGCACAGGTAGGCGGATCATGTGAGGTCAGGAGTTCGAGACAAGCCTGGCCAACACGATGAAACCCCATCTCTACTAAAAATACAAAAAATTCGCTGGGCGTGGTGGCGCACACCTGTAATCCCAGCTACTCCAGAGGCTGAGACAGGAGAATCACTTGATCTCGGGAGGCGGAGGTTGTAGTGAGCCGAGATCGTGCCAATGCACTCCAGCCTGGGTGACAGAGCGAGGCTCTGTTTCAAAACAAAACAAAAAAAATTGGCCGGGCGTGGTGGCTGACGCCCAGCACTTTGGTAGGCTGAGGTGGGCAGATCATGAGGTCAGGAGATCGAGACCATCCTGGCTAACACGGTGAAACCCCGTCTCTACTAAAAAAATACAAAAAATTAACCGGGCGTGGTGGCGGGCGCCTGTAGTCCCAGCTACTCGGGAGGCTGAGGCAGGAGAATGGCGTGAACCCAGGAGGCGGAGCTTGCAGTGAGCCGAGATGGCGCCACTGCACTCCAGCCTAGGCAACAGAGTGAGACTCCATCTCAAAAAAAAAAAAAATTGGCCAGGCACGGTGGCTCACGCCTGTAATCCCAGCACTTTGGGAGGCCGAGGCGGGTGGATCACCTGAGGTCAGGAGTTTGAGACCAGTCTGGCCAACATGGAGAAACCCCGTCTCTACTAAAAATACAAAATTAGCAGAGCGTGGTGGCACATGCCTGTAATTCCAGCTACTCGGGAGGCTGAGGCAGGAGAATTGCTTGAACCCAGGAGGCGGAAGTTGCGGTGAGCCGAGATCGCGCCATTGCACTCCAGCCTGGGCAACCAAGAGCGAAACTCAGTCTCAAAAAAAAAAAAAAGAGAGAAAAGAAAAATTCTGGCCCCATCACCTCCATTCCCATAGCTTTACAGCAGTGGGATGGGGTGGGAAGACTACTAGGCCTCCCAGATCCCAGGCCTCCCTCTCTTCTCTAGCCCTCCAGCCCACCAACACCAAAGCCCTGATTTCCGCCATCTCTGTGCTCCCTCCACCCCAGAAAAATCATTGAGTGCATTTTTCCCCCTATTCCTCTCCTCCTTCTTCCTTTCTCTGAGAAGGGTTCCCGGGAAAGTCTTCTGGGAACCTTTGTGAAGGGAGAGGAGGGCCCGGGGGAGCGGGGTGGTAGGAGGGTTGTGAGTGAATCTTCACACCTCAGGAGTCTGTTTACACACCCGTAAGGAGGAAGAGGAGAGGAGACCTTCTCTGAAGGGTGAGGCCTTTTCAGAGCTGGGTGCTTCTTCCTGCTCTCCAGCCTGGTCATGGAACAGTGGCCATTCCTGGTGACCCCTGAGACCAGGGGAGGGAGGGCAGCCTTGGCCATCCTGGGGCATGGGAACACAAGCAGAGATGGGGAGGGGAGAGGGAACCCAAGATGGCTCCAGCGCTGACTCACCAGCCATGGGACCTTGGACTGGTTGCCTGGCCTCTCTGGTGACCGCCCTAGACTAGGGCCTGGGATCCTTCCTGGAAGTTTTTTCTGCTCACAGCCCCTAGTCACCCTTTTCCTGGAATGAGTGAGGTACTCGTGTTTCATAATCCCTCTGGCCCCTGTGCTTCTTCCATTAAAATAAATCCAAGGCTGGGCACGGTGGCTCAAGCCTGTAATCCCAGCACTTTGAGAGGCTGAGGTGGGAGGATCACTTGAGGCCAGGATTTCAAGATCAGCCTGGCCAACATGGAGAAACCCCGTCTCTACTAAAAATACAAAAATTAGCCAGGCGTGGTGGTGCATGCCTGTAATCCCAGCTACTCAGGAAGCTGAGGCACAAGAGTTGCCTGATCCCAGGAGGCGGAGGTTGCAGTGAGCCGAGATCCTGACACTGTACTCCAGCTTGGGCAACAGAGCGAGATTCTGTCTCAAAATAAATAAATAAACAAACAAAAATAAAACTCCAAAAGCTGATCACTGCTCCTTGTTAAATCCACAACCACCACCCACCCGGCCCAACTGACAGCACCTCCCTCTTGGACTCCTGCAGTCACCTCCTCACTGGGCTCCTGACTTCTATCCTTGTCTCCCATATTCCTTTTTTATTTTGAGACAGGGTCTCGCTCTGTCGCCCAGGCTGGAGTGCAGTGGTGCAATCACTGCTCATCACAGCCTCCACCTCCTGGCTCAAGTGATCCTCCGGTCTCAGCCTACCAAGTAGCTGGGACTACAGACACATACCACCATGCCCGGCTAATTTTTAAAATTTCTGTAGAAACTGGGTCTCCCTATGTTGCCTAGGCTGGTCCCAAACTCCTGGCCTCAAGCAGTCCTCCTGCCTCAGCCTCCCAAAGTGCTGGGATTACAGGCTTGAGCCACTGTGCCCAGCCAATCTCCCATATTCTACTCCCCACTCAACAGCCCGTGGGATACTGTTAATACTTAAGTCAAATCACCTTCATCCTCTACTGAGAACCCCCTCATAGCTCCCATTTATCTCAGATTAAAAGGCAGAGTCCTCACTAGGATTTACATGGCCCCACACGACCTGCTGTCCCCTCTCTTGTCTCATTTCCCCTTTCCTCTCGTCCTCTCTACCTCCTCTCCAGCCACACTGCCATACCTGCTATCTTTCAAAATTCAGACACTCTATTATTATTATTTGAGATGGAGTTTCGCTCTTGTCACCCAGGCTGGAGTGCAGTGGCACAATCTCAGCTCACTGCAACCTCTGCCTCCCGGGTTCAAGCGATTCTCCTGCCTCAGCCTCCCAACTAGCTGGGATTACAGGCACCCACCACCACGCTCAGCTACTTTTTTTTGTATTTTAGTAGAGACGGGGTTTCACCATGTTGGCCAGGCTGGTCTCGAACTCCTGACCTCAGGTGATCCGCCCGCCTTGGCCTCCCAAAGTGCTGGGATTACAGGCGTGAGCCACTGCGCCCGGCCCAAAATTCAGACACTGTCTAACCCCAGAGCCCTTGCACCTGCAGTTCCCTCTGCCTGAAATGCTCTTCCCACAACAGCCACAAGGCTGAGTGCCGCCCATGCTTCAAGTCTTTGCTGGAAAGCCACCTCAGCAAGCCCTTCTCTGCCCTCCTCCAGATCAGACTCCAAGTCATCCTCTGTTCCCTCAACTGGCTTTACATAGAAAAATGTCCCCTTCCCATTTAGCAATTCCAAACATTACATATTTTTTATTTACTTGTGTATGGTGAGCCCTGTGAAGGCAAGGCCAGGCTGCCTCAGTCATTGTTGTGTCCCCAGCCCCACCCAGCACAGTGCCCTACATAAACCTCTGTTGAATGAATGAATAAATACCCTTTCTTCTTGTCCCACACCTTCTTCCCAAACCTTCTGGCATCACTCCTCCAGGCAGTCTGCCCTGATTGCCCTTCACTTGAGTTCTGACATTCTCCCTCTTCATCCTCAGTCTTGACTTGGAGATCGCTGTTTATCTAGAAACTTAGAATTGCGGTCTTATGTTCCCTGGCCTGTATGACCAGGGGCTTTGCAAACATAATGACTCTATATCGGCTGCATTTCTCCTTCCACTTTCCCCCGAGTCACAGACTTTTATCCACTTGTTGGAAAAAAAAAAATCTAACCTTCTCTATTTGTCTTTATTTTCTGGAAACCAAATGTTTGACTTAATTTATCTGGCCAGACATGGCGGCTCACATCTCTAATCTGAGCACTTTGGGAGGCCAAGGCAGGAGGATCTCTTGAGCCCAGGAGTTCAAGATCAGCCTGGGAAACATAGTGAGACTCCATTTCTACAAAAAGTACAAAAATTAGCCAGGCATGGTGGCTCACATTTGTGGTCCCAGCTACTCGGGAGGCTGATGTGGGAAGATCGCTGGAGAGCCCAGGAGGTGGAGGCTGCAGTGAGCCACGACTGCACTACTGCACTCCAGCCTGGGCAACACAGTGAGACCCTGTCTCCAAAAAAATATATTTACTCATCTCCTCCTTCAGGAGGCCCTCCACAATCGCCAAACTGTGATGGGATCTGGGAGCACAAAGGTTGACCAGTGACACACCAACCTCACTCTTCCTAAGTTCTTGTATTCTTATGAATATTAACACAGCCCTTTTTCCATACAATTTGCATACACCAGACCAGGAGAGAAGGGACTGTGGGATGAGAGGGGAAAACTGGGGATTCTGTGCCACTCGGGGTTCATTGTGCTGGCGGCAGCATCTTCAGCTGCACCTGGTCCCCCTGGGAGGGCGGAGTGGCCGCCCAGCTGCCAGTCATGGCTTTGGCTGTGCTGTTCCTCTTGGAGGTGAGTGGGGTCTCCAGGGTGAGCGAGGCATTGGCCATCTCCTGGGGCTTGTCGCTGGCCAGAAAGCGGAGCAGGTTGTGCAGGGCCTTGGCCACATCGCTGCGGGCGCCCTCGTTGACCAGGCAGTAGAGGATGGGGTCCGCCACACAGTTGAGGCTGGTGAAAGCCAGTGAGCTGTGGTATGCAGAAAAGACGCGCTCCTCGAAGCCGCAGTCCCAGGGGCGGCCCAGGTAGATGGCGCTGCGGGACAGCAAGAGCACGTGATAGGGCGCAAAGCAGACCAGCACGATGGCGATGAGGCTGAGGGCCAGCCGCTTGATCTTGGCCTTCTCCTGGCGCTCGGTGGACACGCTGCCCCGCACGGCCCGCAGGATGCCCCGGTACGACAGCAGCATGAGCGCCCACGGGAAGAGGAAGCCCACGAACACCCGATAGAGGTTCATCCAGGCCACCCAGCCTTCCATGGGGAACTTCTCAAAGCAGAAGGTGTGGTTGTAGCGGTCTCGGAAGAGCTCGTCATGGAACAGGGGCGCCGAGTTGGCGCCCAGCTCCGTGGCCCAGACCACGGAGCTCACGGCCACGGCGGTCTTGACGCGGCGCAGGCGGGCGAAGCGGAGTGGGTGGGCCACAGCCAGGTAGCGGTCCACCGAGATGCAGCACAGGAAGGCGATGCTGATGTAGATATTGGTGTAGAAGATGAACCCAAAGAGCTTGCAGGACCCGGGGCCGTGGATCCAGTTGTCGTGGTGCAGGAAGTAGTCCACCCACAGCGGCAGCGTGCAGATGTACAGCAGGTCGGCGATGCTGAGGTTCATCAGGTAGACGCCCAGCTCGTTGCGCTGTTGCACCTGGCGGTAGGCCGCCCACAGAGCCAGGCAGTTGGTGGGCAGCCCCACGCCGATGACAAAGATGTAGAGGGATGGCGGAAAGAGGTGGTCCACGCGCGAGTCCACGTGGCAGCCCTCCCACGTGTGGTTGCCCATGGTGGGCACTTCGGCTTCTGGGGCGCTTCCCCTGGCCCACGGGGGCTGTGGGGCCACAGGGAGCGGGAGGCCATGGGGCCCCCTGAGCCCCTTCCTTGGAGGCTCAGGGGAACATGGTGGGATGTGGTCTACAGGGAAGAGATGAGGTTGGGTAGGCTGGGCTGGGCTGGGAAGGGCAGAGCTTGAGAGGGAAAAGTTGGAGGAGGGATGGAATTATGACAGGAGGGAAGTCTGGAGGATGGTGAGATTAATAAAGAGGTTTTTCAAGGAGGTTATGTATGGAGTCAGTGTGTCAACGAGGGAGTATGGGGGTGACACAAAAATTGGTCTCCGGGAGTGTTTATGGAGGAGACGAAAGCATCGCTGGGCAATGGTGAGAAGGAGATGGTTTGCAGGGCAATTAGGAAGTATGTGTAGCCATATTGAAGTAATAATGGCGGGGGAATGTTCTAGAAGACACAAGAAATACATGAGAAAGTGTTGAGATAGGACACAGCGCAGTTAGGGAGTGTTGGAAAGTTCAGGCAATGTGGGTGGGAGTGCTGGCATTTCCTAGGACCCCAGAAAGCAACAGAGATAAGTAAGGTCACCAGTAAGGAGAAGGTTCTGGAAAAGGAGGTGTCTGGCACAGGGTGGACAAAGATAAAAGGCTCGGTCTGTGGACGGCAGGAAGGAGTCTTAGGAAACAGGAAGGAGGTGAGTAAGGTCTAGATCAGAGGTAAGTTTGGGGACGGAAGGGAAATTTCAATGGGGGCAGGGGAGGGACTCCAGACTGGTCCTGGTGGGGGCTGAGGGATTGGGATGAAGTCAGTTCACCGCTGACTGCAGTGCCTGTTGGGAGAGAGGACAGCAGTGAGGGAGTCATGGACACTCCAACCTTCTTCTCCCCACACTCCTCACCATAATTGCTGTGAACTGCAGAGACTGGACACCCCAACAATGCCTACTTCAGCCCCATCCTAAGCAACCACTCTCTGAAAACACAGATTTGAGGTGTCAGGCATATTTTCCCCTGACAGATATTAGAATAAAGACCCAACTCAGGCCGGGTGCAGTGGCTCATGCCTGTAATCTCAACACTTTGGGAGGCCGAGGTGGGAGGTTCGCTTGAGCCTAGGAGTTCAAGACCAGCCTGGGCAATGCAGTGAGACCCAGTCTCTACAAAAAATAAAAATAAAAATATTAGCCAGGTGTGGTGGTACATACCTGTAGTCACAGCTACTGGGGAGGCTGAGGTAGGAGGATCACTTGATCCCAGGGGATTCAGGCTGTAGTGAGCTATAATCACACCACGGCACTCCAGCTTGGGCAACAGAGTGAGACCCTGTCTCAAAAAAAAAAAAAAAAAAAAAGGTAGGGTGTGGTGGCTCGCACCTGTAATCCCAGAACTTTGGGAGGCCGAGGCAGGCAGATCACGAGGTCAGGAGTTCAAGAACAGCCTGGCCAACATGGTGAAACCCCATCTCTACTAAAAATACAAAAATTAGCTGGATGTGGTGGCACGTGCCTGTAATCCCAGCTACACAGGAGGCTGAGGCAGGAGAATTGCTTGAAACCAAAAGGCGGAGGTTGCAGTGAGCTGAGATCGCACCACTGCACTCCAGCCTGGGCAAAAGAGTAAAACTCTGTCTCAAAAAAAAAAGAAGAAAAGAAAAAAAAGAAAAAAAAAAGGAAAGAAAGAAAGAGAAAAAGGGAAAAAAATGACCCAACTCAGATTTTAGCATTTTCCTGCAGAATTCCTGTAAAACTGGCACAGGTATCATATCATGCTTCAGGAAATGCCAGACTAGTCTAACTCTATCATGTCACAGACAGGGAGAAGGGGCCCAGAGAGGCTGAGTCACCTCCCTAAGGATGCACAGCATGGCAGCAATAGGGCCAGGGCTGGGGCCAGCCTCCCACTCCTTACCCAAGAATCCCATTCTTGTCAACAAGGATAATAACAGCAAACGTTAATTGAGCCCTACTACATAGCAGATCCCATTCCAGGCATTTTTATGCATATTATTTCTTTTTATTTATTTATTTTTTGAGACAGGGTCTTGCTCTTTTGTCCAGACTAGAATGCAGTAGCACGATCACAGCTCACAGCAGCCTCAACCTCCTGGGCTTCCAGTGATCCTCCTGCCTCAGCCTCCCAAGTAGCTGGGAACACAGGCATGCACCACCATGCCTGGCTTAAAAAAAAAAAAAAAAAATATATATATATATATATATATATATATATAAAATAGATGCAGGTCTTCCTGTGTTGCCCAGGCTGGTCTCTTGAACTCCTGAGCTCAAGAGATCCTTCCCTGTAATCGCAGCACTTTGGGAGGCTGAGGCGGGCGGATCATGAGGTCAAGAGATCAAAACCATCCTGGCCAAAATGGTGAAACCCTGTCTCTACTAAAAATACAAAAATTAGCTGGGCATGGTGGCGCACACCTGTAGTCCCAGCTACTCAGGAGGCTGAGGCAGGATAATCGCTTGAACCTGGGAGGCGAAGGTTGCAGTGAGCTGAGATCACGCCATTGCACTCCAGCGGGGGTGACAGAGCCAGACTCCGTCTCAAAAAAAAAAAAAAAAAAAAAGAGATCCTCCCACCTTGGCCTCCCAAAATGCTAGGATTATAGGAGTGAGCCACCATGCCCGGCCAATTTATGGATATTACTTCTTTGAAATTTTCAAGACTCCTATGAGGAAAGTAGTTGTTCTTTCTCTTTGACAAACTGAGGCACAGAGCTGTTCCAAGACCTGTCCAAGGTCCTGATGTCTAGAGTGCAGCCATCTCTGCTCTCAGTCCTCATCTCCAGCCTGTGCTTCAGTTTCCACCCCAGAATAACTGGACAGGCCAGGCACAGTGGCTCATGCCTGTAATCCCAGCACTTTGGGAGGCCAAGGCGGGAGGATCGCCTGAGGTCAGGAGTTCAAGATCAGCCTGGCCAACATGGTGAAACCCTGTCTCTACTAAAAATACAAAAATTAGCTGGGCGTGGTGGCACATACCTGTAATCCCAGCTACTCGGGATGCTGAGGCGAGAGGATTGCTTGAGCCCAGGAGGCAGAGGTTGCAGTGAGCTGAGATAGCATCACTGCACTCCAGCCTGGGAGACAAGAGAGGAACTCCATCTCAAAAAAAAGAAGTCCAGGCACGGTGGCTCACGCCTGTAATCCCAGCACTTTGGGAGGCCAAGGCGGGAGGATCACCTGAGGTCGGGAGTTCGAGACCAGCCTGACCAACATGGAGAAGCCCTGTCTCTACTAAAAATACAAAATAAGCTAGGTGTGGCGGCACATGCCTGTAATCCCAGCTACTTGGGAGGCTGAGGTGGGAGAATTGCTTGAACCCGGGAGGCAGAGGTTGCAGTGAGCTGAGATGGTGCCATTGCACTACAGCCTGGGCAACAAGAGCGAACTCCATCTCTAAATAAATAAATAAATAAATAAATAAATAAATAAATAAATAAAAAATAACTGGACAGAAAAGGGCCCTGGGCTGCCAGTGGGGACTGGGAACCAAAGCTGCAGAGGAGTAAGGGAAAGGGGAGAGCCAGGAGCTGCTGGGAACAGTCAAGGTCAAGATCAAGATCAGGGAGCATGGGGAAGCCCTGGGGTTAGCGCCAGCAGTCTCCTCCCTCAGGGACCACTCTCTTCACTGTCTCTGCCCTTTCCCCCGCAATTTTCCTGAGTGAGAACCTTGAGCCTGTCACCCACTTTGTTCTGGGAAGATCTGCATACACAGGGCAAAGGATATTCATGGACCAAGCCCCTGACTATCATCAACCCCGCAGAGAAGCAGAGCCAAGTCCAGAGTCACAGGCAGCTTCAGGAGCCATTCCATCCAGGGGTCTTTTGGTTTAGTTCTTTTGGACGTGAAACCTGGCTTTTTTTTTTTTTCCCCCAACAAGATCTTAACCAGAAACCAATCTAAAACAGTGAAAAGGGTGAGCTGCTAGCTGCTCTGGTGAAACAAGGTGGGGGTGGAGAGGCCACCTCTGAAGAATCCCCAGGATGCACTTTTAAAACATGTTAAAAATGGAGTTTAAGGTGGAGTCTATTGACAAATGAGGAAACCAATCCCCAGAGAGGGGACGGAAGGAGGTCCATGGGAGCCTCCCAGATGCCAGAGCATCTTTCCATGGGAAAGTCCTCTGGGCTCCACCTCCCCAGTGCTTCCTGAATCTGTGTGCGTCTCTCTCAAACGCCTGCCACTGTCCACTCTGCGTCAGCATCAGCGTCATCACTCGCTGGGATCATTGCAGTAGCATCACCATTGCTTTTCTGGGCTACTCTGGCTTCCTTCAAATCACTTCCCATATGGCAGCCAGAAAGATCTTTCTTTTCTTTTCTTCTTTTTTTTTTTTTTTTTGAGATGGAGAGTTTCACTCTTGTCACCTAGGCTGGAGTGCAATGTCCCAATCTTGGCTCACCACAACCTCTACCTCCCGGGTTCAAGTGATTCTCCTGCCTCTTCCTCTGGAGTAGCTGGGATTACAGGCATGCGTCACCACGCTCAGCTAATTTTGTATTTTTAGTAGAGACAGGGTTTCTCCATGTTGGTGAGGCTGGTCTCGAACTCCTGACCTCAGGTGATCCACCCACCTTGGCCTCCCAAAGTGCTGGGATTACAGGCGTGAGCCACCGCGCCCGGGCAAGATCTTTCTATCATGAAAATCAGCTCTTTCTTTTCTTCTTTTCTTTTCTTTCTTTCTTTCTTTTTTTTGAGACAGGGTCTCACTCTGTCATGCAGTAGTGCAATCTTGACTCACTGCAGTCTTGACCTCATGGGCTCAAGCCATCCTCCCACCTCAGCCTCGTAAGTGGCTGGGACTACAGGTGTGTGCCACCACACCTGGCTAATCGTTCTATTTTTTGTGGAGATGGGGTTTCCCCATGTTGCCCAGGCCGGTCTCCAACTCCTGGGCTCAAAAGATCTTCCTGCCTTGGCCTCCCAAAGTGCTGGGATTACAGGCATGAGCCACCACATGCAGCCTAGTTCTTGTTACTTCCCTGCTTGAAACCCTCCAATGGCTTCTGAATGGACTTGCGGTAAAATCCAGACTCCTCATCCGGAGTCACAAGGTTCTGTCTGACCTGCTGGGGCAGCCTAGCCAATCTCACTCACCTCTCCTTCCTGCCTCAGCAGTCTCAAGGCCAGTGAGTGACCTTCTTTCCAGCCTCAAACCTTTGCACACTTACCATACTCTCAGTCTGGAATGCTCTTTTTTTTTTTTGGAGACAGAATCTTACTCTGTCGCCCAGGCTGGAGTGCAGTGGCACGATCTCGGCTCACTGAAACCTCCGCCACCTGGGTTCAAGTGAGTCTCCTGCCTTGGCTTCCTGAGTAGTTGGGATTACAGGTGTGCACCACCATGCCCAGCTAATTTTTGTATTTTTAGTAGAGATGGGGTTTTACCATGTTGGCCAGGTTGGTCTCGAACTCCTGTTCTCCAGTGATCCACCCACCTTGGCCTCTCAAAGTGCTGGGATTACAGATGTGAGCCACTGCTCTTCCTTCAGATAGTCTGAGTAGCTCCGTTCCCTCCTTCACTTCCTCGGGAGTCCCTCTCCATTCAGTCCCCGACTCTCCCCTGCCCCAGGACCCTCTCCTCACATCACCCTGTTTTGTTTGTGTCTGTCTGCCTAGAATAGGTTGTCCAGGAGGGCAGAGACTTTGTGTGCCTTGTTGACTGCTGTATCCCCAGCATCCAGGACAGGCCCAGCATACAGTAGGTGCTCAATAAATTACCAAGGTCATGGTCAGGGAGCACAGAGCCATTTGCCAATGGCAAAAACCATTCCAGAAGCTTTGCAGAGGCCAGAGGCATGGAGTAAAAACATACTCTCTGCCCATGAGGCTGCCCCACCCCACCCCAGGCTCAAACAAGGGCATGGGGAGGAGGGGGAAGGGAGGGAGAGGAGTCCATTCCCAGGGGAAGAGGTGGTCAGGGGAGAGCTGGAAAGGGCAAGATCTATCCGCTTCTTAATTGACTTTGAAAGGTCAGGGCTGAGTCGTGCTCAGTAAGTCCTGCCCCCTGTGGGGTCCTCAGCGGCAGAGCTGCCTCCCCCACCCCAGACTCTTGGGCAGAAGCTTGTGGGTCCTGTGGAGATGGGATGGGTGGGGGCGTACTCCAGGCTGGAACAGTGTGATCCAGTCCCTCCCTTCCACTTGAAACCTCCCACCCAGACCAAGTCACTCAAAATAACCTCCCTCCCCTCTCCTCTGCCCTCTCTCTCCCCATCTCTCTGCCCCTAGTCTCTCCCTTCCTCCTGTGACATTTAGAGAATTAGGTCTCCAGGAGCCTCAGTTTCTCCCTTCTGTAAAAGGGGGCACAGGCTTTATAGTCATCACATCACAGACCGGAACGTCCTTGCTAGAATGCGATATCAGCTCCGTAACATGCAGTATTTGAACGATTATTATTATTCCACGGGGACTAGGGGGCTGAGACAAGAAATAAACCGGTTCTTCATGGCAGGAGACACCCACCGAGGGCTAGAAGTCCCCTTTGCCCCACTTTCTATCGACCCCCAGGGCTCTGCTGACCTAACTCGGGTACCCGGGCAGGAGACACTTCCGGCAGCCAGAGGAGGAAATACACTTCCCATTGCTAATTTCCTCAAGGGGGAACCGGTCCAGCTCTCACCCCTCCTCCCTCCCACCCCTCCTCCCCAACCTGCTGGCATCTTGCGGATGCTGGACATGGGGGGGAGGGGTGCCCAGACAGCCCTCTCTTCTTCCCCACGTGAGATCTGCCCAACGTGGAAACCCCAAAAGTCAGCATGGAACGTCAGACTCTTAGAACGCCACAGTGCAGCCGACGTATGTGTGGCAGCTGGGAGTGTGAGGCTATTTCTGACCCCTTCCTGGTACAGATGGGGAAACCGAGGCCCGCAGCAGCAAGGCAGTTGTCTAAGTCACTTGATGTCTCAAGACTGGGCAAACCTCCTGTCGCTGTTAACTAAACAGCTTCCCTTCCCCTGAGGTTTTTCTCTTCACTCTCTGAACTTCTGTAATTTTTCTCAAGTCTTTCTGAGCGTCTCTGGCCCCTCTGAGAACCTACTAGAAGATACGACCTTCTCCCCACAAAGAAAGCAAGCGACCTTCCATCACCTGATCCCCATAACCCCGTTCCCCTTCCAGGACCCTCTCTGGTTGGGATCTAAGTTCTGCCCCTTAGGCTCTGTTGAGGGGGTAAACCCCCAAATCTCACATCCACAAGAAGCTCCCCCTGTCTGTCCCACAGGCCCCCACTTCTTGGGTCCCTGCTGGCCCCTTCCAGAGAGTCGGGGGGAAGAGAAATATACCCAAGGATGGAGAGATGGTGGGGGGACAGGAAAGACTAGGAAGACCTGGCCCCCCCAACTTTAGCAGCCTCGGCTGCCGCATCCTGCCAGCCACCCCAAAATCCAGCAAAGCTGAAAAACTTGGAGGATTTTGAGGACAAGAGGGAGAAGTGCTACAGCCCCCCGCATCCCCCAGCACCCCTGGGCTCACTCACCAGCCTTGTCCCCGATGCCACCAGGCTATCTCACCTCCCCCTTTTCCTCCTCTGTGGGCTCCTGCTCCCACCACCCCCCCCTCCCCGCCTTCTCCCTGCAGCCCCAAGGGACCAGCCAGCTCCGGTCTGCTCATTAGGGACGAAATGTGATCACTGGTCCTCGCTCCCCACCTGGTGCCCTGGCGGCCGGCGGAAACCAGGGGGCAATCGGGCTACCCTAACGGCCCCACTGCACCTCAGTATCCCTGTTTCAACCGAGAGGGTCTCTGTGCCCCCAAAGCCCACACTGCCTACTAGGGATACCAGTCCTTAGATGGCCTCTCTGACGTTCTAGGTCTCTATGGTTCTGCAGTCTTCAGGTTCTATCCTTAGTTCACTTCGCAGTTGAATGTTCTATTATAACATTCTAGAGCGTTACTCTTCTTTCATTCTATTTATTACATCGTGGCTTTGTAAGTACCTACCCTAAGTTTCCAATATTCTAGGAGTGTCACATTCCAAGATTCGAAAGTTCTATTGTTAGAACACGCTATGATTTTTTTAAGCATTCTATGACTTTCATAATCTATTATTAAACGCTCAGTGATTTTTATCTTTCCCCAGCAAACAGGAATATGTATTTCCCTTTTCTCTTTTACAGAAATGGGAACATACACTAAATACGGTGAGCCCCACTTCCTTTTCTTTCCCCCCTTCTCTCGCCTGCTTTTGAACATTCCAGCAGCCTGATTTCTAAGATTGTGCAGAATTCTAAGAAATTATGGCTTCATGGAGGGAAGAGAGGGGCGTGTTAGTCACCACCTCCACCTGGCCCCTAAATTCTCACCACCTGGGGGTGACATGCTATATCCAGGCCGCCTCTCTACCCTTTCGCTAGTGGGCCTAGCCTCAGCCCTCCCCGCTCACACCAGCTGAGTTATTATTTGTCTAGACACAAACCAAATTATAGGCCCTGTCCCCGAGGGAACGGTGGGCTCCAGGCGGAGGGTCAGGAGACTGAAGCTGGAGTTAATCCCGGTTCCCCTCCACCTCCCTCCCTCTCTTCCCGAAACTCCACCCCTTCCACCCAAACCAACTATTGCCCCTCTCCCTCCCCACCACCATGGTTTTGGAAATATTTTCTCTCCTCTGCTTCTAAAACCCTCCCTTCTGGATTCCAGCCATTTCTACTCACCCTGGCATCTCTCCCTCCTCATTGAGAAGACCTCTTTCCCCAAATTAATCCGACTTAGTGGTAGCAGAAGAAGCCAGCTCTGTGGATTTGGGCTTCAGTTGAAAACTGGGGTCCCAACCCTCCAGCCTGGCACTGACTCACTGTGGGGACTTCTGCTTTTGGACCTCAGTTTCTCCATCTATAAAATGGGGGCAGGGGGAGTTGGCCTAGGTGGCTCCGCAAACCCTTTCCAGCTCTCAGCTGCCATCACTGAAACGTGCCAAGATTTCAACACTCCTCTTTTTGGATTGAAGGACTCCAGTATCCCCAGGACCTTTGATTGGAAAGATCTGGAATTCCCAGGCCTCCCCTCCAATGCTTCTTCCATCTGGGCCCTTCCATTCAAAGATGTTCACATTCAAGGTACTTGATCATAGGATTCCCAGGGTTCCAGGAGCCCCTATGGGTCTTTCATCCTCTTCAGCTGGGATTCCCCCAGAAAAGAAAACCTCCTCATCCTCACCCCAAACCTGAAGTCAAGTTCATCTACAAAGACAGAGGTGGGGGCGGATACCCCCTTGGTGGGCTCAGGAGGAGGGGGGCTGATGGTGGGCTCTGGAGGGGGAACTGGGGGGTGTGGCCCCATCCTCTCCACTTCTGCGCCAAACAAATTCCCCAATGCATATCCAGCCTGAGTACGCACACACACACATCCCACAACCGATGCCTCACAGATATCCTAGAGCTATTCCTCAGCCTAGTTTGGGAGGAGGGGTTGTCCAGTTCCAGGGGGGAGAGTGAGGCGGAAGCAGGAAAGAGTTAATGGTGACCCAGCCAAATCCTGGAAGAGAGGAAGTAGGGGAGGAAGTCCACCCCCCAGGCAGGAATTCCTGAAATTGGCGGGCGGGCTGGGTGCGACCTGAGGGGCAGTGGGGTGGCTCCGTGAAGGGGGCGCTGGGATCATGGTGTCACTTAGAGTCCGCCTGCCCCAGGTCACAAGCCTCCTGCCCCCTACCCCACTCCCAAGCAGGTTCCCAGCCCAGAGGAAAGTTCCGGGATGCGGAGGATTTGGAAGGAGAGAAGACAGAGCTGAAGGTGCCAAAACAGTGTTATAAGAGACGGAGAGAAAGAGACAGGGCAATAGAGATGAAGAGACAGGAAGGGAGAGAGCAAAGAGATACACAGAGACAGGGAGAGATGGAGATAGAGTCAGAGACATCCGCAGAGGTCCCACAACAGACGGGGGTGAGGCAGAGGCAGGGGCAGAGGGAGGTGGGACCCAGAAACAGAGAGACAGAGACAGACAGACGGAGACAGAGAGGCAGAGATCAAGAAAAAGACAGAGACATCCAGAGACACAGAAGGAAAGACACGTCCAGAGGCAGAGGGACCACAGACACAGAGACATCAGGCGGGAGTTGGAGACAGACGCAAAGCCAGGGAGAGCAACAGAGGGGGCGGGCACCGAGACGGCGCGGGAGACTGAGGCAGCCCCCGAGGGGGCGGGGAGGAGCGGTCTCGCCACGAGCAGGGCAACCTAGTGAGACCCCGCAGCATCGCGGGCAGCCGGGGAGGACCCGGCACTTACCTGCGCGCGGCGACTGGACGGGGCGGGCGGCGGCACCTCTCTCCGCTGCGTCCAGGTCCCCGGTCTTGACAACGGCGCGGGGACCCAGCGGATGCCCCCGCGGGGCAGAACAGCGGCTACTCCTCCCGGCCCCCGGGCCAGAGCCGCCAGCCGAGGCCCCGCCCCGGCCAGGCCCGCCCCCATTAACCCCACCTTTGCCGCTGCCCCTTAACCCCTTTCAGGCTTCACCCCATTAAACGCCTCCAGCCACGGGTGAGGCTCATCTGCTACTGGAACACCCCCGAATCCTTCCAAGTCCCCAGCTGGAAGGTCCCCTCTCTCCAACCACACACCCCCAAATTTATCAGGTCCTCGGCTATGGGAAGAGGAGGCCCCCGCTACTGACCTTCCCTGGGTTAAGCCATTTCCTCCCTTAGAGACCCCAGGCTTCAGTCATTCATCCTCTGGTCATTAACCTTCTGCATCTTCCTCCCCAACAACGGAGAGAATAAAGGGTTCTGTTAGGTCCCCAACTCCAAAGTCAGGGCCACCCCTAGAAGGAGCTCTGGGGTTGCATTTCCAGCCTGACTCTTGGTCAGACCTTAGGCTAGTGACATCTCCGTGCCTCAGTTTCCTCTTTGAATCAAGGTGGTCACTCATGGTGCCTGCTTGCTTCCTTCTTTTCTTTGCTTTGCTTTGCTTTGCTTTTTTCTTTCTTTTCTTTCGAGACAGAGTCATGCTCTGTTGCCCAGACTGGAGTGCAGTGGCACAATCTTGGCTCACTGCAATCTCTGCCTTCCAGGTTCAAGCGATTCTCCTGCCTCAGCCTCCCGAGTAGCTGGGATTACAGGCACACACCACCACGCCCGGCTAATTTTTGTATTTTTAATAGAGACGGGGTTTCACCAAGTTGGCCAGGCTGGTCTCGAACTCCTAAGCTCCAGCTATCTGCCCACCTCGGCCTCCAAAAAGTGTTGGGATTACAGGCGTGAGCCACCGTGCCCCACCTTTTTTCTTTTTTTGAGACAGGTTTTCACTCTCTTGCCCAGTCTGGAGTTCAGTGGCACGATCATGGCTCCCTGCGGCCTCAACCTTCCAGGCTCAAGTGATCCTCCCACCTCAGCCTCCTGAGTTGCTGGGACTACAGGCGTGTGCCACCACACCTGGCCAATTTAAAAAATTTTTTTTTTCTATAGACAGGGGTCTCACTATGTTGTCTAGGCTGGTCTCAAACTCCTGGGCTCAAGCCATCCTTCTGCTTTGGCCTCCCAAAGTGCTGGGATTATAAGCCTGAGCCACCGAGGCCGGCCATCATGGTCCTTTTCTCCTGGCGGTCTCATTTAATGGTGTCAATGCTATCAAGTCTGTAAAATATGCCAACCAGACCCCAACACTCCCCATCTTTCTCTGCCTCACTTTTCCCCTACCCTTTGGGGAAGGCAACATTCTCTTATTTTTTTCTAGTTGTCTGCCTTCCTACTAGGAAGAGTGTCATTTTTGTGTCTGGCTTGTTTACTGTTGCATGTCTGTTGCCTAGAAGACTGCTGGGCAGGTGATAGGTGTGAAACACATTGTTTTCTGGCCGAGCGTGGTGGCTCACGCCTGTAATCCCAGCACTTTGGGAGGCTGAGGCAGGCGGATCACGAGGTCAGGAGATGGAGACCATCCTGGCTAACACAGTGAAACCCCATCTCTACTAAAAATACAAAAAAATTAGCCAGATGTGATGGTGGGCGCCTGTTGTCCCAGCTAATCAGGAGGCTGAGGCAGGAGAACGGCATGAACCCGGGAGGCGGAGCTTGCAGTGAGCCAAGACCGCGCCACTGCACTCCAGCCTGGGTGACAGAGCAAGACTCCATCTCAAAACAAAAAACAAAAAACATTGTTTTCAGGGAGTGAACAAATGAATGATAAGTGCTCCTAAAACATTAGCTTATTTTTATTATTAACATCACATCTTTCATAAACTAATCATGAGAATTCATTATTGGTCAAGGGACTTCAGATAGATGTGGCATATAACACTAAAAAATGATAGCTGTCAGGTTTGATTTTTTTTTTTTTTTTTGAGACAGAGTCTTGCTGTGCCCAGGCTGGAGTGCAGGGACATGATCTCAGCTCAATACAACCTCCTCCTGCCGGGTACAAGCAATTCTCCTGTCTCAGCCTCTGGTAGCTGGGTATACAGGCATGCACCACCACACCCAGCTAATTTTTTTGTTTTTAGTAGAGACAGGGTTTCACCATGTTGGCCAGGCTGGTCTCGAACTCCTGACCTCAGGTCATCTGCCTGCCACGGCCTCCCAAAGTGCTGGGATTACAGGCATGAGCCACGGCACCTGGCTTGTTTTTTGTTTTTTTGAGACAGAGTCTTGCTCTGTCCCCCAGGCTGGAGTGCCATTGTGCCATCTCAGTTAACTGCAACCTCCACCTCCCAGGTTCAAGTGATTATCCTGCCTCAGCCTCCCGAGTAGCTGGGACTACAGGTGAACACCACCACACCCGGCTACTTTTTGTGTTTTTAGTAGAGACAGGTTTTCACCATGTTGGCCAGGCTGGTCTCGAACTCCTGACCTCAGGTGATCAGCCTGCCTAGGTCTCCCAAAGTGCTGGGATTATAGGCATCAGCCATCGCGCCCAGCTCTTTTGTGTTTATTTTTAAATTAAATTAAAATGTAGGCCAGGCATGGTGGTTCATGCCTGTAATCCCATCACTTTAGGAGGCCAAGGCAGGTTGATCAATTGAAGCCAGGAGTTTGAGATCAACCTGGGCAACATAGCAAGACTCTGTCTCTACAAAAAAAAAATTTCTTTTAACTAGCCAGCTGGGTGGTGCGTGCCTGTGGTCCCAGCTACTGCGCAGGCCAAGGTGGGAGGATCACCTGAACCCAGGAGGCGGAGGTTGCAGTGCGCCAAGATCGCACCACTGCACTACAGCCTGGGAAACAGAGGGGGAAGAAAGGGCACCTAAGCTCTGTGGCTCATGCCTGTAATCCCAGCACTTTGGGAGGCTGAGGCGGGAGGATCACTCGAGCCCAGGAGTTTGAGACCAGCCTGGACAAAAAAGTGAGACCCCCATCTCTACAAAAAAAAATAAAAAATAAAAATTAGCCGTGATTAAAAAATAAATGTAATTAAAAATTACATTTAATTAACAATTAGTCTCAAAAAATTTGATTAAAATGTTCAGATCTTAAGGGAAGAATATAAGGAATCCTGAAAATTGGATACACCATGTAATTAAACACCCAAATCAAGACTCAGGATATCGGCCAGGTGCGGTGTCTCACACCTGTAATCCCAGCACTTTGGGAGGCTGAGGTGGGCAGATCACTTGAGGTGAGGAGTTCAAGACCAGACTGGCCAACATGGCGAAATCCCGTCTCTACTAAAAATACAAAAATTAGTTGGGTGTGATGGTGGATGTCTGTAATCCCAGCTACTCGGAAGGCTGAGGCAGGATAATTGCTTGAACCCAGGAGGTGGAGGTTGCAGTGAGCCGAGATTGCGCCATTGCACTCTAGCCTGGGCGACAGAGCAAGACTCCATCTCAAAAAATAAATAAATAGTGCAGGTGCACTGGATCATGCCTGTAATCCCAACACTTTGGGAGGCCAAGGCAGGCGGATCACCTGAGGTCAAGAGTTCAAGACTAGCCTGACCAACATGAAGAAACCCTGTCTCTACTAAAAATACAAAATTAGCCGGGCGTGGTGACACATGCCTGTAAACACAGCTACTCGGGAGGCTGAGGCAGAAGAATCACTTGAACCCAGGAGGTGGAGGTTGCAGTGACCCAAGATCGTGCCATTGCACTCTAGTCTGGGCAACAAGAGCGAAACTCTGTCTCAAAAATAAATAAATTAATTAATTAATAAAACAAACAAAAACATAGCTATTCTTATAATCTTGTGTGGCTTTGGACAGGTGACTTTACCTCTGTGAACCACATTACCCCCTTCCTCTCAGGGATTTTTCTTTTAAGAGATGGGGTCTCACTCTTTTGTCCAGGCTGGAGTACAGTGGCTCCATCATAACTCACTGCAGCCTCTACCTCTGGGGCTCAAGCAATCCTCCCGCCTCAGCCTCCCAAAGCACTGAGATTACCAGAGCCACCAAACCCAGCCAAAGTGAGCAGGTTAACGAAGACTCAAGAGACCAACAACACTCATAGGAATAAATGTTTTTTTTTTTTTTTTTTTTTTTTTTTGAGACAGAGTCTCGCTCTGTCGCCCTGGCTGGAGTGCAATGGTGCGATCTTGGCTCACTGCAAGCTCCGCCTCCCAGGTTCACGCCATTCTCCTGCCTCAGCCTCCCGAGTAGCTGGGACTACAGGCGCCCGCCACCGCGCCCAGCTAATTTTTTGTATTTTTTAGTAGAGACAGGGTTTCACTGTGTTCTAGATCTCCTGACCTCGTAATCCGCTCTCCTCGGCCTCCCAAAGGGCTGGGATTACAGGCGTGAGCCACCACGCCAGGCCAGGAATAAATGTTTTTTTCCTTCAGGCCGGGCACAGTGGCTCACGCCTGTAATCCCAGCCCTTTGGGAGGCCGAGGCAGGTGGATTGCTTGAGGCCAGGAGTTCAAGACCAGCCTGGCCAACATGGCAAAACCCCATCTCTACTAAAAATACAAAAATTAGCTGGGCATGGTAGCGCACACCTGCAGCCCTAGCTACTCGAGAGGCTAAGACATGAGAATCGCTTGAGCCTGGCAGGCAGAGGTTGCAGTGAGCTGGGATTGTGCCACTGCACTCCAGCCTGGGCAACACAGTGAGACTGACTCAAAAACTAATAATAATAAAAAGATAAATTCTGAATGCTCATTGGTGGGCTTAGAGTCCCCTTCTCTCTCTGGCTCATCCTAAATTTATGCTGAGACTCGATCAGGGTCCTGGAGGGAAGCAAGTGGCCACTCCGAGTTTAACTGGGAGCATTTATGGGCAGTTTATAGAGGGATGGGCAGAGTGGAGAAAGCCACAAAGGATGGGGCGGCCCCAGGGGACCATCCGAAGTGGGCACGAAGCCATCGCCAGCCTAGGGCAGAAGGGACAGGGAGGGAGTCTGTTACCCGTCTCCAGGGACAGCTCGAGTTCCCAGAGGAACTGCGGCTCAGAGGAGGGGAACCACAGCCACTGTGAGTGCGGGATGCAGGGAGGGGCCCAGGAAGCAAATACCCTGACCTCTCTCCACCGACCCTGCCGATAGAATTTGCACACGGCGGTCTCCCAGGGCCCCGAGCTGGGGAAGGAAGGCTGAGAGTGACCCTGGGGGCGCGGAGGAGGGTCACGTGGAGAATCACCAGCACTTTTCCAGCAGAACTTTCTTGGCACATTTTTCCATGCAGGTCCAAGACTGGCCACGAGGGGTCGAAAGAGCACCCGGATGCCCGATGAAAGGGCCGCTTCCGCAGCGCTGGGCCACTTTCCCAGAACCTGGGCAATGGGGAAGGGACAAAAGGTGGGGAGTGAGGGGAGGAGGAGAGGAGGCTTTGACCCAAGAGCGGCAGAAAACTGTCTTCTAGACCTAAGGGTGATAGGATAGGCCTAGTGCAAACTCCATCCACAGGGTCGGTGGAGAGAGTCAGGGTACACTCACTTCCTGGGCCCCTTTCTGCTTCCCTTAGTCCCACAGTGGCTGTGGCCCCCTCCTCTGAACCACAGCTCCTCTGGGAACTCTGCCTGTCCCTGGAGACGGGTAACAAATTCCCTCCCTGTCCCTTCTGCCCTAAGGGTGGTGATGGCTTGGGTCTCACTGGTCTCCTATCTCCAGCATAGGTCTGGTCACTGCTGGCTGATGAGGAGTTCGCCCGTGGACAAGTTCAGAAAGGGAGGGTTCAAATGGCTGGCACCTAAGACAATGTGACTGTAGAGGGTGCTGGCTTTTAAAAAAGTGAAGGATCAGCCCCGGTGTGGTGGCTCATGCCTGTATTCCCAGCACTCTGGGAGGCTGAGGCAGGCAGATCACCTGAGGTCAGGAGTTCGAGACCAACCTGGCCAACATGGCGAAACTCTTTATTAAAAAATACAGGCTGGGCGCAGTGGGTCATGCTTGTAATCCCAACACTTTGGGAGGCTGAGGCGGGCGGATCACGAGGTCAGGAGACTGAGACCATTCTACCTAACACAGTGAAACCCCATCTAAAAATACCAAAAAAATTAGCCGGGCATGGTGGCAGGTGCCTGTAGTCTGAGCTACTCGAGAGGCTGAGGCAGGAGAATGGCATGAACCCAGGAGGCGGACCTTTCAGTGAGCCGAGATCGCACCAGTGCACTCCAGCCTGGGCGACAGAGTGAGACTCCGTCTAAAAAAGAAAAAAGAAAAAAAAATGCAAAAAGTAGCCAGGTGTTGTGGCATGCACCTGCATTCCCAGCTACTCAGGAGGCTGAGGCAGGAGAATCGCTTAAACCCGGGAGGCAGAGGTGGCAGTGAACCAAGATCATGGCACTGCACCCAGCCTGGGCGACAGAGCGAGACACCATCTCAAATAAAAAAAAAATTTTATTTTAATTTTTTTGAGACAGAGTCTCACTCTGTCACCCAGACTGGAGTGCAGTGGTATGATCTCGGCTCACTGCAACCTCTGCCTCCCAGGTTCAAGCCATTCTCCTGCCTCAGCCTCCTGAGTAGCTGGGATTACAGGTGCCCGCCACCACACCCGGATAATTTTTTTTGTATTTTTTAGTAGGGACAGGGTTTCACCATGTTGGCCAGGCTGGTCTTGAACTCCTAACTTCAGGTGATCAACCTGCATCGGCTTCCCAGAGTGCTAGGATTACAGATGTGAGCCACCGCACCCAGCCAGAAAGTTTTATTTTAATCTAAGTTAGAGCAAGATGGTTTCTGTTGCTTGCATCCAATGAAGACCTAAGTAACAATGGTCCCTCATCATAAGCACTGTGACACACTGATCTGGTTTGGCTGGGTCCCCACCCAAATCTCATCTTGAATTCCCAGGCGTTGTGGGAGGGAACTGGTGGGAGGTAATTAAATCACGGGGCAGGTCTTTCCCATGCTGTTCTTGATAGCGAATGAGTCTCACAAGATCTGATGGTTTTCAAAAGTGGCGTTTCTCTGCACAAGCTCTCTTCTCTTGTCTGCCACCATGTAAGATGTGCCTTTCATCGTCCACCATGATTGTGAGGCCTCCCCAGCCACATGGAACCATAAGTCCAATAGACCTCTTTTTTTTTTGTAAATTGCCCAGTCTCAGGTATGTCTTTATCAGCAGCATGAAAACGGGCTAATACACTAATACACACACACATCCATACACATACACAACTGTGTAGGCACATACCGTACAAATACATAGACCCTGACACACCTTAGTGTACGTGTCTTTATTTCTGGATGATATAAAAGAAAAAACTTAAAAAACACCCCAAACCAAACACCAATGGATCCCCAAAGCGATGTGACTCCCTCTTCCCACCCGGATAAATAGAGACTTCTGTATGTCAGTCTACCCTCCCGCCCCCATAACCCCCTCTGCTATAGACATACTCTGGGTATATATTACTCTACTCGGCAATAGACATCTCCCGAAAATAGAATTCCTGCCCTGACACCTGACTCTTCCCTGGCCGCATCAGACCACCCGCCACTGTAGCACACTGGTGTCCTTGCCCCCTGTGGTCAGGGCCATGCTGTCATCCCACAAGAAGGCCACATTTGTCACATGGCTGCTGTGTCCACCGTACTTGTGGCTGAGGGCCTGTTACAAGGAAAGAAGTAAGTGAAGAAATGTCAGTGGGGACAATGCCACCCCATCATGGTCCTCTTGTCTTGACCCGGTTCTTTTCTGCTCTTCCTCTTTTTTTTTTTTTTTAATCACTTAGAGTGAAGTCACTTAGGTATGAGCACAGCTTCAATGCAGCCTTGACCTCCTGGGCTGAAGGGATCCTCCCACCTCAGTCTCCCAAGAAGTAGCTGGGATCACAGATATGCGCCCCCACACCTGGCTAATTCTTTTTCCTTTTATAGCAATGGGGTGTCCCAGTGTTACCAGGGCTAATAAGCCCTTTGTTTAAGAACCAACAGAGGCCAGGCGTGGTGGCTCACGCCTGTAATCCCAGCACTTTGGGAGGCCGAGGCAGGCGGATCACAAGGTCAGGAGATCAAGACCATCCTGGCCAATATGGTGAAACCCCGTTCTCTACTAAAAATATAAAAATTAGCTGGGTGTGGTGGCGCATGCCCGTAATCCGAGCTACTTCGGAGGCTGAGGCAGGAGAATCACTTGAACCAGGGAGTCGGAGGTTGCAGTGAGCCAAGATTGTGCCACTGCACTCCAGCCTGGTGACAGAGTGAGACTCTGTCTCAAACAAAAAAGAACCAACAGAACAGCTGGGCATGGTGGCTCACGCCTGTAATCCCAGCACTTTGGGAGGCCGAGGTGGGGGTGGATCACTTGAGGTCAGGAGTTCAAGACTAGCCTGGCCAACGTGGTGAAACCCCGTCTCTACTAAAAATACAAAATTAGGCCTGGCGTGGTGGCTCATGCTTATAATCCCAGCACTTTGGGAGGCCAAGTTGGGGAGATCACTTGAGGTCAGGAGTTCGATACCAGCCTGGCCAACGTGGTAAAACCCTGTCTCTACTAAAAATACAAAAAAATTAGCCGGGCGTGGTGGCACACGCCTGTAGTCCCAGCTATTTGGGAGGCTGAGGCATGAGAATCACTTGAACCCAGGCAGCGGAGGTTGCAGTGAGCCGAGATCGTGCCACTGCACTCCAGCCCGGGCGATAGAGGGAGACTCTGTCAAAAAAACAAAAACAAACAAAAAACCCAGCAGGGCAACTGAATTGGTTTATTCAGCAAGTTAATGGCATAAATAGAAGAAATAGCATGCACGTGGGGAAGGCTATTCTACATGCTGGGATTTGAGACATAAGCAAATGTAGTTTGGACCCTGGTTCAAACAAACCAACCATAGAAGGCCAGTCTGGGGCACATCAGGGAAATATGAATATGTACTGGCTATGAGATCATATTTAGGAATTAACGTTTTGTTTTTGCCTTCCTAGGGATGAGGCATGTAAGAAATTAATGTTGCTGGGCGTGGTGGCTCACGCCTATAATCCCAGCACTTTGGGAGGCCGAGGCAGGCAGATCGCCTGAGGTTGGGGGTTCAAGACCAGCCTGACCAATATGGAGAAACCCTGTCTCTATTTGAAAAATACAAAATTAGCCGGGCATGGTGGTGCATGCCTGTAATCCCAGCTACTCAGGAGGCTGAGTCAGGAGAATCGCTTGAACCCAGGAGGCGGAGGTTGCAGTGAGCCAAGATCGCGCCATTGCACTGCAGCCTGGGCAACAAGAGTGAAACTCTGTCTCAAAAAAAAAAAAGAAGAAGAAATTAATGTTAATTAGGAGTGGTCAGAGGCTTGTGGATATGTAACAATTCTTCTTCTTCTTCTTCTTCTTTTGAGACAGAATCTCGCTCTTTTGCCCAGGCTGGAGTGCAGTGGTGCAATCTCAACTCACTGCAACCTCCGCCTCCCAAGTTCAAGTGATCCTCCTGCCTCAGCCTCCTGAGTAGTTGGGATCACAGGTGCCCGCCACCACCCATGACTAATTTTTTTGCATTTTTAGTAAAGACGGGGTTTCACCATGTTGGCCAGGCTAGTCTCGAACTGTTGACCTCAGGTGATCCGCCTGCCTCGGCCTCCCAAAGTGCTGGGATTACAGGCGTGAGCCACCGGGCCTGGCCAGAATTATCCTTATTTTTTTAGGCATGAATGCTCAATTTAGAGGGCTAAAAGATAACCTATGCGTTTTCGTGTGTGTGGGTTTTTTTGTTTTTGTTTTTGTTTTATGACGGAGCCTTGCTGTCGCTCAGGCTGGAGTAAAGTGGCACGATCTCCGCTCACTACAGCCTCTGCCTCCCGGGTTCAGGCAATTCTCCCGCCTCACCTTCCCCAGTAGCTGGGATTACAGGCGTGCACCACCAGGCTTGGCTAATTTTTGTATTTTTGTATTCTTTTTTTTTTTTGAGACAAAGTCTCACTCTATCGCTCAGTGCATTGTTGCTTAGTGGAGTGCAGTGGCGTGATCTTGGCTCACTGCAACCTCTACTTCTTGGGTTCAAGCAATTCTCCTGCCTCAGCCTCCTGTGTAGCTGGGATTACAGGCGCCTGCCACTACGCCTTGCTAACTTTTGTATTTTTAGTAGAGTCAGGGTTTCACCATGTTGGTCAGGCTGGTCTCAAACTCCTGACCTCAGGTGATCCATCACCTTGGTCTCCCAAAATGCTGGGATTACAGGCTTGAGCCACCGCACCCGGCCACATATGCAGTTTCTTAAAACTACAGACCAGGACAGGTACTGTGGCTCATGCCTTGTAATCCCAGCACTTTGGGAAACTAAGGTGGAGAGGATTGCTCAAGCCCAGGAGATCAAGACCAGCCTGGGCAACAGAGAACCTATCTCTATGAAAAATACAAAAATTGGCCAGGTGTGGTGGTGCACGCCTGTAGTCCCAGCTACTCAGAAGGCTGAGGTGGGCGGACCGCTTGAGTCCAGGAGGTCAAGGCTGCAGTGAGCCGAGATTGTGCCATGCCACTGCACTCCAGCGTGGGCAACAGAGTGAGACCCTGTCTCAAAAATAAAAAATAAAAAAAGAAGAGAAAGGAGAAAGAAGAAACAAATGAAATAAATATACCAAATCTGGTAATAGTTGAACATGGGTAACAGGTACAGGAGGAGTCACTGTACTAGTCTTTCTGCTTTTATGCATGAAAATTTCCTAGGAAAATGCTGAAACAATCCCTCTTCTGTTAGAACCAGAGAATGGTAAAATTAACGTCCAGCTTTTTTTTTTGTTTTTGTCTTTGTTTTGAGACAAAGTCTTGCTCTGTCGCCCAGGCTAGAGTACAGTGGTGCAATCATGGCTCACTGCAGCCTCAACCTCCTGGGCTCAAGCAATCCTCCCACCTCAGACTTCCTTGTAGCTGGAACTACAGGCATGCACAACCATGCCCAGCTAATTTTGTGTGTATTTTGTAGAGATGGGGTCTCACTTTGTTGCCCAGGCTGGTCTTGAACTCCTGGCCTCAAGCAATCCTCCTGCCTCAGCTTTGCAAAGTGTTGCGATTACAGGTGTGAGCCACTGCAACTGGCCTTGGCCTCCCTTAAAAACTCATAAGATCTGGTTGTATATCCTGTGCCTAGGTACATAGTAGGTGCTCAATAAATATTTACTGAGTTAACAAGGATAAAAGAACCAAAGAGCTCAGAATTGCAGTTGCTCAGAACTTCAGAGAACCAGGTCTTCACCATGACACACTGAAATTCATCCACCTTGGGGTTAAGAAAGGCCCTTGGGATCAAGACTACTGTCCTCCTTGTACAGATGGGGAAACCGAGGCTCAGAGAAGGGGTGGGGTTGGACCAGAGCTGCCTGAATTTTGTCCCCACCCCTGCTTGCTACCCCCGTCCATCCCCATCTCCCCAAGGGACTCACTCGAGGCTGACAGCAGGGGTAGCTAAACAGGTGAACTTTGCCAAAGTCATCAGCTGAAGCCAGCAACTTCCCATCATGAGAGCGGGCCACAGCGTTGATATCAGTGCCGTCCGCCCCCTCAGACCAGATCCCTGTGGGCAAGATGAAGGGAAGTGGTAAGATGTCAGCTGGAGCCAGGGACCGCCAAGAGGAGCAGATTGCCACTCCAGCCACCTTAATTTGTTCCGACCTAGCCTGTATCTATCCGAGGATATGAGTCAGAATTACCTTAAAATGTGAATCCGAGCCTGCCCCTGCTCTGCTTAAAACCCTTCCATGGCTCCCTGGTGATCTTAGAAGAAAGCCTGTGGTTCTAAGGCTCAGCAGGCCCCATGCACTGCTCCAGCCTCATCCCTCATCAGTGCTCCTGTTAAACTCTGTAATGATTTGGCCACCCTGCCTCCCTGCATTTCTCCAAATGCCAAGTTCTGTGTCACGCGTGGGCTTTTGTATGTACTATTCCCTTTGCCAAGAGACTGCTTTCCTTCTTCACTGCCCTGGAAAGTAACTCCTCATCCTCCAGGTCCTAGCTCAGATGTCTCTTCCTCCAGGAAGCCCTCCCTGATTCCCTCCAAGAGTAGGCCAGATGCCCCACCCTGGGTTTCCCTGTCTCAGACCTGCTCACTCTGGGTCATCACTGTCTGGGGACAAGTCTGCCTCCCCCACTGGACTGAGAGCCACAGGAGAGCAGGGCCGTCAGTCATGGTCACTGCCAAGCCCACGGCAGGCACAGAACTGCTCAGGGAATATGTGTTTGCTTCATTCGTGCCTGAATGAATGGGTGGCTAGGGCACCGGCAGTGTGGATCTCTCCTGGCCAGTTACCACGCCCATTTGGTTTCATTTTATTACAGCTCTAATGAGTCATCTCACCCTACCCTTTCCTCTTACACAAATACAGCCCACATGCAGTAAAGCAGTGAGCTTCCCACACTGGAGGTAAGCAGTAAGACTCTGGAAACCACCAGCGGGGATGTCTCTCAGAACTACTGTCCTCAGTGAGACCTCTCTCATTCCAGAACTCACCAAACACCCCAAACCCTAGGACACAAGTAGCTGTGGCCCATTCCATGTTCCTCACAGCATCCGCACTGGTGATCTGCTTACAGGTAGCCGGGTCCCCTGGGGCAGAAAATGGGAGGAGACATTCAGAGTTGGAAGAACTACCCAGTAAACCCATCCCTTTCTTAGACAATCGGAGCTGAGGTCCAAGACAGAGGAGGCTAAGGTCCCAGGGCTCATTCTACCTGTCAGGACTGGCTGAGAAGGCATCACATGCTGGGGTCTTCACAGCCCGCAGCGTAAGCAGGAGCATCTACTTTTAAACCCGCATCTGGCCGGGCATGGTGGCTCACGTCTGTAATCCCAGGAGGCAGCATGAGCCACAGCATCTGGCTGGATCACCTGAGGTCAGGAGTTCGAGACCAGCCTGGCCAAGATGGTGAAACCCCATCTCTACTAAAAATACAAAAATTAGACCAGGTGTGGTGGCTCATGCCTGTAATCCCAGCATTTTGGGAAGCCAAGGCAGGCGGATCACCTGAGGTCAGGAGTTTAAGACCAACCTGGTCAACATGGCGAAACCCTGTCTCTACTAACAATATTTTAAAAATTAGCTGGGCGTGGTGGTGGACACCTGGAATCCCAGCTACTCAGGAGCCTGAGGCAAGAGAATCGCTTGAACCTGGGAGGCGGAGGCTGCAGTGAGCCGACATCGTGCCATTGCACTCCAGCCTAGGAGACAAGAGGGAAACTCCCATCTCAAAAAAAAAAAAATACAAATACAAATATTAGCCGGGCATGGTGGTGTGCTCCTGTAATCCCAGCTACTCAGGAGGCTGAGGCAGAAGAATCACTTGAACCTGGGAGGCGGAGCTTGCAGTGAGCCGAGATCGCGCCACTGCACTCCAGCCTGGGGGACAGAGCAAGACTCCGTCTCAAAATAATAATAATAATAATAATAATAATAATAATAATTAAAAATTTAAAAATGTAAAAAAAGAAACCTGCATCCTACCCATCCGACCGGAAAGGGGAGGAGTTGACTAAAAGTGGGGTATACCAGGGAGAAAATGAGAAGCCAGCGGTCCCTAAATTCCAAATCAGAACCAGCCTTGAATACCAAGGGAGCGAGGCTTGAAGCCCCTCCCTCCCCTCCCAGAACTCAGGGAAGTCTGCAAATGAGACGGAGGAAGTAATGTCTCTGGGTCCCGGAGAACTCACAGTACAGAATCTCATAGTCCCCGGAGTTGGTGACAAAGCAGCTGCTGTCCTGGGCCCAATCCAGGTGGGTGATAAAACTGGAATGGCCCTGCGGGGGAGGGAAGGGATGGTGTTAGAGCTGCAGAGGGCGGAACCAAGGAGAGGGGGACAGGATTAAATCAGGAAAGTGGAAGTCAAATACAGAGGTAGGGCGAGAACACAAGGGGACTAAAGGAAGGATACACAGGCCTTTGGAGTATGGGGGCAGGGCCAGAATACTGTGGGCGGGGCCAGACTGTGATGGGCAGGGCTAGACAAAAAGCACTTAGAACACAATGGGAGTTTAGAACAGGTGGGCAGGGCTAGACACGGAGGAGCTGGCTTTGAATGTTGAGGGGCGGGGCTACACAGAGGGGCGGTCTCGGAACGTGAGGGGCGGTCTCGGAACGTGAGGGGCGGGGCTACACAGATGGGCTTAGCACGTGGGGGCGGGGCTACACAAAGGGGCGGGCTTAGAACACACGAGGTGGTGAATGTGTGGACGTGGCCAAGACTCCTTGCTCTGATCAGGGCAGAATCAGTTGAGTGTTGAAGCTGCGCTCCCTTGAGGTAGAAAATTGGTTAATTTTGCACCCCCTGGGCGGGGTGGCGGCGCGGGCTGGGGGCCACTGCCCACTCACCGAGCACTTGCCCAGGCGGCTGACCTTGCGGCCGCCCTGGTCCACCGTGTACACGTACACCAAGTTGTCGTGGGAGCCCACGGCCAGGTACGCCCCGTCTGGGGGAGGGGGAGGGGGGCTATGAGGAGGCACCCAGGCTCCATCCCCTCCTCGCCCAGACTCAGCCCCCTCAACAGTCCCCAGCTCCATCCCCACTGCATCCCTCCTAGGCCTCGCTTCGCAGGCTCCACCCCTCCCCCTGCCAAGAGCTCTGAGCCTCTGTCCCCTGGCCCTGCCGCTTGGGTGTCCCAGGCCTGCCGCTTACCTGGGGAGAAGCTGACCACTGAGATCTGTTCATTGCCGTCTGTGTGGATAGCCACCAGGTCATGGGTCTCCGTGTCCAGCAGCAGCCATCTTGAAGGAGAGGGCGTGGTGGGGGGAGGAGGGGTGAGCTGATCTGACAGAGAGAGGCCGCAATCTGTGGGGTCTAAGGGAGGGATCAGAGGGACCCCAGAAGTGACCTGGGCTGGGCACGGTGGCTCAGGCCTATAATCCCAGCACGCTGGGAGGCCGAGGCGGGTGGATCACTTGAGGTCAAGAGTTCGAAATCAGCCTGGTCAACATAGCAAAACCCCGTCTCTACTAAAAATACAAAAATTAGCCAGGCGTGGTGGCACGTGCCTGTAATCCCAGCTACTTAGGAGGCTGAGGCACGAGAATTGCTTGAACCCGGGAGGCAGAGGTTGCAGTGAGCTGAGATCGCGCCACCGGACTCCAGTCTGGGCGACAGAGCAAGACTCTGTCCCCCCAAAAAACAAAACAAAACAAGGCCAGGTACAGTGGCGGTGGCTCACGCCTGTAATCCTAGCACTTTGAGAGGCTGAGGCAGGTGAATCACTTGAGGTCAGGAGTTCGAGACCAGCCTGGCCAACATGGTGAAACCCCGTCTCTACTAAAAATAAAAAAAAATTAGCCAGGCATAGTGGTGGGCGCCTGTAATCCCAGCTACTCGGGAGGCTGAGGCAGGCAAATCGCTTGAACCTGGGAGGCAGAGGCTGCAGTGAGCCAGAGGAATATTGAGGGATCAGGGCTCGGTAAATAGTGGGATTTGGGAAAGTAGGAAAGAGGGAAGAAGGGCCAGTTCCCCAGGGAGCAGAGAAGGCCTCCCGAAATGCTCTCCTCAGCTTTACCTGCCAGTCACTGTACCCACAGCCAGGACAGAGCCACTGGGGTGGAAGCCGGCTGAGCGGGCAGGGTCCTGAGAAGGGAGAGAGAAGAGGCAGGGCTCAGAGCTGGGGTCCCATGTCCATCTGGACATTCTCTTGCCTCAGGGCCAAGTCTAATCTTTGCATGAGGGCTCTCCCCTCCCTCTGCTGCCCTTTGGGACACCCCCACCCCAGACACCATGGCAGCCATTCCTCTTTACATTTCTGTAGCATGTTAACCTGAACAGAAACCATTCCTCCTGTCACTCCTGTCCCGGGATCCCTCCTTACTCCTCTTCTAAATTCCCACAGCTTTATTCATCCAAGACGACTTCTTTAGATAATTTCCTAGATGTGGGAATGCTGGGACAAAGGGCATCTAGAATTTTAAGACTTTATTTTTGTTTTTTATTTTTTAAATTTTTATTTATTTTTTTGAGATGGAGTTTCACTCTGTTGCCCAGGCTGGAGTGCAGTGGCACGGTCTCAGCTCACTACAACCTCCGCCTCCTGGGTTCAAGCGATTCTCCTGGCTCAGCCTCCCAAGTAGCTGACATTACAGGCGCCCACCACCACGCCCGGCTAATTTTTGTTTTTTTTTTTTCATTTTTTGTAAAGATGGGGTTTTGCCATGTTGCCCAGGCTGGTCTCAAACTCCTGGATTCACACAATCTACCTGCCTCAGCCTCCCAAGTGCTGGGATTACAGGTGTCAGCCACCACACCCAGCTGAAATTTTTATTCTGTTTACATTTTAATTAATTGTGAATAGCCATGTGTGGCCAGTGGTTACCCTATGGGACAGTGTAGCTCTACACTTGACTGTTGCAGCGGTCACACCTTCCTTGAACTCAGCGGCTCCTGACTCCCCCCTCCTCATGGCGGCACCCCTGACAGGATGGTTCGGTGTCGTCCTGGGCTCCCTTCCAGTCAAGAACCTACTCCTCCAACCCTTCTGAGAGAGCTTCTAAGCACCCAGTTCCCTAGATGAAACCCCCACCCTGCTTAAAAAGACCTTGTTTGGGCCAGGCTTGGTGGCTGGCATCTGTAATCCCAGCACTTTGAGAGGCCGAGGCGGGCGGATCACGAGGTCAGGAGTTCGAGACCAGCCTGACCAACATGGTGAAACCCTGTCTCTATTAAAGATACATAAATTAGCTGGACATGGTGGTGTGCACCTGTAATCCCAGCTACTCGGGAGGCTGAGGCAGAAGAATCACTTGAACCCGGGAGGCGGAGGTTGCAGTGAGCCGAGATCGTGCCATTGCCCTCCAGCCTGGGTGACAGAGCGAGACTCCACCTCGAAGAAAAAAAAAAAAAGACCTTGTTTGGTTTCAGTCTAATGTGCTGAGCCCTGACACAGGGGGAAAGGTAGTTCTGTTAGAATGGTGCTTTTCCAGTCCCCGGGCCCCTTACCTCGATGATCCTGCTCCACAGGGGCTGGTGGGAATCTGAGCTCCATAGATGCACCAGCTTATCCTGCCCGCAGGTCACAAACTGGGCCCGACTGGGGTGTGTGGCCAGGCCCCACAGCTCTTCCACATGGCCCTGGTGGAAAGGGAGGACAGCAGGATGGAGACAGCAGCCCTGGCCTTTTCCCACTCAACACTAATGCCAGACAAATGCTAGATGAGCCCCAGCAACTCACCCTGCCCCAGCGGGACCCAGGGAAGACCTTTCCCAGTATGTCTGAAGGGGGCCTCAATTGGGCATCTGAACCCATGCCCTGGTGTGTGACTCAAGGCAAATCCTGCCCCTTCTCCAGGGACCTCTGCTTTCTTCTTTGCACAATGGGAGGCAGGAGGGCATGGTGGCTCAGAGCTTGATCTCAGGGGTCAGACAGGCTGCACCCTGGCCACACACCTCCCAGGTCTCCAGCTCCAAGGATCTGGGAAGGCGCTTCTGGAGTCTGCCTGCATCCAGACAGAGCCCAGAAGTCTGAGGGACCTCATGGAGGGCACTAAACCTGATGGCTCTGACCTTCGGCTTTCTATTACTGACCGAGCGCAGTCATCTAGGCAGGTGACATCTCCTTGGGACCTCAGTTTGATCGCCTGTAAAATGGGGCCAATTGGTATGTATGCCTCATAGCATTCCTGTGCTCACTCAAATCATGGATGGAAAATGCTGGCCAGGTGCGGTGGCTCACGCCGGTAATCCCGACACTTTGGGAGGCTGAGGCAGGAAGATTGAGCTCAGGAGTCCGAGACCAGCCTGGGCAACATGGCAAAACCCCATCTCTACAAAAAATACAAAAATTTGCCAGTTGTGGTGGTGCACACTTGTAGCCCCAGCTACTTGGGAGGCTGAGGCAGGAGGATCCCTTGAGCCCAGGAGACGGAGGTTGCAGTGAGCTGAAATGGCATCACTGCATTCCAGGCTGGGTGATATAATAAATAAATAAAATGCTAAACATGAGGATAATTCAGAGAATGTGGTCACAAAATGGAAATGTCTAACTATTAATATTTATAACAAATTTTTTTTTTAGACGGAATCTCACTCTGTCATCCAGGCTGGAGTGCAGTGGTAGGATCTCAGCTCACTGCAACCTCTGCCTCCCAGGTTCAAGCAATTCTCCTGCCTCAGCCTTTTGAGTAACTGGGATTACAGGCACACGCCACCATGCCCAGCTAATGTTTTGTATTTTTAGTACAGATGGTGTTTCACCATGTTGCCCAGGCTGGTCTTGACTCCTGATGTCAAGTGATCTGCCTGCCTCGGCCTCCCAAAGTAATATTAATATTATGATTAATAATTATAATAGCCAATATAATAGTATGGGCTGGGTGCAGTGGTTCATGCCTGTAATCCCCGCATTTTGGGAGGCTGAGGTGGGTGGATCACTTGAGGTCAGGAGTTTGAGACCAGCCTGACCAAAATGGTGAAAACCCATTTCTACTAAAAATACAAAAATTAGCTGGGTGTAGTGGTACATGCCTATAATTCCAGCTACTCGGGAGGCTGAGGCAGGAGAATCACTTGAAGCGGGAGGCAGAGTTTGCAATGAGCCGAGATTGAGCCACTGCGCTGCAGCCTGGGCAACAGAGCGAGACTCTGTCTCAAAAATGAAAAAAAAAAAAAAAAAGTATAAATATAGTGCTTCCCGGTAGGTGAGTTCTTTAATTGGGTCAGGGGTAAGGAAGGGAGGGAGGAGGCCAGGAAGGGAGGAGCAGGCGTTTGAGCTTCGAGAAGAAATGCAAGCAGACTCCAGCAGGACCTTCCCCAATCCGTGGAGCTGGAGTCTGAGAGGTGTGTGGCCAGGGTGTCTGCAGCTGTGGGACAACCTGTAGGGACACTCACCAACCTGAAGGGTGCCACCCCCAATCAGAGTGGCAGGAGGCAGCACAGTTGGAGCAGGGGCCTGGGGCCCCTCTGCTGTGCTTGGAGTTAAACTCTTGGTTGCTGGATCCTGGGAAGGGGTCCTGGGTCAGGGCCAGGTCAGAGAAGGGACAGAGCAGGGAGGTGAGGAGAACTGGGAGTGGGGAGGGGGAGTGGATGATGCAGGGAAGGCCAGGGAAAGAGCTGGGAAGAGGGGAGGGGTGCAGAGGAGAGAGGCGCACCTGGACCAGCAGTGAGAAGCCTGTGTGCACGGAGCCCTGCAGGATGGAATTGCGGGTGGTCCCCACGTACAGTGTGTCTCCGTGGCCCTCTGCCACGGTGCGCACAGGGCCAAAGTCCTCAGGGACCTGGGTGGACAGATAAGAGGGAAGATGAGTAGGATGCACACGGGTGGGTGTGGGGTGACATACTGTGGGGAGGAGGGTCTGGCGTTGGGAGCCCTGGTGAGATCGGGGGGGGCCTCTCTACCCCCATCTGAGCCCACTGCCCCTCCTCACCTCCACTTCCTGCAGCTTGCTGTAGTCAGAACCCCAGAGGACCACCCGCCGATCACGGCCCCCTCCAGACACCAGCGTCCCGTCCCGCAGGGCGCAGAGCCCAAACACGCCGCCGTCGTGGGCGCCCAGCACCGCCTGTGTGATACGGTTCCCACCTGCAGGGTGGCCAGGGGCAGGGTCAACAGGGAGAAGCCACCCCTATGCTGACCCCTGAAAGCATCTTGAACTCTCAAGCCTATGTCCATCCATTCTCACCCACTTTTCCACCTTTTTTTTTTTTTTGAGACGGAGTCTCTCTGTTGCCCAGGCTGGAGTGCACTGGTGCTATCTCGGCCCACTTCAGCCTCTGCCTCTTGGGTTCAAGTGACTCTCCTACCTCAGCCTCCCAAGTAGCTGGGATTACAGGCGCCCACCACCATGCCTGGCGAATTTTTTGTTTCTCGTAGAGATGGGTTTCACCATGTTGGCCAGGCTGGTCTCGAACTCCTGACCTCAAGTGATCCACCCGCCTTGGCCTCCCTAAGTGCTGGGATTACAGGCATGAGCCACCATGCCCGGCCCCACCTTTCGACCTTTCTATCTGCTCTTCCACCCACCCAACCACCCAAGCACCTGCCACCTACCCACTCAAATACAATACCTTATCATCTATTCATTAAACCATCTGCACTAACATCTACCCATCCACCCATCTACCCTTTGACCCATACACCCACCCATCCATCCATCCACTCACTTATCTACTGGTCTGTTAGATGAACACTATCGACTCATCCATTCATCACCCATCCATCCACCAGACTATCTATCCATCCATCACCCTAGCCATTCATCCACCCATCTCTCTACTGATCCATCCAGTCAGCCACCCTGCCATCCATCCATCAACCCACCTCTCATCCATTCATTTGCCCTCTCTCGTTTTGTTTTGCTTTGTTTTGTTTTGTTTTGTTTTATTTTGTTTTTGAGACAAAGTCTTGCTCTGTCGACCAGGCTGGAGTGCAGTGGTATGATCTTGGCTCACTGCAACCTCTGCCTCCTGGGTTTAAGCGATTCTCATGTCTCAGCCTCTGGAGTAGCTGGGATTACAGGCATGTGCCACCACACCTGGCTAATTTTTGTATTTTTAGTAGAGACAGGGTTTCACTATGTTGGCCGGGCTGGTCTCGAACTCTTTGACTCAAGTGATCTGCCTGCTTCAGCCTCCCAAAGTGCCAAGATTACAGGTGTGAGCCATGGCACCCAATCTAATAAAGACAATTTTTTAAAAAGAGAGGGCAGGCGGCCGGGTTCGGTGGCTCATGCCTGTAATCCCAGCACTTTGGGAGGCCGAAGGGGGCGGATCACGAGGTCAGGAGATTGAGACCATCCTGGCTAACATGGTGAAACCCCATCTCTACTAAAAAAATACAAAAAATTAGCCGGGAGTGGTGATGGGCACCTGTAGTCCCAGCTACTTGGGAGGCTGAGGCAAGAGAATGGTGAACCTGGGAGGTGGAACTTGCAGTGAGCTGAGATTGCGCCACTGCACCCCAGCATGGGCGACAGAGCGAGACTCCGTCTCAAAAAAAAAAAAAAGAGAGAGAGCGCAGGCTGGCCGAGTGCGGTGGCTGATGCCGATAATCGCAGCACTTTGGGAGGCCGAGGTGGGCGGATCACGAGGTCAGGAGATGGAGACCATCCTGGCTAACACGGTGAAACCCCGTCTCTACTAAAAATACAAAAAATTAGCCGGGTGTGGTGGCGGGCACCTGTAGTCCCAGCTACTTGGGAGGCTGAGGCAGGAGAATGGCGTGAACCCAGGAGGCAGAGCTTGCAGTGAGCCGAGATCACTTGAGCTCAAGTGTTCGAGGGCAGCCTGGGCAACATAGCGAGACCTCATCTCTACAACAAATACAAAAATTACCTGGGCCTGGTGGTGGGCACCTGTAGTCCCAGGTACTTGGGAGGCAGGAGGATCACTTGATACTGGGAGGCAGAGGTTGCAGTGAGCTGTGATGGCAACCACTGCACTCCAGCCTGGGCGCTAGAGTGAGACCCTGTCTTAAAAAAAAATTCTTTATTAAAAAAAAATTTTTTTTTTTTTGAGACAGAGTCTTGCTCTGTCCCCTAGGCTGGAGTGCAGTGGTGCCATCTCTGGTCACTGCAATCTCCACCTCCAGGGTTCAAGTGATTCTCCCACCTCAGCCTCCCGACTAGCTGGGATTACAGGTGCTCGCCACCATGCCAGGCTAATTTTTGTATTTTTAGTAGAGATGGGGTTTTGCTATGTTGGCCAGGCTGGTCTTAAACTCCTGACCTCATGTGATCTGCCTGCCTCGGCTTCCCAAAGTGCTGGGATTACAGGCGTGAGCCACCGCACCCAGCCTAAAAACTTTTAAAAGTAAAGATGAGGTCTCACTATGTTGCCCTGGCTGGTCTCAAACTCCTGGGCTCAACCAGTCCTCCTGCCTCAGCCCCTCAAAGTGCTAGGATTACAGGCATGAGCCACTGTCCCAGCCTCAACCCATTAGTTTGTTAATAAAGTCATCCATTGGTTGGAGCAAGTATTTCTTCACCCAACCATTGGCTAAGACAAGTCATTTATTCATCCAATCACTGATTAACTTCTTGGAACAATCTGTTCTTCATAACACATTAATCTGTTGGCTGAAACAACCATTCATTCATTCACTCACTCATTCACTCATTCATTCATTGCTGTATAGATCCACTGCCTGAGACAAAACCTATTCACTAACATAGTTAGCCATTAGTGGTAACAACCACTCATTTGTTCCTTTACCCAGTCACTCTCCCTTTAAGGAGGATGACACATTCATTTACTTATTCTTCCATCCATTTCCTAGGATCACACCTTCATTCATTCCTTCATTCACTTATTCATTGATCCACACGCTGGGACAAAGCACTTGTCCATGTATCCATTCATCTACCCATCCGTCCTTCCTTCCATCCACCCATCCATCCATTCATCATCTAAACACAACTGAGCTAACCCATTCATTGATAATCTGGACTTGATCCCTAACAAGGGATTTCCAGAGGGCAAGGCAGGGGGGAGTCAATAAAGATTTCCTGGAGATAGGGATACTTGAGCTGAACCTTGACGAGGGTGTTGGAATCGGACATCCATTTACACTCATTTCACACAAGCAGAATTCCACGAAGGGAGGCAGAGCCAGGAGTGTTTCAGAAGACTGGATTGGGAACCAAACAGATGGGGTGACACTGACCTTTGCCCCAAACATAGAGGTTCCCCCCAGAGTCCCCCGTGACCACGTCGCCACCTTCCAAAAAGGTCACACACAGCACATACTTCGGTTTCTCATGTTTCTAAGGTGGGGGAGGAAAGGAAGGTGTCAGAGCGTCACTGAAGCAGGTAGCCTCCCAGAGGTCATCTGTCACCCAGGACCGTGGCCAGGCAATCCCCTCTATCTATGCGTTTAGGGTAAGGCTCTGCGTGGAGCATCCCTTCTCCCACCTGCCTCCATCCGGCCTGCAGTGCTTCGGTGGCCTAGAGGTTCTGACCACAATTGTCTTGCTTTCCTACCCCTGGGCCCACTTCCTGCCCTCTCTCTGGTCCCCCTGACTCTTTCTTTTGAGATACAGTCTCACCTGTCATCTAGACCGGAGTGCAGTGGCATGTCTCGGCTCACAGCAACCTCCCCCTCCCGGGTTCAAACGATTCTCCTGCCTCAGCCTCCCAAGCAGCTGGGATTACAGGCCTGCGCCATCATGGCCGGCTAATTTTGTTTTGTTTTTGTTTTTGTTTTTCAGACGGAGTCTCGCTCTGTCACCAGGCTGGAGTGCAGTGGCGTGATCTCGGCTCACTGCAACCTCCACCTCCCGGGTTCAAGCGATTCTCCCGCTGCAGCCTCCCAAGTAGCTGGGATTACAGGCGCCCACCATCACGCCTGGCTAATTTTCATATTTTTTTAGTAGAGATGGGGTTTTGCCATGTTGGCCAGGCGGGTCTGAACTCCTGGCCTCAAGTGATCCACCCGCCTCGGCCTCCCAAAGTGCTGGGATTACAGGCGTGAGCCACCGCACCCAGCCTGGTCCCCCTGACTTCTCCCCTCCTGTCGGCGCCTCATTCATCCTGTCTCTCCTCCTCCCTCCTCACCTCCAGTCTGTCTCTCTAGGTCCCATTCCCTGCCTCACTCCACCTTCTCAGTGTCTCTGTTTCATCTCCGTGCCCAGTGTTCTCTGGGCTTCCCTTTTGGGGTGGAAGCCCCATCTCTCACCAAAGGCAATGAGCCCTATGGGAGGAAGCCCTGTGTCTTCCCACCCTCTGCTTCCCACTCAACTTGTGGCTCTCTCAGCCAGGCAGCCTCTGAGTTCTCTGATTATCCATCATATCGACAACCGCAGCACCCCTGTTTTTGTTTTTGTTTTTGTTTTTGTTTTTTTTGAGACAGGATCTCACTCTGTCACCCAGGCTGGAGTGCAGTGGTACCATCATGGCTCATTGCAGTCAACCTCCTGGGCTCAAGCGGTCCTCCCACGTCAGCCTCCCAGGTAGCTGGGATTACAGGTGCGCACCACCATGCCTGGCTAATTTTTGTATTTTTTGTAGATATGAGGTCTCTCCATGTTTCCCAGGCTGGTCTCGAACTTCTGGGCTCAAGGGATCCTCCCACCTCAGCCTCCCAGGTAACTGGGATTACAGGTGCACACCACCATGCCCAGCTAATTTTTGTATTTTTTGTAGATATGAGGTCTCACCATGTTCCCCAGGCTGGTCTCGAACTCCTGGGCTCAAGGGATCCTCCCCCCTCAGCCTCCCAAAATGCTGGGATTACAGGCGAGAGCCACCTTGCCACAGTACCCATTTATTGACCATTTACTATCTGCTAGGAACTGCTGTACTCTTCATCCCTTTGAATCCTCACAACTTTTTTTTTTTTTTTTTTTTTTTTTTTCTGAGATAGGGTCTCGTTCTATCACCCAGGCTGGAGTGATCATTTGATCACGGCTCACTGCAGCCATGAGCTCAGGTGATCCTTCCACCTCATGGTGCCCGGTCACCCTCTTAACTCCAGAGTTAAGGTGGATCATCACCATGGTATGGAGAAAGAAACTGAGGCCCCAGCAGGCAACATCTCAGCGTCCCTGTAATCCCAAACCCCTGCCACCCTCTGGGGGATCTTGCTACCTCCCTGCCTGTCCCTAACTACCTCTCTCAGGGCCAGCCTGTCCCCCAAACCCCTGGCACTCACCTCAAAGAGGCCTTGCCGCTTGCTCAAGCTGCCCCCCTCCAAGGTCCAGAAGTAGATGTGAGATTTCCCGCAGGTGATAAGCACAGTGGGGTCCGTGGGGTGGAAGGTGGCCACCAATACAGCCTCATTGGAGCACTTTGGGGGGTGGGGGAGATTCTGAATGAGGACCTCAAAGTCCCCAAGGCTACTATACCCGCCCCTCACAGGACTGCCCTAAACGGCTGTTTGTGTTGTATGCTGCACACCTGAACTTTTCTTTTTTTTTTTTTTTTCAGGGCAGAGTCTCACCCTGTCACCCAGACTGGAGTGCAGTGGTGCAATCTCTGCTCACTGCAACCTCCGCCTCCTGGGTTCAAGCGATTCTCTTGCCTCAGCCTCCCGAATAGCTGGTATTACAGGCAGGTGCTACCACACCCAGCTAATTTTTGTATTCTTAGTAGAGACAGGATTTCACCATGTTTCCCGGCTGGTCTCGAACTCTTTACCTCGTGATCCACCCGCCTCAGCCTCCTAAAGTGCTGGGATTACAGGCGTGAGCCACTGCGCCCGGCCTTTTTTTTTTTTTTTTTGAATATGAGTCTCGCTCTGTTGCCCAGGCTGGAGTGCGGTAGCACAATCTTGGCTCCTACAACCTCTGCCTCCCAGGTTCAAGAGATTCTTCTGCCTCAGCCTCCCAAATAGCTAGATTTACAGGGACGTGCCACCACACCTGGCTAATTTTTGTATTTTTAGTAGAGATAGGGTTTCACCATGTTGGCCAGGCTGGTCTCAAACTCCTGACCTCAAGTGATCTTCCCACCTCAGCCTCCTAAAGTGCTGGGATTACAGGCGTGAGCCACCACGCCTGGCCAGTACCTTTCCTATACGGTAAATTAAAGTACAGGAAGCAGGACAAGCCAGCGAAGCATTATCATCTTCTTCATCATTAACAAAACAGCAGACACTTGGAGCTCCTCTCCTCTGCCCTAAGCACTGTGCTCAACATTTTACAATCATTAGCTCCTTTAATCCTCCATCTCCCTGTGAGGTCAAGACCATTATGCCCACCTCATTGCAAATTAAAAAGTGAGGCTCAGGCTGGGCGTGGTGGTTCACGCCTGTAATCCCAGCCCTTTGGGAGGCCAAGGCGGGTGGATCACCTGAGGTCGGGAGTTCGAGGCCAGCCTAACCAACATGGAGAAACTCCGTCTCTACTAAAAATACAAAATTAGCTGGTCGTGGTGGTGCATGCCTGTAATCCCAGCTACTCGGGAGGCTGAGGCAGGAGAGTTGCTTGCTTGAACCCGGGAGGCGGAGGTTGCAGTGAGCCGAGATCGTGCCAGTGCACTCCAGCCTGGGCAACAAGAGGAAAACTCCGTCTCACAAAAAAAGTGAGGCTCAGAGAGGGCCGGGTGTAGTGGCTCACACCTGTAATCCCAGCACTTTGGGAGGCCGAGGCAGGCGGATCACGAGGTCAGGAGTTCGAGACTGGCCTGGTCAACGTGGCGAAACCCCATCTCTACTAAAGATACAAAAAAATTAGGCGTGGTGGTGCGCACCTGTAATCCCAACTACTTGGGAGGCTGAGGCAGGAGAATCACTTGAACCCAGGTGGTGGAGGTTGCAGTGAGCCGAGATCATGCCATTACACTCCAGCCTGGGTGACAGGGCGAGACTCCATCTCAAATAGAAAAAAAAAAAGTGAGGCTCAGAGAGGGTAAACCATTTGCCTAAGGCCACACAGCTAGGCAAGAGTTGTGTGTGGAACCCAGCTCACCTAGCCCTAATTCCAGAGCACAGCCTCCGCACCATTTCTGTTTCCCCAAACAGTGGGCCTTGATTCAAAACCCAGGTTTCCACCAGGCGCAGTGGCTCACGCTTGTGATCCCAGCACTTTGGGAGGCAGAGGCAGATGGATCACCTGAGGTCAGGAGTTCGAGACCAGCCTGGCCAACATGGTGAAACCCCGTCTCTACTAAAAATACAAAAATTAGCCGGGCATGGTGGCACACACCTGTAGTCTCAGCTACTCAGGAGGCTGAGTCAGGAGAATCGCTGGAACCTGGGAGGTGGAGGTTGCAGTGAGCCAAGATTATGCCATTGCACTCCAGCCTAGGTGACAAGAACGAAACTCCGTCTCAAAGTAAGTAAGTAAGTAAGTAAGTAAGTAAGTAAATAAATAAATAAATAGAACAAAACCCAGGTTTCCTTCCCCTAGCCCAGGACAGGTGTGCAACCTGAGGCAAGTATCTCTTCCCCTCACCATGCCTCATCCTTAAAATAGGCCACCTCTCAGAGAGGGAAATCGAGACACCAGAGGACTGCAGAGTCAGCAAGCAGCCACCTCAAACCCACCCTTCTGTTGGGCCTGGTCCACCGTACCCCATATCTCCATATCCTCACCAAGGCCCTACGAGGAAGATGCTACCATTATCCCCATTTTATTTTATCTATTTATTTTTTTGAGGCAGGGTCTCACTCTGTTGCCCAGGCTGGAGTGTAATGGTGCAATCATGGCTCACTGCAGCCTCAACCTACCAGGTTCAAGCGATCCTCCTACCTTAGCCTCCGAAGTAGCTGGGACTATGGGTGCACACCACACCCAGTTAATTTTTTTTTTTAAGTGCCAGATTTTCTGTTTGTTTTGTTTTTTGTTTTTGAGACGGAGTTTAGCTCTTGTTGCCCAGGCTGGAGTGCAATGGTGTGATCTTGGCTCACCGCAACCTCCGCCTCCGGGTTCAAGAGATTCTCCTGCCTCAGCCTCCCGAGTAGCTGGGATTACAGGCATGTGCTACCATGCCCAGCTAATTTTGTATTTTTAGTAGAGACAGGGTTTCTCCATGTTGGTCAGGCTGGTCTCGAACTCCTGACCTCAGGTGATCTGCCTGCCTCGGCCTCCCAAAGTGCTGGGATTACAGGCGTGAGCCACCGTGCCCGGCCTTTTTTTTTTTTTTTTAAGTAGAGATAGGTCTCCTTATGTTGCCCAAGCTGATCTCAAACTTCTGAGCTCAAGCAATCCTCTCATGTCGGCCTCCCAAGGTGCTAGGGTTACAGGTGTGAGCCACCTTGCCCAGCCTATTATCCCCATATTACAGATGAGACCACCAAGGCTCTGAGGTGGCAAGCGGCTTGCTCAAGTCACACAGCCAGCAAGGAGTAAAGCCAGGGCTTAAACACGGGTCTATCTGATTGCAGACTCCTAACCACTGAGATTGGGAAAGTCCCACAGTGGCACCCAGCAGGAGGGGATGAGAAAAGTCACCTCACCTTGACATCCACCACCTTGGTCTCCTTGGCCCAGTCCCACACCGAGAGCATGTGATCATTGGATTCATCCACTGCACACAGCAGGTTGCCTCCATTCTAAAGAGGAGGAGAGAGGAGGGGGACAGAGGCAAGGGGAGTCAGGGCCCATCCTCCCCCCATGCCCACCAAGGCATTCACCACACAGGCCTGTTTTAAAACCTTCAGGCTGGGCACAGTAGGTGGGAGGATCGCTTGAGTCCAGGAGTTTGAGGCCAGCATAGGCAATATAGGGAGACCCTGTCTCTTAAACAAAACAAATTTAAATATTAAAAAAAAATAAAAAGCCAGGCGTGGTGGCTCACACCTGTAATCCCAGCACTTTGGGAGGCCGAGGCAGGTGGATCACGAGGTCAGGAGTTCGAGGCCAGCCTTGCCAACATAGTGAAACCCTGTCTCTACTAAAAATACAAAAAATTAGCCAGGCGTGGTGGCAGGTGCCTGTAATCCCAGCTACTCGGGAGGCTGAGGCAGGAGAATCGCTTGAACTGGGAGGCAGAGGATGCAGTGAGCCAAGATTGCGCCATTGCACTCCAGCCTGGGTGACAGTGAGAGACTCTGTCTCAAAAAAAAAAAAAAAAAGACCTTCAAAGGCCCTGGCCATTTTGCAGGAAACACATTAAAATACACCCTCCATTAGAAGCTGTGAAGACATCTGAAATGGTTTCATACTATGCCTTGAAATGACTCATCCCTAATAAACTCATTTCATTTGCCCTCAGCTATTGTTTCTCTGCAGCCAGCACCCCTAGCCAGGAATTCTTGCTGACATCATCTCATTTGCATTTACATATATAGAGAATGACTGATGTAGGTGAAATTCAGCAGTTAACAAAGTTGGTATTATGTTGGGTTTTTGTTTGTTTTTTATTTTATTTTATTTTTTGAGACTGAGTCTCATTCTATTGCCCAAGCTGGAATGCAGTTGCATGATCTTGGCTCACTGCAACCTCCACCTCCCAGGTTCAAGCGATTCTCCTGTCTCTGCCTCTCAAGTAGCTGGCACATGCCACCACTGCCCTCCTAATTTTTGTATTTTTAGTAGAGACAGGGTTTCACTATGTTGGCCAAGCTGGTCTTGAACTCCTAACCTCTGGTGATACACCAGCTTCCACCTTCCAAAGTGCTGGGATTACAGTCATGAGCCACCTCGCCTGGCCAATGTTGGGCTTTTATACCTTTCATTAAATACAGGTTAATTTTGATTTGGCAAGGTTTTATTTTCTTCTCCACACCTTTGGTAACAATATGGCTTACCCCTACCCCAAGCTCTTAAATGTTTCTTTAGGCCTCAGAAAACCGGTGAGGGTCCAATCCAGTGCCTCTTAAGCTATCTGTGCAGGAGACTGGCTGTTTTTTACTCCCTAATCCATTGAAGACTAATATTTTAATCAAATATGATAAAAATGTAAAATATGATTTTTATCTATCTATCTATCTATATATTTTTGAGACAGAGTCTCACTCGGTCCCCTAGTGTGGAGTGCAGTGGTGGGATCTGAGCTCACTGCTACCTCCGCCTCCCAGGTTCAAGTGACTCTCCTGCCTCTGCTTCCTGAGTAGCTGGGATTACCACACCCAGCTAATTTTTGTATATTTTTAGTAGAGATGGGGTTTCACCATGTTGGCCAGGCTGGTCTCGAACTCCTGACCTCAAATGATCCACCCATCTTGGCCTCCCAAAGTGCTGGGATTACAGGCATGAACCGCATCTGACCAATTTTTATTTATTTTTTAAAGTCAGCGTCCTGCCATATCGCCCAAGTTGGAGTGTAGTGGCATGATCACAGTTCACTGCAGCCTCGATCTCCTAGGCTCATTCAATCCTCCCACCTCAACCTCCCAAGTATCTGGGAGTACAGGCCCAGGCCCACACTAGTACACCCAGCTAATTAGAATTTTTTTTTTTTTTTTTTTTTTTTTTAGTTGGAGTCTCGCCCTGTCGCCCAGGCTGCAGTGCAATGGCGCGATCTCGGCGGCTCACTGCAAACTCCGCCTCCCAGGTTCAAGCAACTCTCTTGCCTCAGCCTCCCAAGTAGCTGGGATTACAGGCACCCTCCGCCATGCCCAGCTAATTTTTGTATTTTCAGTAGAGACGGGGTTTCACCATGTTGGCCAGGCTGGTCTCAAACTCCTGACCTTGTGATCCGCCCGCCTCGGCCTCCTAAAGTGCTAGGATTACAGGCGTGAGCCACTGCACCTGGCCTTTTTTTTTTTTTGAGTACGAGTCTCGCTCTGTCGCCCAGGCTGGAGTGCTGTGGCGCGATCTCGACTCACTGCAAACTCCCCCTCCCGGGTTCAAGCGATTCTCCTGCCTCAGCCTCCCGAGTAGCTGGGACGCCACCACCTCAGACTAATTTTTGTACTGTTTTTGGTAGAGACGGGCTTCACTACGTTGGCTAGGCTGGTCTCAAACTCCTGACTTCAAATGATCCTCCCACCTCAGCCCCCCAGAGTGCTGGGATTACAGGCACAAGCCACCATGCCCAGCCAAAATAGGATTTTTTTTTAAAAAAAAGCCCACAATCACACACTTGGATGTTGTGGTGTTGTCAAACTGCTCTCCAAATTCCTAAAGGCATACTCTCGCTTTCTGTACTTATCTCTGCCTGGACATGCCAAAACCCGCCTGCAAATGGGCAAGGACCAGCTGGGCCCTAGGCACTGGGTTTAAAATGCCTGAGAGGGCTGGGCGGGCACGGTGACTCACCCGCCCCTTGGGGTGAGGACACGCCCTCATTGTGACGTCACAGAGGCGGGCCACGCCTCCAGCAGGATTCCCGGCCCTCAACCCAAGGGGCGGGTGAAAAGGTGCGGGCACTTGCCCTCCTTTTCGGGGCGAAGGGGCGGGGTTAGGGTGGGCGAAGGACTTACAGATTTGGAGAAGCCCACACAGCACACGGCTCTGTCAAACACCCCCAAGCCCAGCACGTGTAAGGTGGAGAGGGAAACTGAGTCCCAGATGCGCACGTGGGGCGGCAGCGGCTGCAGGGAAGAGAGGCTTGTTACCTTGGGGGTGCCAGCTGCTTGTCCCCCACAACTGCGTCCTGCACTCTTTTCTGCTTTCCCCTCCCTTCCATTACCTTCCCTTCCTTAGTGGTTCCCGCCACCTGTCCCGTGGCGATGGTGACCATATCTGGGTGGATGGCCAAGCTGCGGAAAGAAGGGACAGAGAGACCAGGGCTCAGTGGGAGAGAAGAGGCTCACAGAGACCCAGGACATTCATTCCACAAATTGGCTGGTTGAGTTTAGTCAATAAACGTGTATTTAGTGCATTAATAGCAGTGAGCGGATGCCCTCCGGGTGCGCTGGCGCTGGATCAGAAGCAAGACTTAGGCCTGGGGCCTCTAACTCAAATGCCAGCAGGACGCAGGTCTGTACCTCACATAGTGGCCAGGAGAGCACACTTATTTAAGGGGGCTGACACCACCCTGCTCCAGCCACCAGGAATTGTCTGGAGTGCCTATTCAGTTTTTTTTTTTTTTAAGAGGCGGAGTCTCCCAGCACTTTGGGAGGCCGAGGCGGGCGGATCACCAGAGGTCAGGAGTTTGACACCTGCCTGGCCAACATGGGGAAACCCTGTCTCTAGTAAAAGTACAAAAATTAGCTGGGCGTGGTGGCGGGCACCTGTAGTTCCAGCTACTCGGGAGACTGAGGCAGGAGAATCGCTTGAACCCAGGAGCGGAGGTTGCAGTGAGTCGAGATCGTGCCACTGGACTCCAGCCTAGGCGACAGAGTGAGACTAGTTCTCAAAAAAAGAAAAAAGAAAAAAAAAGGAGATGGAGTCTCGCTCTGTCCCCCAGGCTAGAGTGCAGTGGCAGGATCATAGCTGACTGCAGCCTCCAACTCCTGGACTTCAGCGATCCTTCCGCCTTGGCCTCCCAAAGTGCTGCTTTCACAGGCGTGAGCCACCTCGCTGCCCAGATTTTCAAAAGAAGAAAAAGATCCAGGCATTGCGTGAATTCACTGTCTGAATTTTTTTTGAGACAGAGCTTGCTCTTTCACCCAGGCTGGAGTGTGGTGGCTCAGTCACTGCAGCCTCGACCTCCTGGGTTCAAGTGATCCTCTCGCCTCAACCTCCTGAGTAGCTGGGACCATAAGGGCTTACCACCACACCCAACTAAAACACCTGAAATATTGAAATATTGATACTCAATCCACATTTTCCCACTAAATTCAGCCTGAGGGCAGCTGGTGGCTTTGGAGAGGGAGCAAAGGCTTAGCCTTGCCCCAAACCCCACAGGGTAGCAATGTGAAAAGAGGCATAGAGGGGCAGGGGCTGGAGCTCCATCTCCAGCCACAGCTCCCTCCCGTCCCCTCTGTCCCACATCTCACCATTTGATGTCATCGTTGTGTCCCAGGTAGTGTCGCTGCCTCTGCTCCTCCACGCTGTATAGCACGGCTACGGAGGCCACAAAGTACACTATCTCCCCGGTGGGCAGCAAATAAAGGTTGGCCCGGCAGTCTCGGCCACGGTAGCCATAGCTGGAGCCACCCAGGGGCTGGTTAAGGAATGTGTTTTGTTGTTGTTGTTTGTTTGTTTTGTTTTTATTTATTTATTTATTTTTAATTTTTTTATTTATTTATTTTTTTGAGATGGAGTCTCACTCTGTCGCCCAGGCTGGAGTGCAGTGGCGTGATCTCAGCTCACTGCAAGCTCCGCCTCCTGGGTTCATGCCATTCTCCTGCCTCAGCCTCCTGAGTAGCTGGGACTACAGGCGCCCGCCACCATGCCCGGCTTATTTTTTGTATTTTTAGTAGAGACGGGGTATCACCATGTTAGCCAGGATGGTCTCGATCTCCTGACCTTGTGATCCACCCGCCTCGCCCTCCCAAAGTGCTGGGAGCCACGGCACCCAGCCTATTTATTTTTTCTTTTTTTTGAGACGCAGTCTCGCTCTGTCTCCAGGCAGCAGTGCAGTGGTGCAATCTCAGCTCACTGCAACCTCCGACTCCCTGGTTCAAACGATTCCCCTGCCTCAGCCTCCTGAGTATCTGGGATTACAGACACACGCCACCACACCCAGCTAATTTTTGTATTTTTAATAGAGATGGGATTTCACCATGTTGGCCAGGATGGTCTCAATCTCCTGACCTCATGATCCGCCCGCCTCAGCCTCCCAAAGTGCTGGGATTACAGGCGTGAGCCACCACGCGCGGCCTGTTTTGTTTTTTTAAGACAGAGTCTGTCACCCAGGCTGGAGTGCAGTGGCATGATCCCAGCTCACTGCAACCTCCGCCTCCTGGGTTCAAGCCATTTTCCTGTCTCAGCCTCCCAAGTAGCTGGGACTACAGGCAGATGCCATCATGCCAGGCTAATTTTTGTATTTTTAGTAGAGATGGGGTTTCACCATATTGGTCAGGGTGGTCTCCAACTCCTGACCTCAGGTGATCCACCCACCTTGGTCTCCCAAAGTGCTGGGATTAGAGGTTTGAGCCGCTGGCGCCCAGCCGAGGAATGTATTTTGCATCACACACACTGGCTGAGGACCAGACTCAACAAGGTCATTGGAATGAGGTTTTTCTGTTTCCACTCTCACCCCTGTAGTGGGCTGATGGTCCCCTCCCACTCCAAAAAAAAATGAATGTCTGTTTCCTTTTTTTTTTTTTTTTTTTTTTTTTTGAGATGGAGTTTCGCTCTTGTTGCCCAGGCTGGAGTGCAATGGTGTGATCTCAGCTCACGGCAACCTCCACCTCCCGGGTTCAAGGGATTCTTCTGCCTCAGCCTCCTGAGTAGCTGGGATTATAGGCATGCGCCACCATGCCTGGCTAATTTTGTATTTTTAGTAGAGAAAGGGTTTCTCCATGTTGGTCACGCTGGTCTTGAACTCCCAACCTCAGGTGATCTGCCCACCTCGGCCTCCCAAAGTGCTGGGATTATAGGCATGAGCCACCGCGCCCGGGCTATGTCTGTTTCTTAATCCCCACAACTTGCAAATGTGACCTTACAAGGAAAATGGGTCTTTGCAGATATAATTATAGATCTCAAGATGAGATCATCCTGGATTATCAGAGTAGCCCCTAAATCCGATCACAAGTGTCCTTATAAATGACAGAAGAGGCAGCCTCAATCTCCTGGGCTTAAGTGATCCTCCTGCCTCCGCTTCCCAAATAGCTGAGACTACAGGCATGCACCACCATGCCCAGCAAATTTTTTGTATATTTTTGGTAAAGATGCAGTCTCGCCATGCTGCCCAGGCTGGTCTCAAATTCCTGGGCTAAAGCAGTCCACTTGTCTTGGCCTCCTAAAGTGCTGGGATTACAGGCATGAGCCAATGCACCCAGCCTGCCTGGCTAATTAAAAAGAAATTTTCTGTAGAGATGGGATCTCGCTTTGTTGCCCAAGCTGATAGTTATCTGGTTTATTTGTTAACTGCTCATATTCCCCAATAAGACTGTGAGTTCCATGGTGGCTGAGATTGGGCTGTTTTTTTTGTTTGTTTGTTTTGTTTTTTTCATTTCTGTATCTCCTCCTCCAGGAAGCCCTCCATGACTCCAGGCTGGGTCAGCCCTGTCCCTGTGGATTCCCCATCCCAGTCTTGCACACTCTGGGTTGTCACTCTCAATGAGTCTGTTCCCATGCTAGACTGTATGCCCCAGGAGGGCAGGCAGATGCTGTCATGGTCAGCACTGGGTCCCCAGCCCTATGTCTCAGATGTTCAGAAAATATCTTGAATGGGCCAAGCACGGTGGCTCACGCCTGTAATCTCAGCACTTTGGGAGGCCGAGGCAGGTGGATCACTTGAGGTCAGGAGTCCAAGACCAGCCTGGCCAACATGGCGAAACCCTGTCTCTACTAAAAAACACACAAAAAAATTAGCCAGGCATGGTGGCCCATGCCACCCAGCTACTGTAGTGGCCGAGGCAGAAGAATGGCTTGAACCCAGGAGGTGGAGGTTGCAGTGAGCCAAGATCGTGCCACTGCACTCTAGCCTGGGTGTCTCAAAAACAAGAAAATATCTGAATGATTGTCAATATACATATATCCTGACCCCATGAAACTGCTCTGACCTGCAGTCACTGCAAAGGGGAGCAATCTGAGGTCCTCACTTTTGCAGTCTCAGCCACCTCTCATCAGATGCTTATCAAGCCCTACTGGCAGGACATTTGGGACAGATTCCAGGGGATATTTCCAGCTGCCTCGAGAAGGCTCTGGGCACCCAGAAGGCCAGGCCATTTCACCAACCACCCTGGCTCCTCCAAAGAGGAAACCAAGGCCCAGAGAGAAGCAGACAAGGACCGGGTTCCTGGGGTGTGGACTCCAAGCTCAATAGGATTTTAGGAAAAAGTTTGGGTCCCAGAATCAGGATTGTTGTCTCCTACCTATAACCTCAGTTTCCTTATCTGGAAAGGAGGTATAATAATTTCCAAACTGTAGGCCTCAGAGCTCTTGGAGGCCACTAGTTGTAAAAAAATAAATTCATACCTGGAATAACTTACAACAGTGTCTGTCAGATAGTAAGTGCTTGAGTTATTATTTTGGATTTTTTTTTTTTTTTTTTTTTTTTTGAGAAAGGAGTCTCGCTCTGTCGCCCAGGCTGGAGTGCAATAGCACAATCATGGCTCACTGCAACCTCGACCTCCCAGGCTCAAGTGATGCTCCCACCTCAGCCTCCAGAGTAGCTGGGAACCACAGGAGCATGCCACCATGGCTGGCTATTTTTTTTTTCTTTTTCTTTTCTTTTTTTTTTTTTTTTTTTTTTTTTTGAGACGGAGTTTCACTCTTGTGGCCCAGGCCGGAAAGCAGTGGGGCAATCTCGGCTCACTGCAGCCTCTGCCTCCTGGGTTCAAGCGATTCTCCTGTCTCAGTCTCCCGAGTAGCTAGGTTTACAGGCACATGCCACCACACTCGGCTAATTTTTGTATTTTTAGTAGAGACAGGATTTCATCATATTGGTCAGGCTGGTCTCAAACTCCTGACCTCAGGTGATCTGCCCACCTCGGCCTCCCAAAGTGCTCAGATTACAGGCATGAGCCACCGCGCCCGGCCTGCTATTTTATTTCCTGTAAAGACGAGGTCTTGCTATGTTGCTCAGGCTGGTTTCAAACTCCTGGGTTCAAGTGATCCACCCACCTCGGCCTCCCAATGTGCTGAGTTAGTGTTTTATCAGTCCCTGTGCATGGGGCACATACTATGAGCTCAGTACCTTTACACATTATTTCACAGGTCTATGGACCTGAGATCATAAAATTCATTTTTCAGAGTCAAGACGACTTTTCCAGGGTCACACGGCCAGGTACGGGCTGGACTGGGGTTTGAACCCATCTCTGTCAGACTCCAGAGCCCGGGCTTCCAGCCATTCCCAACTCTTTTTGCTCAAATGCACCAATCCCACTCTGGCCACATAGCCCTTGAACGTGCTGTGCTTGTTTTGTGTGTTGCCCAGGCAGGTCTCAAACTCTTGGCCTCAAACGATCCTCCCAAAGTGCTGAGATTACAGGCCTGAGCTGCCTTGACCGCCTTTCTATTTCCTCCTGGGGGGATGGGAGCACCAAGGAGATTCCAGCAAAAGGATACACCCACTCCAGCTTGAGCCGGCAAGAAGGCAGCTCCGAGCGTGTGTCCAGGCTGTAGGTGGGTGCCAGCTCGTCTGGGATCATCATGGGCACAGGGCGGCCCCTCAGGAACATTTTCACGGAGCCATCCTCTGCCAGGACACCCCCAGAGGTCAGGCACTGACACCAGCCCCATCCCTATTCCCTCTCCTCTTCCAGCTTTATTTATTTATTTTTTTAAAGGCAGGGAAACTGAGGCCAGAGAGGCAAAGACCCAGTAGCCAAGACTCCTGACCTCTGGCTCCAGCCTGTCACCCCAACAAGCAAGCTTCCACCGAGCCCTTCCCCATCTCCCCACTCACCCACACTGAAGATAACTTCTTTGGTTTTGCTGTCAGGAAAGGACAAAGAAAAAAAAAGGGTCTTAGTATTCAGTTCAGAAAAGGGGAGAAACCATTCCTCCACCCCCACCGCTCCCCGGAGGTCTCCGATGAAAACGGGGCCGAGTAAGGGGCAGAGCGCTGCCTCTCTGCAGGCCGTGTGCTTTGCTCGGTTGATCTTGCAGAGCCTAAGACACAGGCCCAGAGAGGCAGTGATCGCCAAAGATCACACAGCACGAAGTGGCAGGGACGCGATCCTGGAAGAAGGGAGTCACCAAGGACCCTTCCCTCCTAATCAGCAAGGTGCTCCCCAGCGCCCCCCACCCGCAGTTCCCCCAGCACACCAAACGTCAAGCAGAGGGAGAAACGGGGAGAGTTTAAGGGAAGGGGCGTGTCCCCACGCCGGTCTGGGTCCCAGGGGTTGGGTGAAACCTGAGATCTAAGCCCCGGGAGCGCGGAGAGGAGATGGGGGGTGGTCTGCGAAAGGGTCTCACCCAGCTCCAAAGCTACTCATGGCGGCGGGTGGCGGAGCTTCGGGGCCGGGGGTGGAGCCGGGACCGGCTCTGCCGCTTCCGGCCCTGGGAGGCGCCCGGGCCGCCGCGCCCCTGCCCCGCCCTCCACAGCCACCCCTGGAGCCGGAGGGTCCCACCGGGTCACACATCCCGGGCTGTGGACTCCCGATCCCAGGTTCTTTCGGGGTGGGTGGGGGAGAGTGGTTGAGAACATGGACTCGGGAGCGCGCCTGCTTGAGTTAAAACCCCAGTTCTGCTAATTCCTAGCAGTGTACACAGGTCGTCCAACCTCTGCCTCGGTTTCCTCATTTAAAAAATGGGGATAATAAGAGTACCCGGCCGGGCGCGGTGGCTCATGCCTGTAATCCCAGCACTTTGGGAGGCCGAGGCGGGCAGATCACCTGAGGTCAGGAGTTCAAGACCAGCCTGGCCAACGTGGTGAAACCCCGTCTCTACTAAAAATACAAAACTTAGCCTGGCGTGGTGGCTGGCGCCTGTAATCCCAGCTACTTGGGAGGCTGAGGCAGGAAAATCATTCGAACTCGGGAGGCAGAGGTTACAGTGAGCTGAGATTGTGTCATTGCACTCCAGCCTGGGCAACGAGAACAAGACTCCGTCTCAAAATAAATAAATAAATAAGAGTACTCACACCTCCCGGGGGTAGTTGCGAGGGTGAAATTGGTTAATTATTGGGAAGTGCCTGGAGTATACACAACGCTGTATTTGTGTTTGCTATGTTTGAGCAGAGTTGAAATGTGCAGCTTTTGACCTTGGTCTTGCCCTTGCGTGGCCTCCTAGCGCTGACCACGCCCACTGCACCATAACTCCAGCCTTAGGGTGATTTTTGTTTTGTTTTGTTTTTGATACAGGGTGTGGCTCTGTCGACCAAACTGGAGTGCAATGGCGTGATCATGGCTCACTGAAACCTCGAATTTCCTAGGCTTAAGTGAGCCTCCTGCCGCAGCCTCCCAAGTAGCTGGGTCTACAAGCGAAGGCCAGCACGCCCGGCTATTTTCTTTCTCTCTCTTTTTTTTTTTGTTTTTTGTTTTTTGTTTTTTGTTTGTTTGTTTAACGGAGTCTTGCTCTGTCAGCAGGCTGGAGTGCAGTGGCGCGATCTCAGCTCACTGCAACCTCCGCCTCCCGGGTTGAAGTGATTCTCCTGCCTCAGCCTCCCGAGTAGCTGGGACTACAGGCACGCGCCACCACGCCCATTTTTGTATTATTAATAGACAGGGGGTTTCACCATGTTGGCCAGGATGGTCTCGATCTCTTGACCTTGTGATCCACCCGCCTAGGCCTCCCGAAGTGCTGGGATTACAGGCGTGAGCCACCGCGCCAGGCCTAATTTATTTTCATTTTTAGTAAAGACGAGGGCTCGCTATTTTGCCCAGCCTGGTCTCGAACTCCTGAGCTCAAGCGATGATTCCCGCCTCCGCCTCCCAAACTGCTAGAATTATATAGCCTTAGTTTTTGACTCTGTCCAGATCTTCAGTATGGCCCCGCCTCTGGAGTTGACCACGCCTGTCATTCTGAGCCTCCCTTCTAACCCTGTCCCTGAGTTGACTCAGTTGCTTGAGAATTGACTGCTACCTCCCGCCAACGCTCCTTCTCCGGCCCGCCAGGCATTCTGATTACGTCCATTTTCACGTATTCCTTATGTGAATACCTTCGAGGCCTCCAAGTTGGCTGCACCTCTTGGCATTTGACCACGCCCCTACGGCCCCGCCCAACCTTTAAGCCACGCCCTTTTCAACCTGGCAGTGCCCCCCGATTTTGATGTCAAAGCTTCTGGAATCTGGAATGCCTCCACCTGGTCTCAGCCTCTGTTACTCCGTACCCCAGATTTTAATTTCGCCCAGGCGAACACTGTGGCTGCACCCTTAAATTCCTCAGACTCCCTCTTTCCTTGTAGAAACTCTGTGGCTGCTGCCTTGACTTCATCCCTGAAACTCAACGGGGCCTCTCCTGTACCTTAATAACCACGCCCATAAGCCAAGCTCCTCCCTGACTTCCTCACCCAGTAGACCTGACCGTCCAGCTTCTAAAAACTCTGGCCACGCCCCTCAATATTGACTCCGCCCTCCCAGACCTTCCACTGTTACCGTGCCACCTCAAGATTGGTCCCTCCAAGGCTCTGGCACCGTCCCCGCTTTTGAACTAGCTGGCCCCACTCTAGGTTACGACCTCGTGGCCTGGGGCATGACTACATTTCTCGACCATTTCCTCCCTATCTCTTTCTGCGGCTTGACGCCGCCCCAGTCCTTACCCTTCCTTTTTGGCGCTACAGTTGCTGCTGGAGGATGTGGTCCGGCTGCGGGGGTCCTCACGGCGCACCGAGGCGAGGCGCTCTGGTGACAAGTAGCGGCGGACACTGCTAAAAGAGAGCACACAGGTGGGGGCAGAGCCTTCTAGGCCAGCAGGCGAGTGCCGTGAGCAAGCGAGATTCTCCCTGCACCCTCTGCTGCTGGAGCTCAGGCAAACAAACCACCTCTGTCTCCCACGAGGTCTTGGAAGAGGCTGGGGGTCCCGGCCTTGTGCCTTACCTGCGCCCGGAGGTCGCCTCCTTCTTGGGAGAGGATGGGGACGTGGCATAGCCACCCACGCGCCGCGGGGGTCCCGAGCCATTAAGGGGCGTCCTGGTGGGAAGGCCTTTCAAGAGCTGACACACTGGAGGGATGGGGTTAGGGGACAGAAGAGGGTGAGTATAAGGACCAGGCCCCGGTCCTCCCCATCCCACCCCTCCAGTCTAACGGGGATACCCGAGGCAGTGGTGCCTAAGCGCGGAGGCGCCCGGCCCTTGGGGGTGCCCCGCGCGCGTAGCGCCGCTCCCTGTTCTTCGCATGCCCGCAGGCGACGCAGAGCATCCGCCAGCGCCGCCTTTAGGACCGCCAGCTCGTCTTCCTGTAACTGCAGCCGCTGCTCCAGCGCCGACACGCGGTCGTCCACTTCCATACCGCTCGTGCCCGACAAATTGTCATCTGGAAGACGGGGGAGTGCCGGCTGCAGGGCCACCCAGGAGCTCCAGTGCCCAAGGGGTCCCTCCCGCCTTCCTGGGTCTAAGCGGGGGGCCAGCCACGCCCCTTTCCTGTCCCGCTACCTGGGGCTGGGACACTTGGACATGAGCCAAGGAAGAGGACTCTGAAGGGGGAAGGAAATCCCCACAGCTCTCCAACCCATCCGCACACTCCTCTCTGCCACAGCGCGCTGGCCGTGTGACCTTGGGGAAGTCCCTTCCCTCTTATTTTCTAAGAGTCTGTGAACCCAGGAGCCTCTCGCTCTGGCTTTAAGATGCTATGACTAAGACGTGACCAGGCGCAGTGGCTCACGCCTGTAACCCCAGCACTTTGGGAGGCCGAGGCGGGCGTATCACGAGGTCAGGAGATCGAGACCATCCTGGCCAACATGGTGAAACCCCGTCTCTACTAAAATAAAATTAAATTAAAAATAAAATAAAATTTAAAAAAAAGCCGGGCGTGGTGGCGCGTGCCTGTAGTCCCAGCTACTCCGGAGGCTGAGACGGGAATCGCTTGAACCCGGGGGGTCGGAGGTTGCCGTGAGCCAAGATCGCGCCACTGCACTCCAGCCTGGCCACAAAGCGAGACTCCGTCTCAAAAAAAAAAAAAAGAAAAAAGAAAAAGAAAAAAAAGATTCTTTGATTTTATGACTAAGACGTTAAGTATCTATGAGTGATAAGAGCATTTGCAAAATGACACCAACCTACTCCTAATGACACTAAAGTTCTAGAATTGATCCCCAACATCCTCCGACGAAGATTCTGTTATGAATACCAACGTCTCTTCACTGTTTCTAAGACTTTCCAAGCCAAAAGGTCATGCCTAGCCTCCCCGTTTCCCCTCCTCTCCTCACCCTGGGGTTCGACCCTAGAGCCAGCTGCAAGGACAGAGCTTCGGCGGCCCCTGGCGGCGGACTTGGGGGTTGCAGGCAGCGCATGGCAGACCCAGAAGACCCAAGGGAGATGCAGACCGGATTGACAACCAAACTCTTCCCCAGCAGGCATTCCTCTTTTCTGTTCCCCTTCTTTATTTCGCCTCTGTACCCCGCGCCCCAGATTTGGCTCTCCAGCCTATGGGTGCAGCCAAAATGACTCCCCGAGTCGCCCCCCCAACCCCGCTCATTTTCCCAAAGTGGGAGGGGCGGAGACCGAAGTGGCCCCTCTCCCCCTTTTCCCGCAGAATACTCATACCCAGACTCATTGCTGACCACAACCAAGGAAGCCCTGGTTCCCAGCCTGGTGGAAGTAAAGGTGGTAGCTTAGACGGGGACAGGGCGTGGAGCTCGCCCCTGCCATCCCGCGTCCACAGGCCGCGCAGCTGGCCCTCTGGGCTCCGCAGTGCAGCCGCCGCTCCTCCCTCCTTCCCTTCGTAGCCCAATCGCCTGCCGAGGCTTGCCCGCCCTGCCCCCCACTCAGCGCCTCCCAGGTCCGGTGCCTGGACCTGCAGAGGGAGGTGGGAGCCTCCTGAGGTCAGAAGGAGTGAGCCGTCAGGACTTAGAACTCGTAACAGGGGGAAACCTCTAGGGGTCTTGTTGGCATCACGTTTTGCAGACGGGAAACTAAGGAAGGAGGCTAGTAGGAGTGTGCAGAGACACGCCAAAGATCACTCAGCCCGTAGGTGGGGGCTGGGGACCCAATCACCTCCTGTGCTCAGCCTGGTCCTACCTACCATTAATTATACGACCAGAAAAATGGCATCTGTTACTGTGAGCTTACATGTGCCAGGCACTGCTCACGCAAAACATTTAGCACGTTCCCGGCTCATGTTGATGCTCGATAAATCCAGAATAGGATTAACTATTTTTATGATACCTAATGCTTTTGGCAACTCTAGTAGTTGTAGTAGCATAATCCATTTTAGGAGGAGAGGAGGAGGAAGGTTACTGAAGCCCAGAAAGGTGACGTTACTTGTTACACGGACACACAGCCGTTCAATGGAAGAACCCATACTCAACAGGAATGGCCACCCTGTCATTCTGGCTCTTAGAGGGACAGAGGAGGACAAAATAAGCATTCTGGGTCCCCTGCCAATTCCAGTGGTCCCTGGCACTAGGGTGTGTGCCCAGAGGACTGAACCTCCAAACTGAGTTAATAGAGGTGCTTTCATCTTGACCCTTCTGCCCCACCCAGAGAGGCCAGCTGCACTGTCAGGCCTTGGCCAGCCCATCCTACCAACCCCCACACCTCCACCATCCCCATCCCTGTGACTCAAGCCCTCCGCTCCCTCCTGACCATCCCCCCATCCTCAGCCTTTTCCCAGAGACCAGGCCTCACTTCCCACTTTTCCCTCCCAACTCCCCTCTTCTCCTATCTCCCCTCACCTGAGCCCGACACCCACAGTGGTCCTTCTGGTATCACACCCATTTGTCTAGGGAGAAGGGATGGTGCTAATGCATGGGAGGGCCAGGGCCAGAGGATTTGGGAGGTATCCTAGAAGCAAAGTCCTCTGGCCGTCCCTTTCCAGTCCCACACTCTGCCCTCAACTCAACACCAAATCCACCCCCACCCCCTCTGTCTGTCCCCCTGCTATGGAGATAGGGGAGCATTCCAGAAGCTTGAGGGGAGAGAGAAAGGGCAGAGTTCCAGGCCCAATCGACCCCCAGGCCGTTCCCCCTTCCAATCCCAGGTTCCTTCGGGTTCTGCCCCCTTCTCTCCTCTCCGTCTAGCCACCTCGGGAGTACAGAAGGATCCAAGTGGATGGGGGGCTGGGATCTAGGTTTTGGGGACCAGGGACCTTGCTCTTGGGTCAGGGTCCTGCTGAGGGAGAGAAAAGGGGGATCTTCAGCAAGGGAGGGGGTTGGGGACTTGCAAGGAGGAGGCTGGGGCAAGAAGAGATGGGTCCAGCCTTGGGCGGGGCCAAGGTCGGAACTGAGGAGGGGTCTCACCGTTGCAGTATCGCAGCAGCGAGGACGTGTCGTACAGGCCGCAGAAGGCCGGGCCGCGCTCCGCCATCGCCCCACCACAGCCACCGCCGGCCCCCCCGGTCCCAGCCCGGGCCCGGTCCCCCCAACCAGGCCCTGCCTCCCGTTGCCATAGCAACGCCCTTCGTTCCAGCATCCCCAGCTCAGCTCGCCTGGCATCAGGCGGCCGGCGCCGGGCCCGGCGCTGGGGTCATCCCCAGGATGCCCAGAAAGGGGGGTCGGGACACCGCCTGCCAAGCCCCCCAACACAATCCTAGGGCCAGGATTGGCTGCGCCCGGATCCCCCTAGGTACCGTCTGGTCCCGCCCACAACCGGAGTATAGTCTCTCTAGACCCCCCTCCTCGCCCGTTCAGAACCAATGAGAGCCTGTCGCGCAGGGCCCTTCACCAATAGGGATGCAGAGGGATTGGAAGGGGCAGGGTCTTTCCTGCTTTCAGCCTGAAGCGCAGCCCCGAGCTCCGGGAGGAGGATGGTGTGGAGGAAGACACTCCACTATCCCCAAAACCTCTTCAGACTTTCATTGGATTTTCCAAAAGCCCCCTCCGTAAGGCCAGGGCCCGACCTTAGAGCCCCAAACCCGCCCAGGGAGCTCTTGTTTATGACATCTAGGCCCACCCCCAGGCTCTTAGCCCCACCCCCAGAATCTTGCGGGTGCTAAAGTTTTATTCCTACCCACGGAATCATTAGCACCGCCCCTGAACCGCCAAGGGTTTATAGTATAGTACTTCTCCAGAGCTCTGGACAGGACCTTCTTATAGGATTAGCTCTGGCCTCGGAATTTAAATCCCTCCCCCCGCGGTCTGGTAGTCCCTCCCTAACTTTCCCCACCGCTCTGTCTGCGGCCCCAGGCCCTTAGCTCCGCCCTTAGAGCCCTAGCCTCCCACAACCGCATTATCCAGTCCGGGCTTTGGCACAGGCCCAGTTGTGAGGCTTGGACTAGCCCGCGTGTCAGGCAGAGATGGCTCGAAAGTTGTGGGGGAAAAGGGGAGGGTACAAAACCCGACAATGGATTTCAAGAATATTGGACCGCCTTCCTCAAGTCTCCAACGACGGTAAACACCTAGAGTATAGGCAGGAGAAGTGAAGTCCGGAGCCGAAAAAGAATTCCCTCTGGACACAGAGATGAAAAGTAGAAGTTTTGGAAGCAGATTGACCTGGGTTTGAATCCTGACTCCTCCACTTTCTGGTTTCGTGACCCTAAAGCTCCACTTCCTCATCTGGAAAGTGGGGGCTCATAATCGCGCCTGCCTCATTCATTCATTCAAAAATGTTTACTGAGTGCCTAACGGGCCAGGCTCTGTTCTAGGTGCTGAAGTTTTCGGAATGACCAAGTGAACCTGTTTCCTCTCATGTATTGTTCATTTAATGGAAGAGGTAAACAATCATACACAAAATAAATAACAATACCTAACGTTTAATCAGCAGTCACTATGGGCAAAGCACTCAGTTATCCTCACCAAAAGCCCTATTTTGTTGTTGTTGTTGTTGTTGTTTGCTTGTTTGTTTTCGAGACGGAGTCTCTCTCTGTCGCCCAGGATGTAGTACAGTGGCACAATCTCAACTCACTGCAACCTCCGCCTCCTGGGTTCAAGCGATTCTCCTGCCTCAGCCTTCAGAGTAGCTGGGACTACAGGCGCACGCCACCACGCCCAGCTAATTTTTGTATTTTTAGTAGAGATGGGGTTTCACCATGTTGGCCAGGATGGTCTCGATCTCTTGACCTCATGATCCTCCCGCCTCGTCTTCCCAAAGTGCTGGGATTACAGGCGTGAGCCACCGCGCCCGGCCTATTTTTTTATATTTTAAAAATATTTTGTGGAGAATTGCTTGAGCCTGGGAGGCGGAGGTTGCAGTGAGCCAAGATCGTGCCACTGTACTCCAGTCTGGGCAACAGAGCTGGAGAGCAGAGGCGCGATCTTGGCTCACTGCAATCTCCGCCTCCTGGGTTCAAGCGATTCTCCTGCCTCAGCCTCCCGAGTACCTAGGACTACAGGTGCCTGCCACCACTTCCAGCTAATTTTTGTATTTTTAGTAGAGACGGGGTTTCACCATGTTGGCCAGGCTGGTTTCAAACTTCTGACCTTGTGATCCGCCCGCCTCGACCTCTCAAAGTGCTGGGATACTTTTTCCTTTTTTTTTTTTCTTCTTAAGAAACTGGGTCTCCCACTGTTGCTCAAGCTGGAGTGCAGTAACATGATTATAGCTCTCTCCCTCTCCCTCTCCCTCTCCCTCTCCCTCCTCTCCCTCCTCTCCCTCCTCTCCCTCTCTTTCCACGGTCTCCCTCTGATGCAGAGCTGAAGCTGGACTGTACTGCTGCCATCTCGGCTCACTGCAACCTCCCTGCCTGATTCTCCTGCCTCAGCCTGCCGAGTGCCTGCGATTGCAGGCGCACGCCGCCACGCCTGACTGGTTTTCGTATTTTTTTGGTGGAGACGGGGTTTTGCTGTGTTGGCCGGGCTGGTCTCCAGCTCCTAGCCACGAGTGATCCACCAGCCTCGGCTTCCCGAGGTGCCGGGATTGCAGACGGAGTCTCGTTCACTCAGTGCTCAATGGTGCCCAGGCTGGAATGCAGTGGCGTGATCTCGGCTCGCTACAACTTCCACCTCCCAGCCGCCTGCCTTGGCCTCCCAAAGTGCCGAGATTGCAGCCTCTGCCCAGCCGCCACCCCATCTGGGAAGTGAGGAGCGCCTCTTCCCGGCCGCCATCCCATCTAGGAAGTGAGGAGCGTCTCTGCCCGGCCGCCCATCGTCTGAGATGTGGGGAGCGCCTCTGCCCTGCCGCCCCGTCTGGGATGTGAGGAGCGTCTCTGCCCGGCCGCCCCGTCTGAGAAGTGAGGAGCCCCTCCGCCCAGCAGCCGCACCGTCTGAGAAGTGAGGAGTCCCTCCGCCCGGCAGCCACCCCGTCTGGGAAGTGAGGAGCGTCTCCGCCAGGCCAGCCGCCCCGTCTGGGAGGGAGGTGGGAGTCAGCCCCCCGCCCGGCCAGCCGCCCCGTCCGGGAGGGAGGTGGGGGGGTCAGCCCCCCGCCCGGCCAGCCGCCCCGTCCGGGAGGGAGGTGGGGGGGTCAGCCCCCCGCCCGGCCAGCCGCCCCGTCCAGGAGGTGAGGGGCGCCTCTGCCCGGCTGCCCCTACTGGGAAGTGAGGAGCCCCTCTGCCTGGCCAGCCGCACCGTCTGGGAGGGAGGTGGGGGTCAGCCCCCCGCCCGGCCAGCCGCCCCGTCCGGGAGGGAGGTGGGGGGGTCAGCCCCCCGCCCGGCCAGCCGCCCCGTCCGGGAGGGAGGTGGGGGGGTCAGCCCCCCGCCCGGCCAGCCGCCCCGTCCAGGAGGTGAGGGGCGCCTCTGCCCGGCTGCCCCTACTGGGAAGTGAGGAGCCCCTCTGCCCGGCCACCACCCCGTCTGGGAGGTGTACCAAACAGCTCATTGAGAACGGGCCATGATGACAATGGCGGTTTTGTGGAATAGAAAGGGGGGAAAGGTGGGGAAAAGATTGAGAAATCGGATGGTTGCCGTGTCTGTGTAGAAAGAGGTAGACATGGGAGACTTTTCATTTTGTTCTGTACTAAGAAAAATTCTTCTTCCTTGGGATCCTGTTGATCTGTGACCTTGCCCCCAACCCTGTGCTCTCTGAAACATGTGCTGTGTCCACTCAGGGTTGAATGGATTAAGGGTGGTGCAAGATGTGCTTTGTTAAACAGATGCTTGAAGGCAGCATGCTCCTTAAGAGTCATCACCACTCCCTAATCTCAAGTACCCAGGGACACAAACACTGCGGAAGGCCGCAGGGTCCTCTGCCTAGGAAAACCAGAGACCTCTGTTCACTTGTTTATCTGCTGACCTTCCCTCCACTATTGTCCTGTGACCCTGCCAAATCCCCCTCTGCGAGAAACACCCAAGAATGATCAATTAAAAAAAAAAAAGAAAAAAAAATATTTTGTACAGAGGAGCTCTTGCTATATTGCCAAAGCTGGTCTCAAACTCCTGGCCTCAAGTGATCCTTCGGCCTGGGCCTGTCAAAGTGCCGGAATAATAGATGTGTCTCACTCACTCTTGCCCTGGCTGTAATGCAGTGGCATGATCTTGGCTCACTGCAACCTCCACCTCCCAGATTCAAGCGATTCTCGTGCCTCAGCCTCCCCAGCAGCTGGGATTACAAGTGTGCACCACCATGCCTGGCTAATTTTTGTATTTTTAGTAGACACAGGGTTTCACCATAATGGCCAAGCTGGTCTCTAACTCCTGACCTAAAGTGATCCTCCCGTCTCAGCCTCCCAAAATGTTAGGATTACAGGTGTGAGCCAACCGCACCCAGTAAAAGTTCAATTTTAATCACCATTTTAGAGATGATGATACAGAAACAGTGTGGCAGTGACTCAACCTGTTAATCCCCAGCACTTTCAAAGGCCAAAGAAGGGGGATTGTAGGGGTGCGAGATCAGCCTGGGCAACAAAGCAAGACCCCGTGGCTACAAAACAAAATTTCTTTCTTTTTTTTTTTTTCTTTTGAGATAGAGTCTTGCTCTTGTCGCCCAGGCTGGAGTGCAACGGCACGATCTTGGCTCACTGCAATCTCCGCTTCCCAGGTTCAAGCAATTCTCCAGCCTTAGCCTCCCATGTAGCTGTGATTACAGGCACCCACCACCACGCCCGGCTAATTTTTTTGTATTTTTATTTTTATTTATTTATTTTTGAGATGAAGTCTCGCTCTGTTGCCCAGGCTGGAGTGCAGTGGCATGATCTCAACTCACGACAACCTCCGCCTCCCGGGCTCAAGCAATTCTCCTGCCTCAGCCTCCCAAGTAGCTGGGACTACAGGCTCGCGCCACAATGCCTGGCTAATTTTTGTATTTTTAGTAGAGACGAGGGTTCACTATGTTGGCCACGCTGGTCTGGAACTCCTGACCTCATGATCCGCCCACACCGGCCTCCCAAAGTGCTGGGATTACAGGTGTGGGCCATCGCACCCGGCCAAAACAAAATTTTTCATCCTCCTGACATGGTGGTGCACGCCTGTAGTTCCAGCTACTTGGAAGGCTGAGGTGGGAGGATCACTTGAACCCAGGAGGTCGAGACTGCAGCAAGCTATGATCATGCCACTGCACTCCAGCCTGGGCAACAGAGCAAGAAGGTGTACAGACAGGATAATATAGTAAAAAAAGGGAGCAGGAGGCTCATTTAGAGACCCTAGATCCAGGGCAGTTACCTCTGAGGAAATGACATTTGAGCTGACATGTGAAAAATAAGAAGGGTTGGGCACGGTGGCTCATGCCTGTAATCCCAGCAGTTTGGGAGGCCGAGGCAGGCAGATCACCTGAGGTCAGGAGTTCGAGACCAGCCTGGCCAACACGGTGAAACCTTGTTTCTACTAAAAATACAAAAATTAGCTAGGCATAGTGGCATGCACTTGTAATCCCAGCTACTTGGGAGGCTGTGGCAGGAGAATTGCTTGAACCAGGGAGGTGAAGGTTGCAGTGAGCAGAGACCACACCATTGCACTCCAGCCTGGGTGACAGAATGAGACTTCATCTCACAAAAAAAGAAAGAACAAAAAAAAAAAAAAAAAGAAAGAAAGAAAAAGAAAAACAAGAAGGAAGCAGTTATGCCTGGAGTTGGGAGGCAGGGGATTTCTAGGCAGAGGAAACAGCAAGTGCAAAAGTCCCGAGGTTGGTTTGAGTTTAGCATATTCCTGGGGCAACCAGAAGGTTGATGACGATGAAGCTGTGGAGAGATAGGGGAAGGGGGGGATGCGAGGCCAGGGAGGCTATGGGCCTTCCATATCTTGCAGGGCCTCAAAGGCTGGGGGAAGACTTTGGCAGTTTGTCACTGTATCCTCCACAAGCCACAGTGAGGCCACAGATATAAATTATATATGAGTGGCCAGGCCACGCCTGTAATCCCAGCATTTTGGGAGGCCGAGGTGGGTGGATCACTTGAGGTCAGGAGTTCCAGACCAGCCTGGCCAATATGGCGAAACCCTATCTCTACTAAAAATACAAAAATTAGCCAGGCATAGTGGAGCATGCCTGTAATCCCAGCTATTCAGAAGGCTGAGACAGGAGAATTGCTTGAACCCTGGAGGCAGAGGTTGCACTGAGCCAAGATGGTGCCCCTGGACTCCAGCCTGGGCGACAGAGCAACACTCTGTCTCAAAAAAGAAAAAAAAATTATACGTGAGTACAATGCCTAGCACACAATGAGGCATCAATGATGGGCCGGGCACAGTGGCATGTGTTTGTAGTCCCAGCTACTTGAGAGGCTAAGGTGGGAGGATCTGTTGAGCTCACGAGTTTGGGCTGTAGTCCACTATGGCAATTAGGTGTCTGCACTCAGTTCAGCATTAATACGGTACCCCTTGGAGTGGGGGACCACCAGTTGCTTAAGGAGGGGTGAACTGGCCCAGGTCAGAAAGGGAATAGGGCAAAACTCCCATGCTGATCAGTAGTGGGATCCCGCCTGTGAATAGCCACTGCACTCCAGTCTGGGCAACATGGCGAGAACCTATCTCATAAAAAGTAAAAAACAGGGGCTGGGTGCAGTGGCTCATGCCTGTAATCCTAACACTTTGGGAGGCTGAGGCAGGTGGATCACGAGGTCAGGAGATCAAGACCAGCCTGGCCAACATAGTGAAAACCCATCCTAAAAATACAAAAAATTAGCAGGGCGTGGTGGTATGTGCCTGTAATCCCAGCTACTCAGGAGGCAGAGGCAGAAGAATCGCTTGAACCAGGGAGGTGGAGGTTGCAGTGAGTGGAGATTGCGCCACTGCACTCCAGCCTGGGCGACAGAGCAAGACATCATCTAAAAAAAACAAAAAAACAAAAGTAATAAATAGGACTGGGTATGGTGGCTCACATCTATACTTTCAGCACTTTGGGAGGCCTAAGCCCAGAAGGATCACTTGAGGCCAGGAATTTGAGACCAGCCTAGGCAATATAGCGAGAGCTCCTCTCTACAAAATATTTAAAAATTAGCTGGGCTTACTTTTTTTTTTTTTTTTTTTTTTTTTTTTTGAGATGGAGTTTTGCTCTTGTTGCCCAGGCTGGAGTGCAATGGTGCAATCTCTGCTCACTGCAATCTCCACCTCCTGGGTCCAAGCGATTCACCTGCCTCAGCCTCCCAAGTAGCTGGGATTACAGGCACGTGCAACCATGCTCGGCTAATTTTTGTATTTTTAGTAGAGACGGGGGTTTTACTATGTTGGCCAGGCTGCTCTCGAACTGCTGACCTCAGGTGGTCCACCCACCTTGGCCTCTCAAAGTGCTGGGATTATAAGCGTGAGCCACCGTGCCTGGCCAGTTGGGCTTACTTCTTGTTGAACAGGTCTAAAAAAAGAAAAATAGGCAGGCATGGTAGCTCATGCATGTAGCTCCAGTTACTTGGGAGGCTGAGGCTGGAGGATCACTTGAGCCCAGGAGTTCGAGGCTGTTGTGAGCTAGGATGGCACCACTGCACTCCATTCTGGGTGGCATAGTGAAACCCCATCTTTTTTTTTGAGACGGAGTCTCGCTCTGTCTCCGAGGCTGGAGTGCAGTGGCGCGATCTCGGCTCACTACAAGCTCCGCCTCCCGGGTTCCCGCCATTCTCCTGCCTCAGCCTCTCGAGTAGCTGGGACTACAGGCGCCGGCCACCGCGCCCGGCTAATTTGTTTTTTGTAGTTTTTAGTAGAGACAGGGTTTCACCGTGTTAGCCAGGATGGTCTCGATTTCCTGACCTCGTGATCCACCCGCCTCGGCCTCCCAAAGTGAGACCGAGCGCCCGGCCGTGAGACCCCCATCTCTTAAAAAATAATAAATAAATAGGCCGGGTGCGGTGGCTCACGCCTGTAATCCCAGCACTTTGGGAGGCCGAGGCGGGCAGATCACGAGGGCAGGAGATCGAGACTATCCTGGCTAACACGGTGAAATCCCGTCTTTACTAAAAAAAAAAAAAATACAAAAAATTAGCCGGGTGTGGTGGCGGGCCCTGTAGTCCCAGCTATTCGGGAGGCTGAGGCAGGAGAATGGCGTGAACCCAGGAGGCGGAGCTTGCAGTGAGCCGAGATTGCACCACTGCACTCCAGCCTGGGCGATACAGCGAGACTCTGTCTCAAATAAATAAATAAATAAATAAATAAATAAATAAATAAATAAAATAAACAAATAAAAAATCAATGATGGGTTCAAAGTGATGACCAAAATAGCCGTGGGTCCTTATCCTCCCACGATCACCGCTAATTGTGTTACTGGTAGAAACAACGCGGGAGGTTTTCTGCCGCCCAAATCACCACTAATTGTGTTACTGATAGAAACAACGCAGGAGGTTTTCTGCCGCCCAAATCACGCTTCTCCCACCCGCCAATCCTCTTGAGCTCAGATTCTAGGAGAGGGGAAGTCAGACACCCAGATACAGAATTCTGAAGCAGGCTGCAAAGTGTTAAGGGCTGTTACTGGGGTGTCCCGAGAGGACCGTGGAGGCCCAGGGGAATTCAGATCCATGGGCTCCATATGGTGCGGGAGGAGGAGGGAGGAGAGCCAGGCACAGGGATTTAGCTTGATGAGTTATGGGAGGTGGGAGATGACACACAAAGATGAGTCAGACCTAGTCCTTGCCCTTGAGGGGCTCCCAGCCTCAGTGCAGGGACCACTGTCAGGGTCCATGCGAGCTAAGTGATCTTGGCTTGGTTTTTCCTCCTCTGCAAAACGGGAGTCATCCCAGCCCCCACTTCCCAGGGGAGCAGAGCAGGTTGAATGGGCTCATGCTGATAAAGTGCCCAGCACAGTGGTTTGGGGGTACAGGTAACGGAGCTGGTTTGATGACAAGTGCTTTCGCAGGGAGGTGTCAAGGATGTGGGAGATAGGCGTGGGGAGAGGGCGGCTCTGTCTGAGGAGGGGGTGCGGGCAGGCAGGGCTCACAGTCTCTGTCTTTCTGCCTCCAGGTTTCCTTCTCCCTAAGGCTTTTCGCTCTCATCTCTATCTCTGTTTTTCTTCATGTTTCTGTATAGAAATTGGATTTCATCCTAGTACTTTGGGAGGCCGAGGCAGGCGGATCACCTGAGGTCAGGAGTTCGAGACCAGCCTGATCAACATGCAGAAACCCCGTCTCTACTAAAAATACAAAATTGCTGGGCGTGGTGGCTCAAGCCTGGAATCCCAGCACTTCTGGAGGCCAAGGCGGGCGGATCACAAGGTCAGGAGATCAAGACCATCCTGGCCAACACGGTGAAACACTGTCTCTATTAAAAATACAAAAAATTAGCCGGGTGTGGTGGAGGGCACCTATAGTCCCAGCTACTCGGGAGGCTGAGCAGGAGAATGGCATGAACCCGGAAGGCGGAGCTTGCAGTGAGCCGAGATTGCGCCACTGCACTCAGGAGACAGAGCGAGACCCTGTCTCAAAAAAAAAAAAAAAAAGAAAAAGACAAAAAGAAATTAGCTGGGCCTGGTGGCGCATGCCTGTAATCCCAGCTACTTGGGAGGCTGAGGCAGGAGAATTTCTTGAACCCAGGAGGCAGATGGTGAGCTGAGATCGCACCATTGCACTCCAGCCTGGGCAACAAGAGTGAGACTCTGTCTTAAAAAAAAAGAAAAGAAAAAGAAATTGGATTTCAAAGTTAACTGGCCAAGTGTGGTGGCTCATGCCTGTAATCCCAGCACTTTGGGAGGCCGAGGCAGGCAGATCACCTGAGGTCAGGAGTTTGAGACCAGCCTGGCCAACATGGTGAAACCCCGTCTCTACTAAAAATACAAAAATTAGCCTGATGTGGTGGTGGGCACCTGTAATCCTTGCTACTGGGGAGGATGAGGCAAGAGAATTGCTTGAACCCAGGAGGTGGAGGTTGTAGTAAGCCAAGATTGCACCACTGCATTCAGTGAGCCAAGATCGTGCCTATGCACGCCAGCCAGGGCAATAGAATGAGACTCCTTCTCAAAAGACAACCCGGGTCCTGATTTCAACACCTATGAGACATGTCACCCTGATCAAGTTACTTCCCTTCTCTGGGCCTCAGTTTCCCTATCCAGAAAATGGGGATAATATAACACCTCTGCTATAGGTCTGTTATGAGAAGGGACATATAGATGTGTAAAATATCCAATATGGTGGCCATTAGTATTATTATTACTGATACTAATCTCAGACTCTGTTTTTCTCTCAGCATCTCTTTTTTACATTTATTTATTTATTTATTTATTTATTTACTTGAGATGGAGTCTCACTCTGTCGTCCAGGCTGGAGTGCAGTGGTGTGATCTCGGCTCACTACAAACTCTGCCTCCCAGGTTCAAGCAATTCTCTAGCCTCAGGCTTCCCAGTACCTGGGATTACAAGCCCGCCACCACGCCCGGCTAATTTTTTGTATTTTTAGTAGAGACAGGGTTTTACCATCTTGGCCAGGCTGGTCTTAAACTCCTGACCTCATGATCCACCAGCCTCGGCCTCCCAAAGTGCTGGGATTACAGGCGTGAGCCACCGCACCTGGCTACTTTCTTTCATTCTTTCATTTTTTGTTTGTTTGTTTTTTGAGACAGAATCTCGCTCTATTGCCCAGGTTGGAGTGCAGTGGTGCAATCATGGCCCACAGCAGCCTCAACCTCTTAGGCTCAAGTGATCCTCCTGCCTCACCCTTCTGAGTATCTGGGACTACACGAACGAGCAGCCGTGCTTTGCTAATTTTTAAAAATTTTTTTTGTAGAGACAGAGTCTCACTATGTTGCCCAGGCTGGTCTCGAACTCCGGGGCTCAAGCGATCCTCCCATCCCAGCCTCCCAAAGTGCTGGGATTACAGGTGTGAGCCACCATGCCTGGCCTCTTTCTTTGTGTTTCTCTCTCTACGTCTCATTCTGTCAGCTCGTCCCCCTACTTGGGTTTATGTTTGAGCTGGGAGCTTCACAAAGCCAGAGCAAGAGCTGTCCCAGTCACCAGGGTCCCCAGCATTGCCAAGCTCATAGCCTGGCATGTAACAAACGTCCAGTAAAATGCATTGAACTCTGACCTCTGCTGAACCAATGTTGGGCAATGCTGGAGACACAGCAGTGACTGAGACAGCCCCAGTCCTGCCCTCATAGGGCACATAGTGTTGGGCACGGTGGCTCACGCCTATAATCCCAGCACTTTGGGAAACTGAGGCGGTGGATCTCTTTTTTTTTTTTTTTTTTTTTTTGAGATGGAGTTTTGCTCTTGTTGCCCAGGCTGGAGTGCAGTGGCGCGATCTCGGCTCACCACAACCTCCGCCTCCTGGGTTCAAGTGATTCTCCTGTATCAGCCTCCTGAGTAGCTGGGATTGTAGGCGCACGCCACCACACCCAGCTAATTTTTTGTATTTTTAGTAGAGACAGGGTTTCATCATCTTGGCCAGGCTGGTCTCGAACTCCTGATCTCAGGTGATCCACCCACCTCGGCCTCCCAAAGCGCTAGGATTACAGGTGTGAGCCACTGCACCCGGACTGGATCTCTCTCTCTCTTTTTTTTTTTTTTTGAGATAGAGTCTTGCACTCACTATCGCCCAGGCTGGAGTGCAGTGGTGCGATCTCGGCTCACTGCAAGCTCTGCCTCCTGGGTTCATGCCATTCTCCTGCCTCAGCCTCCCCAGCAGGTGGGACTACAGGCGCCCGCCACCACGCCCAGCTAATTTTTTCATATTTTTAGTAGAGAGAGGGTTTCACTGTGTTAGCCAGGATGGTCTCAATCTCCTGACCTCGTGATCCGCCCACCTCGGCCTCCCAAAGTGCTGGGATTACAGGCGTCAGCCACTGCGCCCAGCCAACTGGATCTCTTTTTTATGTTTTGTTTTATTTTGTTTTGAGACAGGGTCTCACTGTCACCCAGGCTGGAGTGCAGTGGCATCATCTTGGCTCACTGTAGCCTGGACCTCCGGGGCTCAAGCAATCCTCCCATCTCAGCCTCCCAACTAGCTGGGACTACAGGCATGCACCACCACGCCATTAATTTTTCGTATTTTTTGTAGAGATAGGGTTTCACGATGTTGCCCAGGCTGGTCTCCAACTCCTGGGCTCAAGCAATCCACCCACCTTGGCCTCCCAAAGTGCTGGGATTACAGCTGTGAGCTACAACTCCTAGCCAAGAGGCTTTCTTTAGGACAGGAGTTCAAGACCAGCCTGGGCAACAGAGTGAGACCCCATCTCTAAAAAAAAAATAAAAATATAGCCGAGCGTGGTGGAGGCCACCTGTAAACCCAGCCACTCAGCAGGCTGAGGCATGAGAATCGCGTGAACCCAGGAAGCAGAGGTTGCAGTAAGCCGAGATCGTGCACTCTAGCCTGGGTGACAGAGCAAAATCCCATCTCAAAAAATCATAATAATTAAACAAACAAATAAATAAATTAGCTGCACTTTGTGGCCTGTGCCTGTAGTCCTAGCTACTGGGGAGGCTGAGGTGGGAGGATCATTGAGCCCAGGAGGTCAAAGCTGCAGTGAGCCATGATTGTATCACTCCACTCCAGTCTGGACGACAGAGCAAGACGCTGCTCGAAAAAAAAAAAAAAAATAGCCTAGAGGGAAAGGCCTAGGTTTGCCTGCTCTCCCTGAGGCTTGAAAAGGGGCTTAGGGGCTTGCTGAGCACTACCAGGGAGCAATCAGGGACCCCTACAAGTTTGAATCTTTCAATTGATCCTTCCCAGGGCTGGCGGTTTACACTGGGTTTTGGAGCCGTCTCTAGGGCCCCAGCTGAGAGCCCCTCTGCTGGCCTCTGAGGCCCTGGAGCCCCCACCTCCCCCTCCCGCATGAGATTATGTCAACATAGCCCAGACGCTTCTGGCCAGGACAATATTTGCCCTCAGGATCTGGGGAGGTCGCTATGGAGATGTGCCCTCCCAGACTAGGCTGGAAGACGCCGAGGGGAGCCATGCGTCTCTGTCTCACGGAGTCTGACTTAATCCCTGTTCTCTTCTGGGATATAAGTCCCTCTCTCTGTTTTCGTCCCTCTCTGTTCCCCTCCTTTCCCTTTCCTTCCCCTCTCCTCCCCTTCCCTCTCCCTGTCTCTCTCTCCTTTTTTTTTTTTTTTTTTTTTTTTGAGATAGGGTCTCACTCTGTCACCCAGGCTGGAGTGTAGTGGCGTGACCTCCGCCTCCCGGGCTCAAGCCATCCTCCCACCTCAGCCTCCCCAGCAGCTGGGACCACAGGTGCGTGCCACCATGCCCAGCTAATATTTTTTTGTAGAGATGCAGTTTTGCCACATTGTTCAGGCTGGTCTCTAACTCCTGAGCTCAAGCGATCTGTCTGCCTCATCCTGCGATCTCGGATCAGTGCAACCTCCACCTCCCGGGTTCAAGTGATTCTCCTGTCTCAGCCTCCCGAGTAGCTGGGATTACAGGTGCCCGCCACCACACCCGGCTAATTTTTTAATTTTTAGTAGAGACGAGGTTTCACCATGTTGGCCAGGCTGGTCTCGAACTCCTGACCTCAGGTGATCCACCTGCCTCGGCCTCCCAAAGTGCTGGTATTACAGGTGTGAGCCACCACGCCCAGCCTTGTTTCTTAGGTCTTATCTCTCTGGGTGTCCTCTCTGTCCCTCTTTCTCTGGGTCCCCATCTCTGTGTTTCTGTCTCTCCGTGTCTCTGTCTCTCCTTGGGTTTCATGTCTGTGTCTCTCTTTGGGTCTCTATATTTTTTGTTTGTTTCTCCAGGCCTCTGTCTCGGGATCTCTGTCTCTTCCCATCTCTGGACTCCCCTCTCTCTGGTTCACATCCGTTTGTCTGTGTGTGCCTGGACCCACATCTCTCGCCAGGTCTCTGTCTCAGCTCTGCTGTCTCTCTCACTCTCTGTATCTCTTCTCTTTCTGTGTATGTGTGTGTCTCTGTGTATCTGTCATTCAGGCCTCATCTCTCTGCAGTCCTGAATCTCCGAGATGGAGAGGGGGCTGTCACAGCTTCCCATTCCTGGTCTCTGTCCCCACGGGGTGCCCCCTCTCCCCATCTCTCTCTGCCTCATTTCTCTGGCACCATCTGCCAGCACCCCAGGCCCCCGCCTGCTCCCCGCAGGGTCTGCTTAGCCAGGCAGCCCCATGTGGGGAGACACAGGCCTTGCAGCTTCCACCCCACCCTTGCATCCTGGACAGGGGCACTGCCTGGTCATTGCTGGAGGGCCGGGGGAGGCAGGAGTGCAGGAGACCAGAGCCAGGAGACCAGGGACCAGGGGCAATGGATAGAAACAGACGCAATCCCAGAGAGGAGATGGAAAAAGGGGAAGAGAAAGGAGAAACTTTAAAGACTGGCAAAATGAGGCTAATCCAGAGGGAGAGAGAGAGAGTGAAAGAACCCAGCAGAGAGGCAGAATGAAACATGGAAAAAGAGAAGAGAAAAGCCTTCCCAACAGACAGGAGAGGAAGACAGAGGCAAACTGAGTGTGGGCTCAGAGAAAAGGAGTAAAGAGGCAGGGCACAGTGGTGCACACCTGTAATCCCAGCACTTTGGGAGGCTGAGGCAGATGAATCACTTGAGCCCAGAAGTTCAAGACCAGCCTGGACAACATAGCGAGACACCACCTCTACAAAAAGTACAAAAATTGGCTGGGCACCATGGTTCACACCTGTAATCCCAGCACTTTGAGAGGCCAAGGCAGGTGAATCACCTGAGGCCAGGAGTTCGAGACCAGCCTGGCCAACATGGTGAAATCCCATCTCTACGAAAAATACAAAATTAGTTGGGCATGGTAGGCACATGCTGTAATCCCAGATACCTGGGAGGCTGAGGCACGAGAATCTCTTGAACCCGGGAAGTGGAGGTTGCAGTGAGCCGAGATGGCACCACTACACTCCAGCCTGGGTGACAGAGACAAACTCCATCTCAAAAAAACAAAAACAAACAAACCAAAAGGCTGGACACGTAATCCCAGCACTTTGGGAAGCCGAGGCGGGCTGATCATGAGGTCAGGAGTTTGAGACCAGCCTGGCCAACACAGTGAAACGCCGTCTCTACTAAAAAAAATACAAAGAATTAGCTAGGCATGGTGGCAGGCGCCTGTAATCCCAGCTACTTGGGAGGCTGAGGCAGGAGAATCGCTTGAACCTGGGAGGTGGAGGTTGCAGTGAGCTGAGATCGCACCAGGGAACTCCAGCCCGGGCGACAGTGTGAGACTCCGTCTCAAACAACAACAACAACAAAAATTAGCCAGGTATGGTGGCATGCGTCTGTGGTCCCAACTACTCAGGAGGCTGAGGTGGGAGGATTGCTTGAACCCAGGTAGGGGGGTCGAGGCTGCGTTAAGCTGTGATCACTCTACTGTGCTCCAGCCTAGGCAACAGAGGGAGAACCTGTCTCAAAAGAAAAGAAGAGGAGTGAGGAGATATTTGGATGAAAGAGAGAAACAAGGTAGGATGGACAGAAAGAGAGAGAGACATTGGGTCAGGGAAGGTGGGAGAGAGATGGGAGAGGCAGAGGGGTTGTAGGAGAGGTTTTGCTAAACAAGACTAGAGACGGAAAATGGAGATCCATCGGGGTGGGTGTGGAAAGGCTGGGGAATGAGGCTCCTCTGGTTCTGAGTCCCCTGTTGCGGGAGTGGGGCGTGGAACTCAGCTGTCTGGGAGGGGCTGAGTTGGGATGGTGCATGCTGTTTCTCGGCCTGAAGTTTTCAGAAGCCATGAGCAACGCAGCTGGAGGGAGCCTGTGCAGCCAGCCCCTTTGCAGACGCTGGGAGACAACAGAGGACCCCAGGAGGGCTGAGGTGGGCAGAAGACCAGGCATCTACCCACCCCTGACTCCTCATCCTGTCTTCAGAAGTCTCACTCTGATGCCCAGCGCTGTGGTGCAGTCTCAGCTCACTGCAATCTCTGCCTCCCAGGTTCAAGTGATTCTCCCACCTCAATCTCCCGAGCAGCTGGGATTACAGGCACGCGCCACTACACCCAGCTAACTTTTGTATTTTAGTAGAAATGGAGTTTCACCATGTTGGTCAGGCTGGTCTCGAACTCCTGACCTCGGTCTCCCAAAGTGCTGGGATTACAGGCGTGAGCCACGGCACCTAGCCTCTCCTCTTTTCTTTTCCCTTCCCTCCCCTCCCCTCCCCTGCCCTTCTTTTCTTTTGAGACAGGGTCTCCCTCTGTTGCCGAGGCTGGAGTATAGTGGTATGATCACAGCTCACTGCAGCCTCGACCCCCTCCCCGGGCTCAAGCAATTTTCACTCAGCCTTTCCATCTCGCAGTTTCTTTTCTGGATTTTTTTTTTTTTTTTTTTTTTTTAGATGGAGTCTTGCTCTGTCGCCCAGGCTGGAGTGCAGTGGCGCGATCTCAGCTCACTGCAAGCTCCACCTCCCGGGTTCACGCCATTCTCCTGCCTCAGCCTCCTGAGTAGCTGGGACTACAGGCGCCCGCCACCACACCCGGCTAATTTTTTGTTTTTTAGTAGAGACGGGGTTTCACCGTGTTAGCTAGGATGGTCTCGATCTCCTGACCTCGTGATCCACCCGCCTCGGCCTCCCAAAGTGTTGGGATTACAGGCGTGAGCTACCGCACCAGGCCTTTTCTGGTTATTTATTTATTTAATTTTTTGAGACGGAGTCTCGCTCTGTTGCCCAGGCTGGAGTGCAGTGGCGCGATCTCGGCTCACTGCAAGCTCTGCCTCCCGGGTTCATGCTATTCTCCTGCCTCTGCCTCCCAAGTAGCTGGGACTACAGGCGCCCACCACCATGCCTGGCTAATTTTTTGTATTTTTAGTAGAGACGGGGTTTCACCGTGTTAGCTAGGATGGTCTCGATCTCCTGACCTCATGATCCACCCGCCTCGGCCTCCCAAAGTGCTGGGATTACAGGCGTGAGCCACCGCGCCCGGCCCTGGTTATTTTTTTGAGACAGTCTGGCTCTGTCGCCCAGGCTGGAGTGCAGAGGCACGATCTCAGCTCACTGCTACCTCTGCCTCCCGGGTTCAAGCGATTCTCCTGCCTCAGCCTCCCGAGTAGCTAGGACTACAGGCGCCCACCACCACGCCCGGCTAATTTTTGTATTTTTAGTAGAGCCGGGGTTTCGTCATGTTGGCCAGGCTGGTCTCCAACTTGTGACCTCAGGTGATCCAGCCACCTCGGCCTCCCAGGGCTCTGGAATTACAGGTGTGACCCACCGCGCCTCTCTGTCTCTCTCCGGCTCAGTCCCTGTTTTCTCTTTCTTGGCTTCTCTCCCTCACCCCCTCTTATCTGTGTCTGTGTTGTCTGTTTGTCTCTGTGTGTGTTTCTCTCTGTCGCTGTCTCTCTCTGTCTCTCTCTCCCCCTCTCTCTCTCTCTCTCTCTGTTTCTTCTAGTCTCTCTCTTGTAGTCTCTCTCTCTTGGTCTTTCTCTTCTTGCTTTTTTTTTTTTTTTTTTTTTTTTTTGAGACAGAGTCTTGCTCTGTCGCCCAGGCTGGAGTTTAGTGGCACAATCTCAGTTCACTGCAACCTCCGCCTCCTAGGTTCAAGCAATTATCCTGCCTCAGTCTCCCCAACAGCTGGGATTACAGGTGTGCACCACCACACCCAGTTAATTTTTGTATTTTAGTAGAGACATGGTTTCACTATGTTGTCCAGGCTGGTCTCAAACTCTTGACCTCAGGTGATCCGCCCGCCTTGGCCTCCCAAAGTGTTGGGATTACAGGCATGAGCCACTGTGTCTGGCCTCTCTTCTTGTCTTTATCTGCCTCCCACTCTAGATCTTTCTTGGTCCTTGATTTCTTTTTTTTTTTTTTTTTTTTTTTTTTTGAGACAGGATCTCACTCTGTCACCCAGGCTGGAGTGCAGTTACGCGATCATCACAGCTCACTGCAGCCTCAATTTCCTGAGCTCAAGCAAATCCTCCTGCCTCAGCCATCCAAGTAGCTGGGACCACAGGCGCACCACCACCATGCCTGGCTAATTAAAAAAAAAAATGTTGAGAGGCCGGGCGCGGTGGCTCACGCCTGTAATCCCAGCACTTTGGAAAGCCGAGATGGGCAGATCACCTGCAGTCAGGAGTTCGAAACCAGCCATGGCTAACATGGTGAAACCCCATTTCTACTAAGAATACAAAAACTTAGCTGGGCATGGTGGTGCGCACCTGTAATCCCAGCTACTTGGGAGGCGGAGGCAGGAGAATCACTTGAACCCAGGAGGCAGATGTTGCCGTGAGCCGAGATCGTGCCATTGCACTCCAGCTTGGGCAACAAGAGCAAAACTCCATCTCAAAAAAAAAAAAAAATTGGCCAGGCGCAGTGGCTCATGCCTATAATCCCAGCACTGTGGGAGGCTGAGGCAGGCCAATCACCTGAAGTCAGGAGTTCAAGACCAGCCTGACCAATTTGGTGAAAACCCAACTCTGCTAAAAGTACAAAAAAAAAAAAATAGCCAGGCATGGTGGCAGGTGCCTGTAATCCCAGCCTCTCGGGAGGCTGAGGCAGGAGAATCACTTGAACCTGGCTCACTGCAATCTCTGCCCTAGCCTGGGCGACAGAGTGAAACTCTGTCTCAAAAAAAACAAAAATTTTGTTTTTAATTCTAGATGACGTGTTGATAGATGCAGCAAACCACCATGGCATATGCATACCTATGTAACAAACCTGTACGTTCAGCACATGTATCCCAGAACTTAAGGTAAATTTTTTTTTTTAATTGGAAAACTGAAAAAAAAAAATATTTTTTTTTTAGAGACGGGATCTGGCTATGTTGCCCAGGCTGGTCTCCAACTCCTGGGCTTAAGTGATCCTCCCATGTTGGCCTCCCAAAGTGCTGGGATTACAGGTGTAAGCCACCACACTAGGCTCTTAGCTCCTTTTCCTGTTTCACACCACCAGCTCATTTCCTCTCCACTGCTTCCCCCTCCCTGCCAGCCTCTCCCTTCCCCCTCTACAGCCTCCCCACCCCTCACTGCCTTCCTCTGTGGAGTGACCTCAGGCCCTCATTGGGGCCAAGGAGAGACTCCCTTCCAACCTAAACTTCTCCCAAGGTGCTGGGCAATCTCAGACCCCCTTCCCTCTCCACTCCAGGACAGGAGCCTTTCCCAGGACCCGGAGGGCACCAGGAATGTGGGGCAGAGAGCGGGGAGGCAGCCTAAGTCCAGGAAGCGAGAACCCTCGCCTCCCCCGAGACTTGTCTCCTTCCAGCCTCTGGTGCAGACCTCATGCCACCCCTTACTCCCTGTCCCTCCTGGGGCCTCTGGGCCTTAATTTCTCCTCTACAAAATGGGCAGACTCGCCTCTGTCCCACTTAGAGTCCCAGGGGAGTGCATGCTCACAAATGTCCATTGTATGATTAATGTGCAGGAATTGGAGTTTGTATTAACAGGAGATGAGAGCTGGGAGCTGGGACTGGGCTCTGAGCCTGTCCCCCACCCCCAGTCACGTACAGATGTTCCCCATATTTAGGGCAAAGGAACAGACTGGAAGTAGAGACAGCAGAGAATGTGTGTGATTCACTGGCGACTGTCATGATGAGACCATGTGAGGCTATGGGTTAGTGTGCAATTGTGACACGATGGTGTGTGTGACCCTGTGTGCACCTGTGTGACTGTGCGTGACTGTGGGAGGTGGGATTGCAGGGTGTGACAAGTCACTGTGACGTGCACAGCTATGGGACAGTGAGGTTGTGTGCGTGACATGTATATGACTGTATGTGACTTGTGAATATGGGTGAGACTAAGGGAGAGTTGTGAGTCTGTATGACCATGTCACTCAGTGTGACCGTGGGGGTGAGGGTGACGGTGTGAGAGTGTTTGCCTCATGACAGTTGGGGAATGTGTGTTGTTGGAATGTGACTGAGGACTCTGTGGGTGACTGTGAAGTGTGTGAGTGTGTGACGGTGTTAATGGGTGTGGTTGCATGACATTGTGTGTGACTTTCAGCTTGTGTCATAAAAAGACTGTATAATAAGACATTAAAAAAAAAAAAGGCCAGGCGCGGTGGCTCATGCCTGTAATCCCAGCACTTTGGGAGGCCGAGACGGGTGGATCACGAGATCAGGAGATCGAGACCATCCTGGCTAACACGGTGAAACCCCGTCTCTACTAAAAATACAAAAAATTAGCCGGGCATGGTGGCGGGCACCTGTACTCCCAGCTACTCGGGAGGCTGAAGCAGGAGAATGGCGTGAACCTGGGAGGCGAGGCTTGCAGTGAGCTGAGATCACGCCACTGCACTCCAGCCTGAGTGACACAGCAAGACTCTGTCTCAAAAAAAAAAAAGAGTCGGGCACAGTGGCTCATGCCTGTGATTCCAGCACTTTGGGAGGCTGAGGCAGGCAGATCACCTGAAGTCAGGAATTTGAGACCAGCCTGGCCAACATAGTGAAACCCCATCTCTTCTAAAAAAAAAAAAAAAAAAAAAAGCCAGCCACAGTGGCTCACGCCTGTAATCCCAGCACTTTGGGAGACTGAGGCGGGAGGATCACGAGGTCAGGAGTTCAAGACCAGCCTGGCCAACATGGTGAAAACTTGTCTCTACTAAAAATACAAAAATTAGCTGGGCATGGTGGCGCGTGCCTGTAATCCCAGCTACCCGGGAGGCTGAGGCAGGATAATTGCTTGAACCAGGACCCGGGAGGTGGAGATTGCAGTGAGCCAAGATCACGCCACTGTACTCCAGCCTGGGCTACAGAGGGAGACTCGGCCAAAAAAAAAAAAAAAATTATTAGCCGGGCATGGTTGCGGGCGCCTGTAATCCCAGCTACTTGGGAGGCTAAGACAGGAGAACTGCTTGAACCTGGGAAGCAGAGGTTCCAGTGAGCTGAGATCGTGCCACTGCACTCCAGCCTGGGCGACAGAGTGAGACTCCATCCCAAGAAAGAAAGAGAGAAAGGGAGAAAGGGAGGAAGGGAGGGGGGAGGGGAGAGGGGAGAGGGGAGAGGAAAAGGAAAGGAAAGTCCTTTGCAGCAACACAGATGCAGCTGGAGGCCAGTATCCTAAGTGAATTAACAAAGGAACAGAAATCCAAACACCAGATGCTCTTACTTATAAGTGGGAGCTGAGCACTGGGTACACATGGACACCAACATGCGAACAACAGACACTGGGGACTCCTAGAGGGGGCAGGGAAGGAGACAAGGGTTAAAAAACTACCCGTTGGGTGCCATGCTCACTACCTGGATGATGGGATCATTTATACCCCCAACCTCCGCATCGTGCAATACACCCCCGTGACAAACCTGCACATGTGCCCCCTGAATCTAAAATAAAAGTTAAGGCCAGGCGCGGTGGTTCATACCTGTAATCCCAGCACTTTGGGAGGCCAAGGCGGGAGGATCACTTGAGGCCAGGAGTTGGAGAACAATATGGCCAACATGGTGAAACCTCATCTCTACTAAAAATATAAAAATCAGCCAGGCGTGGTGGCATACACCTGTAGTCCCAGCTACTCTGGTGGTTGAGGCATGAGAATCGCCTGAACCCAAGAGGCAGAGGTTGCCAAGTTGGCGCCACTGCACTCCAGCCTGGGTGACAGAGTGAGACCCTGTCTAGAAAAAATAATAAATAAAATGAATTAAAATAAATGAATAAATAAATAAATAAAAGTTGAGGCTGGGTGTGATGGCACATCCCTGTAGTCCCAGCACTTTGGGAGGCCGAGGCAGGAGGATTGCTTGAGGCCAAGAGTTGGAGACCAGCATGGCCAACATGGTGAAACCCCATCTCTACTAAAAATACAAAAATTTTAGCTGGGTGTGGTGGCACACACCTGTAGTCCCAGCTACTCGGGAGGCTGAGGCAGGAGAATCTCCTGAACCCTGGAGGCGGAGGTTGAAGTGAGCCAAGATGGCGCCACTGCACTCCATCCTGGGTGACAGAGTGAGACCCTGTCTCAAAAAAAAAAAAGTTGAAATTATTTTTTAATAAAATGGTGGGGCATGGTGGCTCATGCCCATAGTCCCAGCTAGTCAAGAGGCTGAGTTAAGAGGATCCCTTGAGCCCAGGAAGTGGAGGCTGCAGTGAGCTATAATTGTTCCAGTGCACTCCACTCTCATAAATAAATAAATAAATAAAATGTAAAAAGGATTGTATGGGCCGGGTGTGGTGGCTGTCGCCTGTAATCCCACCACTTTGGAAGGCCAAGACATGTGGAACACCTGAGGTCAGGAGTTTGAGACCAGCCTGGGCAACATGGTGAAACACCGTCTCTACTAAAAATACAAAAATTAGTCGGTTGTGGTGGTGTGTGCCTGGAATCCCAGCTACTTGGGAGGCTGCGGTGGGAGAATTGCTTGAACCCAGGAGGCGGAGGTTGCAGTGAGCTGAGATCATGCTTCTGTACTCCAGCCTCAGCAACAGAGGAAGACTCTGTCTCAAAAAAAAAAAATTCTATGTCTGCGAGTAACCACACAACTGCATACTGCGTATATTTATTTCATGACAATCCTTCCTTGAACCCCTGCTCTTAACGATTTTGGGGACCCAGTGGTGACCCAGATGTCCTGGCTCTACCCTCCTGGGCCACACAGGCTAGCAGGGCAACAGTGTTTGTGATGAAACCCGGTGATTGCGTGAATGTGTGGGTGATTGACAGTGTTGTTGGAACTGTGAGACACTGTGAGCGTTACTGTGTGTGTGCAGGAGTCCATAGCCCTGGGTACATGACTGTGTGTCACAGTGGATGACTGTCCACCTGTGAGTGAGAGACTGTGGCTGTCTGGGTGTGACCATGGGACTGTATGGGTGTGACTGAATGTGTGACTGTGTGAGTAACAGCTTGTGAGGTTCTGTGACTGTGCCTTTCCATGGCTCAGCCTATGGGATTGTGTGTGACACTGCATGTTTGATTGAGTGACTGAGGCTCTGGGAATGAGTGGCGGTGGGGGCGGGTACCTGTGGGTGGGACAGCATGAGAGATTGTACACACTTGGTGCAGGGGTCCTCAGGACGATAAGGACAATTCAGTAACTGCCCTCCCTCATGACCTTGATGACTGCCCCCTGCTCGGCTCTCTGCCCCAGAGCTCCCCGCTTCCGTTCCCTGTCCCGCCTTGGCCCCGCCCCCTCCCATCACCCCGGGCTGCCAGCGCCTGTCACCTCTCCCAGAGCCGAGACAAGGCAGTTGGAGGCAGCGGTGGCAGGGGCTGCAGGAGCAAGTGACCAGGAGCAGGACTGGGGACAGGTGAGGGCTCCCCAATCCCAGCCCATTCTCCCTGCCCCCCCTTGACCTCTCAAGTCTCTGGCACTCTCCCTCTCTGCTTCTCTGCCCTGCCTTTGTCTCTCTGTCTCTGTGCCCACCACCATCTCTGCTCATCTCTGTCTCTTGATGTCTCTGTCTGCGTGTTTCCATCTCTGGTTAGCTGCTAGATAACTTCTCTTTCCCCTGCTCTGTCTCCCTCCACGTCTCTGCCTCTTCTTTGTCTCCTAGCCCACATCTGCGTCTCTTTCTCTGTTTGTTTTTCTCTGGTCTCTGGCTGGGGGTCTCATTCTGTCCCTCCGTCTCTGCGCCTCTCAGTCTTTACATTTCTGTCTCTTGTGTCTGTGACGCCGTTGTCTGTCCTTCTGAGGCTCGACCTGAGATCCTCTCTGCTTCCGTCTTTCTCTACGTGGAGCCGCGGGGGCGCGGGTGAGTGGGTGTCGGGCGTTAGACCGATTTCCAGGCATCTGCACATCTAACCCCGGATCTGTCGCTTCTCTAGTCCCTAAGTATTTGGATGCTGGGAAAGGGTTGTTCCACTTACTCTGGGCTTTATCTACCCCCAGCGGGGAAAGTTTTGTAAGGTCAGGTTCCTATGTGTGCTAGAAAACCCTTTGGGCTTGGAGAGTGGGAGCTCGGATGGGCGTTTCAAGTTCTCCACCAGGCTGTGGGAACTCAGATGGGCGTTTCAAGTACCCCACTAGGGGGTACTGAAAACCTTCAAGTTTTTCAGTTCCCCATAGAAAAGGGGTCTAGGCTGACGGTTTCTACCCCCTCCTCTCCAAGGCGGTCCCCGGGTTCCCAGGAGTCTGTAGGTCCAGACTTCGGTGACACTGACACTTCCGCCCAGCGTAGCTCTAGGGCAACCGCCCGCTCAGCAAACACCCCCCCCTTCCACCTTTGCTGCCCCAACAACAGTCAGGGGAGGCCGGGGAATCACTTAAGGGGCCCCGCCCACCACCGGAGTTCCACCCACTCCGCGTGCCTCTCCCTCCCCCCAGATCATCACGCCTGGGAGTTGCGGGAGCGGGTGCGCTGCCTCGGAGTCCCGCGTGTATACGGCTCCCCAGCCGTCTGCCCCTGTGTGTGAATCCCTGAGGCGGGGTGACGCTGGGGTTGGAGTAGGAGGGCAGAGGTGCTGACCTTGCCCTGGGACCCTCCAGGCCTGATCGCCCCTGCACGAACCAGACCCTTCGCCGCCCTCACGATGACTACCTCTCCGATCCTGCAGCTGCTGCTGCGGCTCTCACTGTGCGGGCTGCTGCTCCAGAGGGCGGAGGTGAGGAAGCGAGGAGCCAGAGGAGCTCCAGGCTTGGAGGGAGGTATGGGGACGGTTTTAGGGCTTCCGTCGTCAGGGCGCTGTCGCTCACGCCTGTAATCCCAGCACTTTGGGAGGCCGAAGCGGGTGGATCACTTGAGGCCAGGAGTTCGAGACCAGCCTGGCCAACATGGTGAAACTCCCTCTCTACTAAAAAAAATACAAAAATTAGCCGGGCGTGGTGGCGGCCGCCTGTAATCCCAGCTACTCGGAAGGCTGAGGCAGGAGAATCGCTTGAGCCCGGGAGGCAGAGGTTGCGGTGAGCCGAGATCGCGCCACTGCACTCTAACTTGGGTGACAGAGTGAGACTCTGTCTCGGGGTGGGGGGGGGAGGCTTCCCTCAGCGCAAAGAGAGTTTCAAGACTGTCCCGCTTGCCCAGATTCAAGTTGTTGGGTGGTGGTTTGTTTGTTTGTTTCGAGACGGAGTCTCACTCTGTCACCCAGGCTGAGATGCAGTGGCATGATCTCGGCTCACTACAACCTCCGTCTCCCGGGTTCAAGCGATTCTCCCGCCTCAGCCTCTCGAGTAGCTGGGACTACAGGCGCACTCCACCATGCCTGGCTAATTTTTGGATTTTTAGTAGAGACGGGGATTTCACCATGTTGGTCAGGCTGGTCTCGAACTCCTGGCCTCAAGTGATCCACCCGCTTCGGCCTCCCAAAGTGCTGGGATTACAGGCGTGAGCCACCGCGCCCGGGCCCAGATTCGAGTTTTGATTATCGTTTCCACTCCCTTTTCTTCCCCCAACAAGTCCTCCTGATAATTTCCAGCCACCCCCTCCCCAATTTTCTTGAAGGTTTTCAGTCTCCCATAGCAACTCCAGTGGGTGGCTTCCAGGCACCCCACCCCAAGACTTGGAACTGGTTTCCAAGCTACCCAAGACTCCCGAACAACACGCAACAGACCCTCAAAGTCTCTCTGGGGCGCTTCTGGGCCACATGGACCTAGCAGCCTGGGAGCGGGGGTCGGTCTGGGGGGGTCCTCCCTTCTTTCTTTTCCTAGACAGGCTCTAAGGGGCAGACGGCGGGGGAGCTGTACCAGCGCTGGGAACGGTACCGCAGGGAGTGCCAGGAGACCTTGGCAGCCGCGGAACCGCCTTCAGGTGTGACCAGGAGGGCTGGGGACGCGGGGAGGACCTGAGGCTGAGAGGGGTGGGCTTGGGATGGGCCTTGGGCTGACGGGCGGGGAAGAAATCTCGGGGCGCTGTGGGCTGGAGAGGCCCGGGGACTGACCTGAGCATGGTGGGAACTGGGGCGGGACCACGGTTCCTGGGGGAGGCCTGGGAGGAAGCTTGAAATGGGAGGAGCCTTGGGCGGGGCCTGCACAGAAATAAACCTTGAAGGGGGCGGGGTTTGGGATGGAGACTGGGAAGGGCCCTTCCGGGTGGGACGATCTGGGGCGGGGACTTGTTTGGTGGGAGGAGCCCAGAGTGGGGCCGGGAGGAGGGGCGGAGCTTTGAGGCTGGTGGGAGGAGCTTGTGGCCGAGCCGGGACGGAACGCCCTCCGAGTGGGCGGGGCTAGAGCCGGGCTTGGTGTGGCCGGCGGAGAAGCACTTGGCCCACTGCGGAGAAGCACTTGGCCCACTGCGCAGTAGCACTTGGCCCACTGCGCAGTAGGTCCACTGGGCACCTGGCCCCCGTGCCCACCCCCAGGCCTCGCCTGTAACGGGTCCTTCGATATGTACGTCTGCTGGGACTATGCTGCACCCAATGCCACTGCCCGTGCGTCCTGCCCCTGGTACCTGCCCTGGCACCACCATGGTGAGGTGCTCCCTGGGCCCGGAGCCCTCCCCAGACACAAACAACTGCTAACCTTTGCCCCCAGACACCTACATCCGAGTCCCACAGCTCACCTGCACCCCTCTCCTGCTCCTCTTTGCCCCCTACTCCTTTCCGGCAGGCTGGGTTTCTCCTGTCTGTCCAACCCTGCCTATCTCACATAACGCAGCTTCTCTGTCTCCGTATCTCTTTCTATTTATTTATTTGGAGACGGAGTCTCGCTCTATCGCCCAGGCTGGAGTGCAGTGGGATGAACTCGGCTCACTGCAACTTCCGCCTCCCGGGTTCAAGCGATTCTCCAGCCTCAGCCTCCCGAGAAGCCGGGATTACAGAAGCCGGGATTACAGGCGCGCGCCACCACACCCGGCTTTTTTTTTATATATATATTTTTAGTACAGACAGGGTTTCACCATGTTGGCCAGGCTGGTCTCGAACTCCTAACCTCAAGTGATCCGCCGGCCTTGGCTTCCCAAAGTTCTGGGATTACAGGCATGAGCCACCGCGCCCGGCCACCACAGGATTCTTATTTTGTCTCCTTTTCCTGAGTCTGTCAGTCTCTGGGCATCTTAACCTAACTAGCTATGTCGCCTCAGACACTTTATTTATTTAACCTATTTTTTTCTTTTTGAGACAGAGTCTGGCTCTGTCACCCATGTGGTGGCAGCATCATAGTTCACTGCAGCCTGGGAACTCCTGGGTTGAAGCGATCCTCCCGCCTCAGCCTCCCAAATAGCAGGGACTACAGGCGCACGCTAACACACCCAGCTAATTTTTTTTAAAAAATTGGCAGTGACAGAGTCTTGCCATGTTACCCAGGCTGGTCTTAAACTCCTGGCCTCAAGGGATCCTCTCACCTCAGCCTCCCAAAGCGCTGGGATTACAGGCCTATTTAACTTTTGTTGTTTTTGTTGTTGTTGAGACAGAGTCTCGCTTTGTTGCAAGGCTGGAATGCAGTGGCGTGATCTCGGCTCACTGTAACCTCACCTCCCGGGTTCAAGCGATTCTCCTGCCTCAGCCTCCTGAGTAGCTGGGACTACAGGCGCACGCCACCACACCCAGCTAATTTTTGTATTTTTAGTAGAGACAGGGTTTCACCATGTTGGCCAGGATGGTCTCGATCTCTTGACCTTGTGATCCACCTGTCTTGGCCTCCCAAAGTGCTGGGATTACAGGTGTGAGCCACCACGCCCAGCCTTAACATTTTGTACCTCAATTTTCCCATATGTAGAACTAGGTTAAGGATATTACTAATTCCATGGGCTAGTATGAATATTAAATTAATACAAATAACATGCCATATAAGGGTTTATCATCATCATCATCATCATCATCATCATCACCACTTCGGCTCTCTCCCTCTCTGTTATTGTCTCACAGTTTGTCTTTCTGTATTTATCTCTTTCTCTGTGTGCCTTAATTCCCTCTCTTCTTTCCCCACAGTGGCTGCAGGTTTCGTCCTCCGCCAGTGTGGCAGTGATGGCCAATGGGGACTTTGGAGAGACCATACACAATGTGAGAACCCAGAGAAGAATGAGGCCTTTCTGGTAAGAAGAGGTGAGGGCTTCAGGTTAGGAGTCCAGGGAGAGATGGAAAGGCAGTAGATTCAGGCAGGGCCTGAAACCCCTTGGACTGTTCAGACCTCTGGGTTGTAAGTGAGAGAAACTCAACTCAGACTTGCTTCAAAGAGAGAAAGATGTACTGCCTTCTGTGATGGAAAAGAATAAGATGGCCGGGTGGTGTGGCTCACGCCTGTAATCCCAGCACTTTGGGAGGCCAAGGAGGGTGGATCACTTGAGGTCAGGAGTTTGAGACCAGCCTGGCCAACATGTCAAAACCCCGTCTTTACTAAAAATACAAAAATTAGCTGGGCATGGTGGTATGCACCTGTAGTCCCAGCTACTCAGAGGGCTGAGACATGAGAATTGCTTGAACCCAGGAGGCAGAGGTTGCAGTGAGCCAAGATCGTGCCACTGCACTCCAGCCTGAGTAACAGAGCGAGACTCCATCTCAAAAAAAAAAAAAAAAAAAAAAAAGAATGCTGTAGTTGGGCCAAGGTCAATGGCTCATGCCTATAATTCCAACACTTTGAGAAGATGATTGCTTGAACGCAGGATTTTGAGACCAGCCTGGGTAACATAGTGAAACTCCATCTCTACAAAAAATATAAAAATTTGGCCAGGAGTGGTGGCTCATGCCTGTAATCCCAGCACTTTGGGAGGCCAAGGCGGGCGGATCACGAGGTCAAGAGATTGAGACCATTCTGGCCAACATGGTGAAACCCCGTCTCTACTAAAAATACAAAAATTAGCTGGGCATGGTGGCACGCACCTGTAGTTCCAGCTACTCTGGAGGCTGGGGTGGGAGGATCGCTTGGGCCCTGGGGGGCGAGGCTGCAGGGAACCATGATCCTGCCAGAGCACTCCAGCCTGGGCAACAAAGCAAGACCATGTCTCAAAAAAAAAAAAATCTCTGGTTGGCTGGTCACATGCCTCGTGCCCTGGAGCTGAAGGGTGGAGTCAGCCCTTCTCAAATAAGGGTAAGCAGTTCCCCAAGATAAAATAGGGTATTTGGGCAGAAACAAAGAGCAGAGGTCCTTCCAGTCTCTCTCTGGGCCTGGGGCTTCGAGCCAAGCCTTGTTCCCTTCCCCTTCTTGCCCCGACCAGGACCAAAGGCTCATCTTGGAGCGGTTGCAGGTCATGTACACTGTCGGCTACTCCCTGTCTCTCGCCACACTGCTGCTAGCCCTGCTCATCTTGAGTTTGTTCAGGTGGGACCTTAACCCTGAGTGGTGGCGGCAGAGATGTGAGCTCGGCCTCAGTTTGTCCAGTAAGATGGGGTGGTCTGTTTCCACCAGGTCCAGCTATCCACTGGTGGTTCTATGGGGAGCAGTGGGGGTGGTTAAAGGAGCTCTGTGTGGCCGGGAGCGGTGGCTGATGCCTGTAATCCCAGCTCTTTGGGATGCCAAGGCAGGAGGATCGCTTGAGCCCAGGAGTTTGAGATCAGGCTGGGCAATATAGTGAAACCTTGTCTCTACGACAAATAAAATTAGCTAGGCATACTGGTGGTGCACCTGTGGTACCAGCTATAGGGGGGCGCTGAGACAGGAGGATTGCTTGAGCTCAGGAGGTTGAGGCTGCAGTGAGCCCTGATTGTGTCACTGCATTCTAGCCTGGGTGACAGAGTGAGACCCTGTTTAAAAAAAAAAATAGAACTCTGTGTGGCTGAGGACAGCTCTCCAGGGGCCCCCACACTGCCTTCCAAATTCCCCTAGGCGGCTACATTGCACTAGAAACTATATCCACATCAACCTGTTCACGTCTTTCATGCTGCGAGCTGCGGCCATTCTCAGCCGAGACCGTCTGCTACCTCGACCTGGCCCCTACCTTGGGGACCAGGCCCTTGCGCTGTGGAACCAGGTGGGCATCCTCCTTCCGTTCCTCCAAATGGGAATCTTGCTTCTCTGGTGGGACCAGGAAGTTCTCAGTCCATTTCCTATCTCCTACACTCTCCACAGTTTATCTGAGTTGGGAGGGTCCCTCTCCAAATGTGTCTTGGGGTGGGGGATCAAGACACATTTGGAGAGGGAACCTCCCAACTCGGCCTCTGCCATCATTTAACTCTCCCAGCCTATCACTCCCATACTGGAATTTTCCGTTCCTCTCCCTCATTATTTCACCCATCATTGAACTTTTTCACCAATGAGAGAATCCACCTGCTGGCGGTGAGGCATGGCAGGATACGAGAAAGTAAGTGGGGGTGGGGATGTGGCAGGTGCCAGTTTGTTACTAGGAGACAGGGTGGGAGAGACTAGAGTCTGGGAGCAGACGTGGTAAGAACTAACTTGTTGAAAGTTGGACCATACCAATTGTTAAGAAGCCGCACGCACCCAGGCACAGTGGCTCACATCTGTAATCCCAGCACTTTGGGAGGCCAAGACGGGCAGATCACGAGGCCAGGAGTTCAAGATCAGCCTGGCCAATATGGTGAAACCCTGTCTCTACTAAAAATACAAAAATTAGCTGGGTGTGGTGGCGGACACCTGTAATCCCAGCTACTCAGGAGGCTGAGGCAGAAGAATTGCTTGAACCCAGGAGACAGAGGTTGCAGTGAGCTGAGATTGCGCCACTGCACTCCAGCCTGGGTGACAGAGCAAGACTCCATCGCAAAAAAAAAAAAAAAAAAAAAGCCATAGCGTGGCCCGGCAGTGGCTCATGCCTGTAATCCCAGCACTTTGGGAGGCTGAGGTGGGCAGATCGCTTTTTGCCCAGGAGTTCAAGACCAGCCTGGGTAACATAGCAAAACCCCACCTCTACAAAAACATACAAAAATTAGCCAGGCATGGCGGCCCTCGCCTGTACTCCCAGCTACTTGGGAGGCTGAGATGGTAGGATCACTTGAGTCCATCAGGTCGAGGCTGCAGTGAGCTGTGATGCTGTGATAGTGCCAGTGCAATCTGGCGAAAGATTGAGACCCTGTTTCAAAAAAATAAAATGAAATAAAATAAAATAAGAGGGGCCAGGCACAGTGGCTCATGCCTGTAATCCAAGCACTTTGGGAGGACGAGGAAGGCAGGACACAAGGTCAGGAGTTCAAGACCAGCCTGACCAACATAGTGAAACCCCGTCTCTACTAAAAATACAAAAATTAGCTGGGCATGGGGCACATGCCTGTAGTCCCAGCTACTCAGGAGGCTGAGGTAGGAGAATCACTTGAACCTGGGAGGCAGAGATTGCAGTGAGCCGAGATCGTGCCATTGCGCTCCAGCCTGGGCGACAGAGCAAGGCTCCGTCTAAAAAAAAAAAAAAAAAAAAGAGGAAGCCATAGGGCAGGAGAGTCCATAATGTGGGTACTGGCAGGGAGTTCAGTTCTTAGAAGGAGCTGGGGTGACCAGTGACAGAGGTCACATTTTGGGGATCTAGGGGGGAACTGACGGCAATGATGGAAGATACCAATTATTTTTTGTTTTGTTTTTGTTTGTTTTGTTTCTTTGAGATGGAGTCTCAAAAAAGAAGCTGATTTTTTTTTTTTTTTTTTTTTTTTTGAGACGGAGTCTCCCTCTGTCGCTCAGGCTGGAGTGCAGTGGTGCAATCTCGGCTCACCGCAACCTCCACCTCCCGGGTTCAAGCGATTCTCCTGCATCAGCTTCCCGAGTAGCTGGGATTACAGGCGCCTGCCACCACACCTGGCTAATTTTTGTATTTTTAGCAGAGACAGGGTTTCACCATGTTGGCCAGGCTGGTCACCAACTCCTGACTTCAGGTGATCCGCCCACCTCGGCCTCCTAAAGTGCTGGGATTACAGGCGTGAGCCACCGCGCCCTACCAGATACCAATTGTTAAGGGGTTCAGAGTGGGAGAGTCCATACAGGGAAAGGGAATAGGGTGAGAGAAACCAATCACAGATACCATTCACTGGGGACACAGAGTGGAAGAACCTTTGATGGCAAGAGACGGGGTGGAAGGGCGATCAAAGCTGGGGGAGACTGGGAGACACCCGGGCAGCGCTGACTACCCCTCTACCGGTCTGGCCCCTCCCTAGGCCCTCGCTGCCTGCCGCACGGCCCAGATCGTGACCCAGTACTGCGTGGGTGCCAACTACACGTGGCTGCTGGTGGAGGGCGTCTACCTGCACAGTCTCCTGGTGCTCGTGGGAGGCTCCGAGGAGGGCCACTTCCGCTACTACCTGCTCCTCGGCTGGGGTGAGCTCCGATCCCGTCCCCCGCCCAACCCAGCGCGCCTCTCCTCGGCTCCCCCAACTGCCCTGCTGGTTGGCCTCTGCGGGTCTCCTCCCGTCTCTAGGCTTCTGCCTTCCCCACCCCGACAGAGGAATTCCGCGGGTCTTGGGCCTGGCGGGGCCCGTGAGCGCGCTGACAGCTGCGGCGGGGTGGGGGGGCGGGGTCGGGGTCTGCACAGGGGCCCCCGCGCTTTTCGTCATTCCCTGGGTGATCGTCAGGTACCTGTACGAGAACACGCAGTGAGTTGCAGGGTCTGGGGCGGGGCGTGGGAGGTGGGCGGGGCTTTGAGGGACTGTGGCGGGTTGTGATGGACATGTGGGCAGGGTCGGAAGGCTATTCGGTGCTGGGGATACGTGGGCGGGATCCGAAGTAATGGGGAGCTAGGAAAGGTTGTGTTCCAGGGCAATCGGCAAGGGGAGGGGGTGGGGCCTGGATCGTAATGGGCGGGACCTTAGAGAATGTGTGTGGTCTCAAGTGCGGTGGGCGGGGCCTAGCGAGCAAATGAGCTTGGTGATCGGTGAGTCTAGAGTTTTTCTATCTCTTAGCTCTACTCCGCCTTCCCCAGGTGCTGGGAGCGCAACGAAGTCAAGGCCATTTGGTGGATTATACGGACCCCCATCCTCATGACCATCTTGGTAGGATCGGTCCCGCCTCCACCAGGCCGCCCTCAGGGATTTCCCATTCTGGGAAGTGGGCTGCCACCTCCTCCTGCCCCTTCAGAATGGGATCGCGGCTGGCTCAGCCCTTATCTCTCCCCACAGATTAATTTCCTCATTTTTATCCGCATTCTTGGCATTCTCCTGTCCAAGCTGAGGACACGGCAAATGCGCTGCCGGGATTACCGGCTGAGGTGAGGGCATGCGTTGGGGACCGAGGGGAAGGGGCCGGGTGCGAGATGGGGAACCAGGGCTGCGGGATCACTGCTGCCGCCCTCTCTCCCCAGGCTGGCTCGCTCCACGCTGACGCTGGTGCCCCTGCTGGGTGTCCACGAGGTGGTGTTTGCTCCCGTGACAGAGGAACAGGCCCGGGGCGCCCTGCGCTTCGCCAAGCTCGGCTTTGAGATCTTCCTCAGCTCCTTCCAGGTGCTCAGGCAGGGTGCAGGGGCTCCATCCTTCCACCCAGGGCCTCCTCCCCAGAGGGGCACGAAAGCTACAGTCGTTCTCTGGTGCAGCCACTGAATGGGGTGGGAAGATGGGATTTAGTTCGTTCATTAATTAATTCATTCTTTTTTTTTTTTGAGACGGATTCTCGCCCTGTCGCCCAGGCTGGAGTACAGTGGCGCGATCTCGGTTCATTGCAGCCTCTGACTCCCGGGTTCAAGCGATTCTCCTGCCTCAGCCTCTAGAGTAGCTGGGATTACAGGAATGTGCGACAACACCTGGCTAATTTTGTATTTTTAGTAGAGGCGGGGTTTCACCATGTTGGCCAGGCTGGTCTCCAACTCCTAACCTTGGGTAGTCCACCCGCCTCGGCCTCCCAAAGTGCTGGGATTACAGGCGTGAGCCATGGCGCCCAGCCCGTTCATTCATTCGATACAAAATACTGAGCTAGGACTGTCCTGGGCTGTGGGGAGCAGCAGGGACCAGGACAGGAGATTGGCGGCCCCAGCAGTGCTGCCTGCTAGTGAAGAGTGAGGGCTTCGAAGCTGGACACAGCTGAGGCCAAATTCAGGTTCTGTCACTTTCTAGCTGTTTGCCAGCTGTGTGGCCTTCACCTCAGGGTTGAGGGTAGGGAGAGGTAAGTGAGGTGCCAACGTGCAGAATCTAAGGAAAGATTCATTCCAAAATTGAAGGCCCACCTTACACTTGCTTGGTTTACCTGAGTCCCCAACCTGCTTCACCTCATTCGGCCTGTTTTCTCATCTCTAAAGTGGGGAAAATACTAGTCTCAGTGGACAAGGCTGTTCATTCATTAAATTCAGCAAAAAATTACTGAGCATGTGTATATGCTAAGCACTCCTCCAGGCTTATCACAGGAATACAGCCAAGAACCAAATGGTCCCTACCCTCCAGTGGGAAAGACACACTAAACACACTATAGAAGTAAGGCATACAGCTGGGCGCAGTGGCTCACACCTGTAATCCCAGCATTTTGGGAGGCCGAGGCAGGCGGATCACCTGAGGTCAAGAGTTCAAGACCAGCCTGACCAATATGGTGAAACCCTGTCTCTACTAAAAAAATAGAAAAATTAGCTGGATGTGGTGGCGGCCGCCTGTAATCCCAGCTACTCAGGAGGCTGAGGTCGGAGAATCGATTGAACCCGGGAGGTGGAGGTTGCAGTGAGCCGAGATCACGCCACTGCACTCCAGCCTGGCCACAGAGGGAGATCATGTCTCAAGAAAAAAAAAAAAAAAAAGGAAAGCATATAGAATGTCAGATGGTGAGATGTGCCTAGAGGGAGAATAAAGCAAGAAAAGAGATGAGGAGTGTCCACTGAGGGATGGGGGTTACTGTTTTATTTATTTTTATTTTTTTAGAGATGAGGTCTCCCTCTGTTGTCCAGGCTGGATCCAGTGCAGGGGTGTGATCCTAGCTCACTGCAGCCTTGGACTCCTGGTCCAAAGCAATCCTCCTGCTTCAGCCTCCTAAGTGGCTGGGAGCACAGGAGCAAGCCATCACACTTGACTAATTTTTTTTTTTTTGAGACAGAGTTTCACTCTTGTTGCCCAGGCTGCAGTGCAATGGTGCCATCTCAGCTCACTGAAACCTCTACTTCCCAGATTCGAGCGATTCTCTTGCCTCAGCCTCCCAAGTAGCTGGGATTACAGGTGCCCACTACCACGCCTGGCTAAGTTTTGTATTTTTAGTAGAGATGGGGTTTCAACATGTTGGCCAGACTGGTCTCGAACTCCTGACCTCAGGTGATCCGCCCGCTTCAGCCTCCCAAAGCGCCGGGATTACAGGTGTGAGCCACCGCGCCTGGCCAAGATCCTCATCTCTACCAAAAATAAAAAATTAGCTGCCGGGCGCGGTGCCTCATGTCTGTAATCTCAGCACTTTGGAGGCCAAGGAGGCCAGTCCAGCGTGACCAACATGGAGAAACCCTGTCTCTACTTAAAATACAAAAATTAGCGAGGCTAGGTGGCACGTGCCTGTAATCCCAGCTATTCAGGAGGCTGAGGCAGGAACATCGCTTGAACCTGGGAGGCAGAGGTTGCACTGAGCTGAGATTGTGCCACTGCACTCCAGCCTGGGAAACAGAACAAGGCCCTGTCTCAAAAACAAAAAAAAAATTAACTTGGTGTGGTGGTGCATGCCTGTAGTCTTAGCCACTCTGGAGGCTGAAGTGGGAGGATCCCTCTAGCTCAGGAGTTGAGGTTGAAGTGATGAAGTGAGCCATGATCACTCCACTGCACTCCAGCCTGGGTGACAGAGCCAGACCCTGTCTCAAAAAACAAAAACAGGCTGGGTGCGTTGGCTCACGTCTGTAATCCTAGCACTTTGGGAGGCTGAGGCGGGCGTATTGCCTGAGCTCAGGAGTTTGAGACAGCCTGGGCAACATGGCAAAAATTCTGTCTCTACTAAAAACACAAAAAATTAGCTAGGCGTGGGGGCGCATGCCTGTAATCCCAGGTACTTGGGAGGCTGATTCAGGAGAATCGCTTGAACCTGGGAGGCCAAGTTTGCAGTGAGCTGAGATCGTGCCACTGCACTCCAGCCTGGGCAACAGAGCAAGACTCTGTCTCCCTGTCTCCAAAAAAAAAAAAAAAAAAAGCAAAAAACAAAACGGCAACACAATCACCCTAAATTTTCACAACTACTACTATATTACTGCTCCATTTTCCAGATGAAGAAACTGAGGCACAGTGTGGTTAAGCAGCTTGCCCAAATGGGAAAGAAAGTGGAAAGGTGGTTTTTGAGTCCAGGGAGCCCACCTCCAGGGTCCACAGTTCTTAACCCCCAGCCAGCAGTGCTCAGCTAACCTTCTGGAGCAAGCAGTGGGGTTGGTGTGGGGGAAGCCAGGAACCAGTGAAAAGATGACCCTAATAGTTTAGGACCACGGTGGCGGTAGCTGAGGTGCTTCAGGGCCTGGCAAGGGCGCGAGCTTATTAAGAGAACAGTTACAAAGGCTAGGCGCGGTGGCTCATGCCTGTAATCTCAGCACTTTGAGAGGCTGAGATGGGTGGATCTCCAGAGGTCAGGAGTTCGAGACCAGTCTGGACAACAGGATGAAACCCCGTCTCTACTAAAAATACAAAAATTAGCTGGGCGTGGTGGAGGGCGCCTGTAATCCCAGCTACTCAGGAGGCTGAAGCAGGATAATCACTTGAACCCGGGAGGTAGAGGTTGCCGTTTGCCGAGATCGTGCCACTGCACTCCCGCCTGGGCAACAAGAGCAATATTCCGACTCTTAAAAACAAACAAACAAACAAACAAACAAAAAACGGGGAGGGAGGCGCGGAGGCGGTTACAGTCCTGCCCCCACCAGCGATGTAACCTCCGCGCCTCCTCTGGGCAGGGCTTCCTGGTCAGCGTCCTCTACTGCTTCATCAACAAGGAGGTAGGCAGAGACCCGGCCGCCGCCCCCGCCCTCTGGCGGCAGCGCGGGGTACGGCGCCGCCTCTGAGCGCCATCGTCTCACAGGTGCAGTCGGAGATCCGCCGTGGCTGGCACCACTGCCGCCTGCGCCGCAGCCTGGGCGAGGAGCAACGCCAGCTCCCGGAGCGCGCCTTCCGGGCCCTGCCCTCCGGCTCCGGCCCGGGCGAGGTCCCCACCAGCCGCGGCTTGTCCTCGGGGACCCTCCCAGGGCCTGGGAATGAGGCCAGCCGGGAGTTGGAAAGTTACTGCTAGGGGGCGGGATCCCCGTGTCTGTTCAGTTAGCATGGATTTATTGAGTGCCAACTGCGTGCCAGGCCCAGTACGGAGGACGCTGGGGAAATGGTGAAGGAAACAGAAAAAAGGTCCCTGCCCTTCTGGAGATGACAACTGAGTGGGGAAAACAGACCGTGAACACAAAACATCAAGTTCCACACACGCTATGGAATGGTTATGAAGGGAAGCGAGAAGGGGGCCTAGGGTGGTCTGGGAGGCGTCTCCAAGGAGGTGACACTTAAGCCATCCCCGAAAGAGGTGAAAGAGATCACTTTGGGGAGAGCTGGAGAACAGGATTCTAGGCGGAAGCGATAGCATAGGCAAAGGCCCTTGGGCAGGAAGGCGCTCAGCCTTGGCTGGAGTAGAATTAAGTCAGAGCCAACAGGTGGGGAGAGACAGAGAAGTGGGCAGGGGCACCCAAGTTGGGATTTCATTTCAGGTGCATTGGAGATTCTTAGGAGTGTCTCTTGGGGGTAATATTTTATTTTTTAAAAAATGAGGATGTCACTCTTACCCAGGTTGGTCTTGAACTCCTGGGCTCAAGCAATCCTCCCACCACGGGTCTCTCAAAGTGCTGGGATTACAGGCGTGAGCCACCGCACCCGGCTTTTTTTTTTTTTTTTAAACGGAGTCTCACTCTGTCACCCAGGCTGGAGTGCAGTGGTGCAATTTCAGCTCACTGCACCCTCCACCTCCCGAGTTCAAGCCTCCCGGGTAGCTGGGATTACAGGCACCGCCACCATGCCTGGCTAATTTTTGCATTTTCAGTAGAGATAGGGTTTCTCCATGTTGGCCAGGCTGGTCTCGAACTCCTGACCTCAAGTGATCCACCCACCTCAGCCTCCCAAAGTGCTGGGATTACAGGCATAAGCCACCATGCCCGGCCCAAATGGGCTAATGTTTTAAACAGATCCTTCTTGTCTGCCCTGTAGGAGGACAAATTATCAGGGGCAGGGGTGGAAGCTGGAGCCCAGAAAGGAGGGGACTGCAGGTGGGAAGTGATGGTGGCTGGACCAGGATGGAGGCCACTGAGGGGTATGAAGCAGTCGGATTTGAAGCTGTTTAAAAGGTGGAGGTGAGAGGATTTCATGAAGGAGCACATGAGGACACAGCAGCAGAGAGGACTCCTTGGCTTTGGATGGTGGAGAGACTAAAGATAGAGAGATTGGGTTCGGGTAGGGGGAGAACCACGTGTGCTCTTTGGAAAGGTTAGGCTGGCAGTGTTTGTAGGACATGACAGGACACTGAGTGTAAGGGTCTGGAGCTCTCAGGAGAGGGGCGAGCTGGAGATAGTAATGTGAGAGGCACTGGGTCCTGAGAGGGTGATTTGGTGTGGACCGGAGCACAGGTGAGGCAAGGCAGGCCTCGCAGCTGAAACTTTATATCCAGAGCAGCCAGGGCCACTGCTGGCTGCGGAGTGAGGACGCATATCCCCACTGTCCTTAGATGGGTGGCCCCTGGAACCTGGGAGAATGAGGGGGCATGCTGACAGTCTCATTGTGGCTGGACCACCTGTACATACACCCACAAGACCCTCACCCCTAAATCCTCCCCCTACACATATGCACACTTAAGTTACCGTATGGGTGTTGTCGAGCATTTTCCCTGGGGTCTGTGGCTCCCTGGACCGACATGCCCCAAAGCTGAACTCAGCCTTTTCAAGCTTGCGGCCCTGCTGCCCAATTCCCCTACACCCTGCCTTGTGGGTTCTCGCGGGGTGGGGGCCTTAGGGCAAGGCTCTTGTAAATAAAGTATAAGAAACAGTTGCTTTTTTTCTTTCTTGGGTAGAAGCATCTTCTTGGCAGTGTCACAAAGGGAAATGACCGAGGCAGGCTGCCTGGTGGAGTAGGGGCCCGTGGTGGCTTTACTCAAATTTATCCATGTGTTGCTACAAGAAAACGGGACACCTGCTGCCACTGTCCCTCCTAAGAGAGTCCCCAAGTGGCCATGTTACATGTGATCTGTGACATATACGATCAGATGTTACCTGCATCCTAGGGTCGCCTGGCATGCCCATGAGTGACGCTTAGGACCGTGCCTGGTGCTGGTGTGTGGACAATGCTGGGCCAGTTTGCCCAGGGCTATGCCTGCCACCTCTACTTTTATTTCACCCTCTGGAGGCGGACGCATTGGAAAGCATGTGGGGCAGGAGGTGAGGAAGGAAATTCAGACAAGCTGAGCAGAGCGGCCAGGACTGGAATCTTGGGTGCCAACCCGCAAGGTGGGGAAACTGATTTCCATTTCCCAGTAATTACAGGTCAATACCACACCTGAGAAGGCAGGCAGGAATGGAACCCAGACTGACTCCAGGGCTGTGTTGCTTCCTGTATCAGAACCAAACCCCGGGTGACCTCCTGTTGCATGCCCCTTGTCCCAACTTTATAGATTAGGACACTGCAGCTCCATCTTGCTACCCAAGAGTTAAGACTTTTTCTGGAGGACCTGGCTCCCCGGGTTTGGAAATAGTACCATTGTTTCCTAACTGGGTGACCCCGAGCAAGTTGCTTACCCTCTCTTGGCTTCAACGATCTCATCTATAAAATGGGATCACTTAGGTCGGGCGTGGTGGCTCACGCCTGTAATCCCAGCACTTTGGGAGGCCGAGGCGGGTGGATCACAAGATCAGGAGTTTGAGACTAGCCTGGCCAACATGGTGAAATCCTGTCTCTACTAAAAATACAAAAATTAGCTGGGCGTGGTGGCGGGCGCCTGTAATCCCAGCTACTTGGGAGGCTGAGGAAGAACTGTTTGAACCCGGGAGGTGGAGGTTGCAGTGAGCAGAGATGGTGCCACTGCACTCCAGCCTGTGGGCAACAGGGTGAGACTCCTTCTCAAAAAAAAAAAAAAAAAAAATAGCTCTAGTATCCACCCCACAGATGGTTGTTTCCAATTAGATGTAGTAAATGCACGCCTTTATAACCCCATAACCCATTGCCTTCTGTGTATCAGGCCTCTCTCTGCTGCAGGGTCCCAGCTCTGCCACAATGCTCACAGTGTATCTCAGGCTGTGCCTTTCTTTTTTTTGTTTTCTTTTTCTTTTTTTTTTTTTTGAGACGGAGTCTCACTCTGTTGCCAGGCTGGAGTGCAGTGGTGCGATCTCGGCTCACTGCAACCTTCACCTCCCAGGTTCAAGCGATTCTCCCGCCTCAGCCTTCCGAGTAGCTGTGACTACAGGCGTGCACCACCACACCCAGCTAATGTTTGTATTTTTAGTAGAGACACAGTTTCACCATGTTAGCCAGGATGGTCTTGATCTCTTGATCTCGTGATCCGCCTGTCTTGGCCTCCCAAAGTGTTGGGATTACAGGGCGTGAGGCACCACGCCCGGCCCCAGGCTGTGCCTTTCACAGCTCAGAGCAGGGCACACATCTCACTGAGTGTGCACTGACCTCAGGCCTGCAAACTCTTGCAACTTTCAGGTGTTTGCCTATATCCAGAGGACAGAGACATAGGCAGAGACAAAGATATGGGGGGAGGGCCCAACACAGTGGCTCACACCTGTAATTCCAGCATTTTGGGAGGCCGAGGCAGGAGGATCACTTGAGCCCAGGAGTTCAAGATCAGCCTGGGTAACACAGTGAAATCCCATCTCTACAAAAAGCCGGCAGGAGGATCAATTGAGCCTGGGCAGTCAAGGCTACAGTGAGCCATGATGGTGCTGCTGCACTCCAGCTTGGCAGACAGAATGACACCCTGTCTCAAAAAAAAAAAAAAACAACAAAAAACAAAGATATGGGGAGCACACGATGTGTGTGTCAGAGCAACACAGGGAATTTCCTTAATCCCCCCAGTATATACCACCTCCCTTTCCCACCTCCATTTATCTCCCCAAATTTGTCAGAGAATTCCTCTCAAGGGTAATGCAGTTGAATCTGAGGGGCAGCAGAGCTCAGGGGTGAAGCCACAGGCTCTGGAGGTGAGTTTAAATCACAGCACCACCACTTCCTGGCTGGTTGTCCCCGCAAAGTGACATTGCCTCTCTGTGTCTCAGTTCCTTCTTCTGGAAAAGGGGGATAATAAATTAACAGGCCCGCGCCAGAGCTGTTGGGAGGATGTTTGAAAAGCGCTGAGCCTGGCCTGGCACCTAAACAGCTCAGCAAGTGTTAGCCAGGATCACTAGCAGTAATATTTAGCTACTGACTGCTTTCTTTTCTTTTCTTTCTTCCTTTCTTTCCTTTTTTTTGAGAGGTAGTCTTAGAATCTGTTGCCCAGGCTGGAGTGCAGTGGCGCGATCTCAGCTCAGTGCAACATCCGTCTCTTGGTTCAAGCTATTCTCCTGCTTCAGCCTCCCAGGTAGCTGGGACCGCAGGCGTGCACCACCATGCCTGGCTAATTTTGTATTTTTAGTAGAGACAGGGTTTCACCACGTTGGCCAGGCTGGTCTCAAACTCCTGAGCTCAGGTGATCCACCCGCCTGGCCTCCCAAAGTGCTGGGATTACAGGTGTGAGCCACTGCACCCGGCCCTTTTTTCTGTTTCTTATCTATTTAGTTTAGAGATAGTATCACACTGTCTATAAAACTCACAACCATTCTCCCAGGCTAGTCCTAAACTTCTGGGCTTAAGCAATGCTCTCACCTCAGCCGCTGTGCTGGTGGCACTGACTGCGTTCATCACCTGTCTAATCCTCCTGTCTTTCAGGGCAGACCAGAGGCTCCTGGGTACCTGGTGCCCCTGCACTGCAACACAGGGCTGGACACACAGGGGGCATTTGGGGGATGTTTGCTGAAGGAACAAACATAAAGAAAGGCTGAAAGATACACATATATAATTTTTGAGATGGAGTCTCACTCTGTCACCCAGGCTACAGTACAGTGGGGCCATCTCAGCTCACTGCAACCTCCATCTCCGGGGTTCAAGCAATTCTCCTGCCCCAGCCTCCTGAGTAGCTGGGATTACAGGTGCCTGCCACCATGCCCTGTTAATTTTTGTATTTTTAGTAGAGACGGGGTTTCACCATGTTGGCCAGGCTGATCTCAAACTCCTGACCTCAGGTGATCCACCCGCCTTGGCCTCCCAAAGTGTTGGGATTACAGGTGTGAGACACCACGCCCGGCCAGTTTTTGTATTTTTAGTAGAGACAGCGTTTTACCATGTTGGCCAGGCTGGTCTCGAATTCCTGACCTCAGGTGATCTGCCCGCCTCCACCTCCCAAAGTACTGGGATTACAGGTGTGAGCCACCATGCCTGGCCCCAAAAGATACTTTGGTCAAGCGAGGCCAATTCATTATAAGAGGTAGAGAAGAGAGCAACAGAGTGACAAGGAGAAGCTCAGGAAGATTAAAGCAGGAGAGCTAAAATGTTCTCCAGAGCCACAACTGGGCGCTCATTTCCATGCAAACTGTTTGCTTTGCAGATGGAGAAAGTGAGGCCTCGATGGGGCAGAGCCAGGGCCTCTCCACTTGCTCAGGGGTCCTGCTCCCACCATTCAGTCCGATACCAGCTGCCTCCCCCAAGCCCTCCTGAATCCACCCCACTCCCAAGGCTCTGGAAACAGATACCACTAGAAAAAAACACAGAGCTTTATTATTCTCAACACCAATGGCAGCGGTCTTCATAGGACAGAGGAGTGAGTTCTGTCAACAGACAGGCGGCCCCTACTTGCCGGCGATGAGCGGGTTCCGCAGGACCACGATGACTGAGTCCCCGCGCAGGAACATCTTGGAGATGTAGCGGTCTTTGTTGACTGGCTTGGACTTCTTCTTGCCCTTGCCACTCTTGGGTACCTCAGTCCACATCTCCTTCACGTTCTCCAGCACCATGTTGCAGTGCCTGGTGGGGAACAGGGAGGGGAGGCACTGGGCGTGAGGGGCGTGCCTCTGACAGTGCCCCCTACTGCCTGCTGCTCGCCCCCTCCAGCAGCATGGCTTGGGGAAGGGTGCAGGTGCTAGGCCGGGATGACCAAGCTGCCAAAGCAACTCTGCCAGTCCTTAGGTTGAGGCTGAGGCAAAGGACTGCACCTCTCTGTGCCAGTTTGCTCCTTTTTAAGAGGGAAGATAATCACGTTACCTTCCTCACAGGGCCATTGAAAATTATCATTTTCTTTTTTGAGACAGAATCTCACTCTGTTGCCCAGGCTGCAATGCAGTGGTGCGATTTCAGCTCACCACAACCTCCGCCTCCTGGGTTCAGGCTATTCTTGTGCCTCGGCCACCTGAGTAGCTGTGAATACAGGCGTGCACCACCACGCCTGGCTTTTATATTTTTAGTAGAGATGGGGTTTCGCCATTTTAGCTAAGCTGGTCTTGAACTCCTGACCTCAGGTGATCTACCCGCCTTGCCTTCCCAAAGTGCTGGGATTACAGGCATGAGCCACCACGCCTGGCCATACACCCCAGGCTTCTGAGACAGCTGTCTTTGAGCTCTTCAGACTGGAGCTGGAGTGGCCTCTCCAGGCCTGCGGAGAACACCTCCCAGGACCCAGCACTCACCTATCGAAGGCCTTCACGCGGCCCAGGAGTTTCTTATTGTTGCGGCAGTTGATGAGCACTTGGGTATTGTTCTTGACTGACTGTGTGAGCACAGAGAGTGGACCGGTGTTAAATTCCTCCTCCTCTCGCTTCTGCAGCTCCTCTGGGGTCATCTCACTCTTGGGCTTGTTGAGGAGGCTCCTGCATGGACAAACATGGAACCAATAAGTGAGAGAGGCTGGAGTTGAGAGGCTGGAGCTGTGAGGATGGGTGATCAGGGCCTTGGCTTCAGTGTCTCCCCAACCTTGTCCCACCACATCTGTCCTCCTGTTCAGCCTTCTGAGTATCATCAGCTAGATGCCTAACAGACATTTTTTTTTTTTTTGAGACGGAGTCTTGATCTGTTGCCCAGGCTGGAGCGCAGTGATGTGATCTCGGCTCACTGCAACCTCTGCCTCCTGGGTTCAAGCGATTCTCCTGCCTCAGCCTCCTGAGGAGCTGGGACTACAGGCATGCACCACCTCCACGCCCAGCTAATTTTTGTATTTTAGTAAACAGGGGGTTTCACCATGTTGGCCAGGATGGTCTTGATTTCTTGACCTTGTGATCCACCCGCCTCGACCTCCCAAAGTGCTGAGATTATAGGCGTGAGCCACCGTGCCCAGCCAGACATTTTCAACTCTGCATGTCTCAGGTCGGGATCCAGATCACCCAACCACCCAAGCCTACCCTATCTACAGCGTTCCCCATCTGCTTTGATGGTAACTCCATCCTTCTAGTTCTCTGGGCAAAAACTCTTTTGTCAACTTGATTCCTCTTTTTCCCTCACATCCTACATGAAATCTGTAGGAAATGGCCGTTTCTTACCATGGCCTAAGCCTCTGTCATCTCTGTCCTGGAATCTTTCTGGTCTCTCTGCCTCCACCCACGTTCCCTGACAGTCTGTTCTCCACAGAGTGGTCTGAGGGGGTTGTGCTAAAACCTAAATCATAACATGTCACTCTTCAAAACCCTCCCAGGGTATGGGTACAGTGGCTCATGCCTGTAATCCTAGCACTTTAGGAGGTCAAGGTGGATTGATCACTTGATGTGAGGAGTTCGAGACCAGCCTGGCCAACATGGTGAAACCCCATTTCTACTAAAAATACAAAACAAAACAAAACAAAACAACAATAAAAAAAACAACCAACAGAAAATTAGCCAGGCGTGGTGGTGCACGCCTGTAATCTCAGCTACTCGGGAGGTTAAAGTAGAAGAATTGCTTGAACTCAGAGAGTCGGAGGTTGCAGTGAAGTGAGATCATGCCACTGCACTCCAGCCTGGGTGACAGAGCGAGACTCTTGTCTCAAAAAATAAATAAATACAAATTAGAAAATACAAAAATTAGGCCAGATGCGATGGCTCACGCCTGTAATCCCAGCACTTTGGGAGGCCGACGCGAGGTGGATCGCCTGAGCTCAGGAGTTCGAGACCACCCAGGGCAAGATGGTGAAACCCTGTCTCTTCTAAAAATGCAAACAAATTAACCAGGTGTGGTGGCGCATCCCTCTAGTCCCAGCTACTTGGGAGGCTGAGGCAGCAGAAACGCTTGAGCCCCAGCAGCGAAGGTTGCAGTGAGCCAAGATTGCGCCACTGCACTCCAGCTTGGGCTACAGAGTGAGACTCCATCTCAAAAAAAAAATTAGGCCGGGCGCGGTGGCTCACGCCTGTAATCCCAGCACTTTGGGAGGCCGAGGCGGGCGGATCACGAGGTCAGGAGATCGAGACCATCCTGGCTAACACGGTGAAACCCCGTCTCTACTGAAAATACAAAAAATTAGCCGGGCGAGGTGGCGGGCGCCTGTAGTCCCAGCTACTCGGGAGGCTGAGGCAGGAGAATGGCGTGAACCCCAGGGGGCGGAGGCTGCAGTGAGCCGAGATTGCGCCACTGCACGCCAGCCTGGGCGACAGCGAGACTCCGTCTCAAAAAAAAAAAAAAAAAAAAAATTAGCTGGGCATGGTGGCGCATGCTTGTAATCCTAGCTACTTTGAAGGCTGAGGCAGGAAGATCGCTTGAACCCAGGAGACAGAGCTCGTGCTACTACACTCCAATCTGGGTGACAGAGCGAGACTCCATCTCAAACAAACAAAACAAAAGAAAACCCTCCCATCCTCCCCCCATCTCAGTGTAGAAAGTAAAACCCCGACCAGACACGGTGGCTCACACCTGTAATCCCAGCACTTTGGAAGGTCGAGGCGGGTGGATCATTTGAGGTCAGGAGTTTGAGACCAGCTTGGCCAACATGGTGAAACCTGGTCTCTACTAAAAATACGAAAGTTAGCTGGGCATGGTGGTGGGTGCCTGTAATCCTAGCTACTCGGGAGGCTGAGGCAGGAGAATCGCTTCAACTCAGGCGGCGGAGGTTGCAGTGAGCTGAGATCGCACCATTGCACTACAGCCTGAGCAACAGAGCAAGGCTCCGTCTCAAAAAAAAAAAAAAAAAGAAAAAGAGAAAAAGATTTTTCTTTTCCCTTGGGGACTAGAGGTTTCATTCACTGATGTATCCTATGTAGCTTAAGCAGTGTCTGATACATAAGCATTCAATGTAATATCTGCTGCACTAATAAATGCGCAAAATCATGTCAATGACTCGTTCGTTATCCGTGTAAGTTGTGAATCAAGTCGAAAACGCACCCGTCTCCAGCTCAAATGATCAAGATAAGTCCCTTATTTCAAATAATTATTTCTAAAAGTCCTAACTTCCCTCCCCCATTATTCGTTTTATTTCTTTTGTTTCGTTTTGAGATGGAGTCTTACTCTGTCGCTCAGGCTGGAAGTGCAGTGGCGCAATCTCGGCTCACTGCAACCTCCGCCTCCCGGGTTCAAGCGATCCTCCGGCCTCAGCCTCCCGAATAGCTGCAATTACAGGCGCCCGCCACTACGGCCGGCTAATTTTTGTATTTTTGTTAGAGACGGGGTTTCACCACAATGGCCAGGCTGGTCTCAAACTCCTGACCTCAGGTGATCCGCCCGCCTCGGCCTCCCAAAGTGCTGGGATTTACAAACCTGAGCCACCGCGCTCGGCCTCCCCCAGTATTCGTAAAATCGCTGCCCCTTAACATTCATTTCAATAGGACTAATTATCTAGGACCACTCCCGTTATCGTTTAAAACATGTTTTTCATAATTAAATTTTTTTTTTTTTTTGTAGAGACGGGGGTCTCGCTATGTTGCCTAGGCTAGTCTCGAACTCCTGTGTTCCAGCGATGCTCCGCCTTGGCCTACTAAAGTGCTGGGATCACAGGAATGAGCCCCCGCGCCCAGCCCAGGGCGTTATCTGATAAAGCTGTCCCCTCTCCCGAAGTCACGATGCGTCAAAGGCCCCACGCCCGTTCTCAAACTCATCAGGAGAAAAGCAGGACGCTGCATCCCTAAAACATCTGCCCCTGCCCCCCCCGCTCTGCTCAACCCTTCCCACACTCAATCGGTCAAATATCCACCCTCAACCTCATTCCCGCCGCCTAAGCCTAGCCCGGCCTCACATGATGGTCACTACGCTCTCCGTTCACTCCCGTTTCCTCCGCGTTGCTGCTGCCTGAGGAGAGAGAGGCGGGACTTCCTCTTCCTGCGACCCACTTCCGTTGGCGCCTGCGCAAAGCCAACCAGTAAGTGGAGGCGTGGCCTGTTGCCACAGCATTCCCCACCAACGGTGCACAATGATGGAATAAAAGCTTCGGGTAGGGGTTCGCGGCCAGTCAGAACCACACGGGGGCAGATGTTTATGACAATGAAGACAAAAGGAAAGGCAGTCTGATTCAAACCGTTTCTTGAAGAATGGTACAGGTTGAAGGAGGGAAATGACAAGCTATTTCCAAATGCCCGCCGGCCGTGACTTCGGGGGCGCGGCCTCCGTGAAGCCAATCCGCTCCTCGCTTCGGAGACAGGCACCGCCCCTCTTCCCTCTGGGACGCGTTACTGACGTATCTACTGATCTTTCCGACCCTGCGCCACCAATCCCCTGCCTACATCCGGAAGGGGCATGGACCTGCGCCCGGGAGATCGAATATTTTCCATGATCAAACGCTGTTCATTGGCTTTCCCTCCTCCGCTAAGGCGGAGCCTACTTCTCTTGCGCTCCCATTTGGGTCGTGCCATTCTCAGGGGAACCAACCCCAATACCTAAGGGAGGCTGGGAGGCGTGTCCTCAGGACCGTAGTTCTTATTGGTTTCGCTGCTCGCTGTGGGGTGGGCTGGTGCAGCCGCAGCTGTTGCTTATTGGCCCACCGATTCCATGGGGAGGAACTTGGCTGGGCCTAAACTCAATCCGTGGTCTGGTACAGGTTTCAGGGCAAAGCGGCCATGCGTTCCGGGGGCCGCGGGCGACCCCGCCTGCGGCTGGGGGAACGTGGCCTCATGGAGCCACTCTTGCCGCCGAAGCGCCGCCTGCTACCGCGGGTTCGGCTCTTGCCTCTGTTGCTGGCGCTGGCCGTGGGCTCGGCGTTCTACACCATTTGGAGCGGCTGGCACCGCAGGACTGAGGAGCTGCCGCTGGGCCGGGAGCTGCGGGTGAGGCTGGGCGGGGACCCGGGCACCGCGGGGACCCTCATTCCCTCCCCGCTGTTACCCAGGGTTGACGTGGCTTTAGCGTACGGCCCTAACCGCAGATGCCACCGTCTTCGTCATCTGAGCGCATGACCCTTACCAAAGGAATAAGGCTTCGGGCTGGTTCTGCAACAGTAGCTTCCTTTTAAGAGGAAAGGTCTGAAATAGTAAGACGGGGGGGTTCAGGGTTCTACGCCTTTAGTCAACTATTTGGAAGAGTCCCTTCCTCCATCTCCCCTCTCTCTCACTGGGCCTCGATTTCCCCATCAAGTTTGAGGTAGGCTGGACCGGATGGTCTTGGAAGGACTTTTCCTGAGCCTTGGATTTATCCTAGAAGTCTCCGATGCTGGAGGCGGCAGATTAGGAAGAGAACCCGGGGCTCCTCGCGGGTGACGGCGCCCGGGGTAGGGTTGAAATGGGGGGGTTGCTCTCATTCTTCCCTTCCCTATCCCACCTCCTTCCCAAGGTCCCATTGATCGGAAGCCTCCCCGAAGCCCGGCTGCGGAGGGTGGTGGGACAACTGGATCCACAGCGTCTCTGGAGCACTTATCTGCGCCCCCTGCTGGTTGTGCGAACCCCGGGCAGCCCGGGAAATCTCCAAGTCAGAAAGGTAAAGGGACCCACCTCCAGTCCCTGACCCCCTAGCCCTCCAGGGAATGGGAAATAAGAATCCTGTTCAAGATCCCAAAGAAGCTAAGAGGAGGAACTGGGGCTCTGACTGGAGTTAATCGGACTCTAGACTCCATGCTGGTAACAAACCACCAGGCTGTACTGCCCCCCTTAATGCCCCCACCAAAAGCTTACTGTGTGCTAGGCATAGGCAACAGACAGCCCTATAAGGTGGGTACCAATATGATCTTCATTATGCAGATGGGGAAACTGAGGCTCAGAGAGGTTATACACATTGCACAAATCCTACAGATAATAAGTAGTAGACCTTAGCCGGGTGCAGTGGCTCATGCCTGTAATCCCAGCACTTTGGGAAGCCAAGGTGGAAGAATCACCTGAGAAGTTTGAGACTAGCCTAGTCAACCTAGTGAGACCCAATGTTTAGAAAATCATAGACCTAGAGTTGAACCCAAACAGGTTGGCTCCGAGCTGGTGCTGTAATGTATCTGTTGTCTTCCAGAAAGCATGAAGAGTCATTTAAAGGCCAGGCGCAGTGGTTCACACCTCTAATCCCAGCACTTTGGGAGGCCGAGACAGGCAGATCCCTCGAGATCAGGAGTTTGAGACCAGCCTGGCCAACATGGTGAAACCTCATCTCTACTAAAAATACAAAATTAGCCAGGCGTGGTGGTGGGTACCCGTAGTCCCAGCTACTTGGGAGGCTGAGGCACGAGAATCACTTGAACCCAGGAGGCGGAGACTGCAGTGAGCTGAGATTGCGCCACTGCACCCCAGCATGGGTGACAGAGCGAGACTCCATCTCAAAAAAAAAAAGTCACTTAAATACTGCCTGAGTCCCAATGCTACCTCATCCACTTAGATTGTGACCTTGGACTGGTTTCTTTTTTATTTTATTTTATTTTATTTTATTTTGAGATGGAGTCTCACACTGTCGCCTGGGTTGGAGTGCAGTGGCGCGATCTCGGCTCACTGCAACCTCCACCTCCCAGGTTCAAGCAAATCTCATGCTTCAGCCTCCTGAGTAGCTGGGATTACAGGTGTGCACCACCATGCCTGGCTAATTTTTTGTATTTTTAGTGAGACGGGGTTTCACCATATTGGCCAGGCTGGTCTCAAACTCCTGACCTTATGATCCGCCCACCTCAGCCTCCCAAAGTGCTGGGATTACAGGCGTGAGCCACCGCGCCCGGCCTGGACTAGTTTCTTAACCTCTCTGAGCCCATTTCCTCATCTGTAAAATGGGGTCATGTATTGGCAGTCCCTCCCCTAAATGGTTCCTAGAAGAGGGCTTAGCACACAGTGAGAGCTATTTAAGGGTAAGCTGTGATGAGTCTTGCTGGCTTCAAGAGGTGGGGTCTCCCCAACATCTGGCACCCAGTAGGTACTCACCAGCACTGTCAAGGGAATGATTTTAATCAGAGTAGGGGGCTGGGCACAGTGGCTCACATCTGTAATCCCAACACTTTGGGATGCTGAAGCAGGCAGATCACTTGAGGTCAGGAGTTCGAATACCAGGCTGGCCAACATTGTGAAACCCCATCTCTACTAAAAATACAAAAAATAGCCAGGCGTTGTAGGGGGCGCCTGTAACCCCAGCTACTCAGGAGGCTGAGTCAGGAGAATCACTTGAAGCCAGGAGGCAGAGGTTGCAGTGAGCCAAGATCAAGCCACTGCACTCCAGCCTGGGTGACAGAGCAAGACTCCATCTCAAAAAAAAAAAGAAAGAAAGAAAGAAATCCATTCAATCAGAGTGGGGCTTTAGTGTCAACCCATCTGCTCTGCATGGCTCAGGTCACGTGGCCCTTCTCCCCACCTCCTCCCCAGTCCCCGTCCACCCTCCCACCTCTCTCTTGCCGCTAGTTCCTGGAGGCCACGCTGCGGTCCCTGACAGCAGGTTGGCACGTGGAGCTGGATCCCTTCACAGCCTCAACACCCCTGGGGCCAGTGGACTTTGGCAATGTGGTGGCCACACTGGACCCAAGGGCTGCCCGTCACCTCACCCTTGCCTGCCATTATGACTCGAAGCTCTTCCCACCCGGATCGACCCCCTTTGTAGGGGCCACGGATTCGGCTGTGCCCTGTGCCCTGCTGCTGGAGCTGGCCCAAGCACTTGACCTGGAGCTGAGCAGGGCCAAAAAACAGGTGAGGAGCAGGAGTCGGGGAGGGTAGTGGGCTACCTCCACCTTTTCCCAAGCCCCCACCCTCCCTTGCCTGGACATTTGTCATCCCTCTCGTCTTCCCACTCTACTCCACGCACAGAGCCACAGGGATCTTTTTTTTTTTTTTGAGACGGAGTTTCGCTCTTGTTCCCCAGGATGGAGTGCACATGGCGAGATCTTGGCTCCCCGCAACCTCTGCCTACTGGGTTCAAGCAATTCTCCTCCCAACCTCAGGTGATCTGCCCACCTCGGCCTCTCAAAGTGCTGGGATTACAGGCGTGAGCCACCGCGCCTGGTCATCACAGGGATCTTTTTACCTTCTAGATGTCAGATTCTCTTTCCTCTCCCCCAAACCCTCCCAGGGCTCCCGCCTCATTCCAGCCATAATCCAGAGTCCTTATATTGGCCCACGAGCTGTGCCCTGTTACCTCTCCAGCCTCATCTCCCACCCCTCACCTCTTGCTCACTCTGCTGTAGCCACCCCCACCTCCTCTGGGTTCCTCAAACCCGCAGAGCTTGCTCCCACCTCAGGGCATCTGCACTTGCTGTTTGCTTTGGATAGAATGTGCTTTTCTGGCCAGGCTCCGTGGCTCACACTTGGAATCCCAGCACTTTGGGAGGTTGAGGTGGGTGGATCACAAGGTCAGGAGTTCAAGACCAGCCTGGCCAACATGATGAAACCCCATCTCTACCAAAAACACAAAAATTAGCCAGGCTTGGTGGTGCACACCTGTAACCCCAGCTACTCGGGAGGCTGAAGCAGAGAATTGCTTGAACCCGGGAGGCGGAGGTTGCAGTGAGCCAAAGTTGCACCACTGCACTCCAGCCTGGGCAACAGAGCGAGACTCCATCTCAAAAAAAAAAAAAAATTATCTGGGAGTAGTGGCATGCTACTTGGGAGGCTGAGAGGGGAGGATGGCTTGAGTCTAGGAGTTTGAGACTGCAGTGAGCCATGATCGTGCCACTGTATTCTAGCCTGGGTGACAGAGACCTTGTCTCTTAAAAAAAAAAAAAAGAATATGCTTTTCATAGATATCTTCCTGGCTGGCTCCCACTCTTCACTCAGGTGTCCACTCCAATGTCACCCCTTCAAAGAGGCCTTCCCGGCCGGGCGTGGTAACTCGCACCTGTAATCCCAGCACTTTGGGAGGCCGAGGCAGGCAGATCATTTGAGGTCAGAAGTTCGAGCCCAGCTTGTCCAACAGGGAAACCTCATCTCTACTAAAAATACAAAAATTAGCTGGGTATGGTGGTACATACCTGTAATCCTACTACTTGGGAGGTTGAGACAGGAGGATCACTTGAAACTGAGAGGCGGAGGTTGCAGTGAGCCGAGATCGCACCACTGCACTCCAGCCTGGATGACAGAGCGAGATTCTGTCTCAAAACAAACAGAAAAGAAAAACACAGGCCAGGTGCGGTGGCTCACACCTGTAATCCCAGCACTTTGGGAGGCCAAGGCAGGTGGATCGTGAGGTCAGGAGATTGAGACCATCCTGGCTAACACAGTGAAACCCCGTCTCTACTAAAAATACAAAAAGTTAGCTGGGCGTGGTGGCGGGCGCCTGTAGTCCCAGCTACTTGGGAGGCTGAGGCAGGAGAATGGCGTGAACTCGGGAGGCAGAGTTTGCAGTGAGCCGAGATCGCGCCACTGTACGCCAGCCTGGGCGATACAGCGAGACTCCGTCTCAAAAAAAAAAAAAAGAAAGAAAAAAAAGAAAAGAAAAGAAAAACACAGATTTAATCATGCTCCTGCCCTGCTTAACCCCTCTCTGTGCCTCCCCAGTGTCCCTATAACAAAGCCCACACTCCTTGGCCCTTGCTAAACCTTCCGTACCCCTCTCAAACCTCTGGGACCCCTTCCCTGGCCATAGCCTTGCCCTGTGTTGCTCCCTTGGCTGGGAATACTCTTCCTCCTGCTCCATTTTGCCAGGCCAGTTCCTACCCATTCTCATGGCAAACATCCCTTCCCAAAAGACCCAACGCCCTCTCCAGGCCAGGTCATCCCCCAGCCTCCTTCCTATGCCCTCTCAGGACTCTATAGTTCTTAGAAGCATTTGTCTCAACTGCATTTCACTGTTTGTATAATTATTCATTTGTGGATCTATCTGGTTCACCAAACTGAGCTTGAGGAATAATAATCAGAGATAACCCTTATTTAGTTATATGCCAGGCACTGTTCTAAGACCTGGATTCAAACCTTACCCTTTGAAAAGAACTGTTATTGCCGGGCGCGGTGGCTCACATCTGTAATCCCAGCACTTTGGGAGGCTGAGGTAGGTGGATCATTTGAGGTCAGGAGTTCGAGACCAGCCTGGCCAACATGGTGAAAGCTTGTCTCTACTAAAAATACAAAAATTAGCCAGGCATGATAGCGGGAACCTGTGGTCACAGCTGTATGGGAGGCTGAGGCAGGAGAATCTCTTGAACCTGGGAGGTAGGGGGTGGAGGTTGCAGTGAGTCAAGATTGCATCATTCCACTCCAGCCTGGGTGACAGAGCAAGATTTATTCTAAAAAAAACAAAAAACAAAAAAAAAACAAAAAACCTCTTATTAACCCCATTTATAGATGAAGAAACTGATCCTTCCAGAAGTTAGTAACTTCCCCATGCCTGCTTTGTTATGAAGCAGCCAAGTACGGATTTGATCCCAGACAACTGACTCGGAATCTGTGCTCTTGGCTACCACGTTCTATGAGTGAGGACACCTTATGTGTTCTCTTAAGCATGCAAGCGGGCAAGAAGTGTGGGTATGTTGAGGCTGAGGGCTAGTCCTGAGCTGGCTCTGGCCACCCCCCTGCTGCTCCCACAGGCAGCCCCGGTGACCCTGCAACTGCTCTTCTTGGATGGTGAAGAGGCGCTGAAGGAGTGGGGACCCAAGGACTCCCTTTACGGTTCCCGGCACCTGGCCCAGCTCATGGAGTCTATACCTCACAGCCCCGGCCCCACCAGGATCCAGGCTATTGTAAGACCAGGGTCCCCTGGCTTCTGGCGAGGGAGGGAGCAGGTTAAGCAGGGCTGGCGTCATCCTGCACGGGCCCCTCCAGTCCTAGCCTTTCTCCTTAGGAGCTCTTTATGCTTCTTGATCTCCTGGGAGCCCCCAATCCCACCTTCTACAGCCACTTCCCTCGCACGGTCCGCTGGTTCCATCGGCTGAGGAGCATTGGTAAGGGTGAATGCGGAGGTGGGCCCCAGCCCACCTGGGGTATGGGGTACAGGGCGGTGGGCTGGGGTAGGACAGGCACCTACACTCTAAAGGCTCATCCACCAGTCTGGGCCACATAGGGAGACCCCATCTTTTTTTTTTTTTTTTTTTTGAGATGGAGTCTCGCTCTGTCACTGAGACTGGAGTGCAGTGGCATGATCTTGGCTCACTGCAACCTCCACCTCCCAGGTTCAAGCCATTCTCCTGCCTCAGCCTCCCGAGTAGCTGGGACTACAGGCGCATGCCACCATGCCCAGCTAATTTTTGTATTTTAGTAGAGACAGAGTTTCACTATGTTGGCCAAGCTGGTCTTGAACTCCTGACCTCGTGATCCGTCCACCTCAGCCTCCCAAAGTGCTGGGATTACAGGCGTGAGCCACCGTGCCTGGTGACCCCATCTCTTAAAAAAAAATTAGCTGGGTGCAGTGGCATGCACCTGTCATCCCAGCTACTGGGGAGTATCCTTAGAGCCTGGGAGGTCAAGGCTATAGTGAGCCAAGATTGCGCCACTGCACTCCAGCCTGGGCAACAGAATGAGATCCTGTCTCAAAAAAATAAAAAATAAAAATAAAATAAAGGCTGGGCTTGGTGGCTCACACCTGTAATCCCAGCACTTTGAGAGGCAGGTGGATCACTTGAGCTCAGGAGTTTCAGACCAGCTTGGGCAATATGGCGAAACCCTGTCTCTACAAAATAAAAACAAACATTAGGCCAGGCGCGATGGCTCACACCTGTAATCCCAGCACTTTGGGAGGCCAAAGCGGGTGGATCACCTGAGGTTAGGAGTTTGAGACCAGCCTGGCCAACAGGGCGAAACCCCATCTCTACTAAAAATACAAAAAGTTAGCTGGGCGTGGTGACATGTGCCTGTAATCCTAGCTATTCGGGAGGCTGAAGCAGGAGAATGGCTTGAACCTGGGAGGCGGAGGTTGCAGTGAGCCGAGATCACGCCACTGCACTCCAGCCTGGGCAACAGAGCGAGACTCCATCTCAAAAAAAAAAAAAAAAAAAATTAGCCAGGCATGGTGGCACCTGCCTGCAGTCCCAGTGACTTGGGAGGCTGAAGTGGTAGGATCACTTGAGTCTGGGAGGTCGAGGCTGCAGTAAGCTGTGATCACACCACTGCACTCCAGCCTGGGGACAGAGTGAGACTCTGTCTCAAAAAAAAGTAATAATAAAAATTAAAATTAAAAAAATTAAAAATTGTTTTTAAAAATAAAGGCTTGGCTGGGCGCAATGGTTCACGCCTGTAATCCCAATACTTTGGGAGACTAAGGTAGGTGGATCACAAGGTCAGGAGTTTGAGACCAGCCTGGCGAATATGGTAAAACCCTATCTCTACTAAAAATACAAAAATTAGCTGGGTGTGGTAGCGTGTGCCTGTAGTCCTAGCTACTCCGGAGGCTCAGGCAGAAGAATCGCTTGTACCTGGGAGCACAGGTTGCAGTGAGCTGAAATTGTGCCACTGCACTCCAGCCTGGGTGACAGAGCGAGACTCTGTCACTAAATAAATAAATAAATAAACAAATAAATAAATAAGAAAATAAAATAAAGGCTCACCCAGCCTTTCCTCTACCTCCCTAGCCTTTCTAAGGAACTAGAGATTAGTAATAGTGATTACCAGACAGGGGCTCTAAGGTGAGACAGCCGTGGTTTCCAATCTTACCAGCTGGATGAACTTGGACAAGTGGCTTCATTTCTTTGAGCCTCAGTTTCCTATCTGTAAAACGGCCAGTGGGGGCCGGGCCTGGTGGCTCATGCCTGTAATCCCAGCACTTTGGGAGGCCGAGGTGGGCGAATCACAAGGTCAGCAGTTCGAGACCAGCTTGGCCAATATGGTGAAACCCCATCTCTACTAATAATACACAAATTAGCTGGGTGTGGTGGTGGGCGCCTGTACTCCCAGCTACTCAGGAGGCTGAGGCAGGAGAATTGCTTGAACCCGGGAGGCGGAGGTTGCAGTGAGCCGAGATTGTGCTACTGCACTCCAGCCTGGCGACAGAGCAAGACTCTGTCTCAAAAAAAAAAAAAAAAAAAAGGCCGGAGGGCCCAGACATAGTGGCTCATGCCTGTAGTCCCAGAAATTTGAGTGACCAAGGCAGGAAGATCACATGAACCCAGAAGTTTGAGGCCAGCCCGGGCAACACAGGAAGATCCCATTTCTACACACACGCGCACACACACACACACACACAATTACCCAGGCATGGGGGCATGCGCCTGAAGTCCTAGCTATTTGGGAGGCTGAGACTGAAGGATCACTTAGGCCAGCGAGATTAAGGCTGCACTGAGCTGGGATTGTCCCACTGCACTCCAGTGTGGGTGAGAGAGCAAGATCTTTTTTTTTTTTTTTGGAGACAGAATCTTACTCTGTCACCCAGGCTGGAGTGCAGTGGTGCAATCTCAGCTCACTGCAACCTCCACCTCCCAGGTTCAAGCAATTCTCCTGCCTCAGCCTCCCAAGTAGCTGGGATTACAGGCGCCCACCACCACACCCAGCTAATTTTTGTATTTTTAGTAGAGACAGGGTTTCACCATGTTGGCCAAGCTGGTTTCGAACTCCTGACCTCAGGTGATCCACCTGCCTTGGTCTCCCTAAGTGCTGGGATTACAGGCATGAGCCACCACACCAGGCCACAAGATCTTGTCTCAAAAAAAAGAATGTCTATGTCTTAGACTCTGAGGGATTGAATGAGACCAGGAACATAGTGAGCCCACAGGAAGGAGTAACTGGCATTCACTCTTGTTGGGCTGACCAGGGCTTTGTCTCTGGGTGCTCTGCCTTCCTCTGATTTGTGGACTGGGGACCTTCGACTACTAAGGACTAACCCTTCCTCTCTAATCGCCCCCACTTCCAGAGAAGCGTCTGCACCGTTTGAACCTGCTGCAGTCTCATCCCCAGGAAGTGATGTACTTCCAACCCGGGGAGCCCTTTGGCTCTGTGGAAGACGACCACATCCCCTTCCTCCGCAGAGGTACCAGCTGCAGGGAGGGATGGAGGGTGGGTGTCCAAGGAAGCCACAAATTGGAACTGGCCAAGTCCCCTTCCCAGGGCTGGGGAATGGTGCTAAGTGGCCTTAACCTCTTTGTGCTTTGATTTATTCATCTGTAAAATGGGGATAATACTCCCTATCTTAGAGTATTGTTGAGGGGATTGAACATGCTAACACCGGTAAAGACCTTACTTGGACCAGCACCCAGCACATAGCAAGCATTCCAGAAATGTTTGCAGCTGGGCACGGTGGTTCACAGCTGTAATCCCAGCACTTTGGGAGGCTGAGCGGGGTGGCGGGGGGGGATCCTTGAGCCCAGGAGTTTGAAACCAGCCTGGGCAACATGGCATAAATCTTGTCTTTACTAAAAATACAAAAAAATTAGCCGGGCATGGTGGTTCACACCTATAGTCCCAGCTACTCGAGAGGCTGAAGTGGGAGGAGCACTTGGGCCTGGGAAGTCAAGGCTGCAGTAAGCCTTGATTGAGCCACTGCACTCTAGCCTGGACAACAGAGGGTGATGATATCTCAAAAAAAAAAAAAGTGCCAGGCTGGGCATGGTGGCTCACACCTGTAATCCTAGCACGTTGGGAGCCTGAGGCGGGCAGATCACCTGAGGTCAGTAGTTTGAGACCAGCCTGGCCAACATGATGAAACCCCATCTCTACTAAAAATACAAAAATTAGACAGGTGTCGTGGTGCCTGCCTATAATCCCAGCTACCCGGGAGGCTAAGACGGTAGAATCGCTGGAACCTGGGAGGCAGAGGCTGCAGTGAGCCGAGATCACGCCACTGCACTCCAGCCTGGGCGACAGAGTGAGACTCTGTCTCAAAAAAAAAAAAAAAGTGCCAGAACATAGTATCTTTCACCAGTGTGTGGTGGCAAGGCAAGGTTACCTAGAGGTTGGGCTTGGGCTCCTGGGTTGTGGTGGGCTGCAGTGGACCTGACAAAGTCTCCTCTGTCACTTCAGGGGTACCCGTGCTCCATCTCATCTCCACGCCCTTCCCTGCTGTCTGGCACACCCCTGCGGACACCGAGGTCAATCTCCACCCACCCACGGTACACAACTTGTGCCGCATTCTCGCTGTGTTCCTGGCTGAATACCTGGGGCTCTAGCGTGCTTGGCCAATGACTGTGGAGAGGACTGTGAGAGAGAAGGTCCCAGCGGGGGCCAGTGAAGCTCAGGCAGGATCTGCCTAGGGTGTGCTGGTTTGTCCTTTTCATACCTTTGTCTCCTAATTGTGCTACAATTGGAAGACCTTCTTTCTTTTGATTGTCTCAAGCTGCCACCCTTCAAGGACAGGGAAGAGACCACTGTGGGATGACAGCCAGAGGAATAAGAACTTGCTCCCTCCCCAGAGGTAAACACTTGGTCCAAAGGTTTGCAGGGACCAAATACTGTTCTTTTTTTTTTTGAGACGGAGTCTCACTGTGTTGCCCAGGCTGGAGTGCAGTGGTGCGATCTCGGCTCACTGCAAACTCCGCCTCCTGGGTTCACGCCATTCTCCTGCCTCAGCCTCCCAAGTAGCTGGGACTACAGGTGCCCGCCACCACGCTGGCTAATTTTTTGTATTTTTAGTAGAGACGGGGTTTCACCGTGTTAGCCAGGATGGTCTCGATCTCCTGACCTTGTAATCCGCCAGCCTCGGCCTCCCAAAGTGCTGGGATTACAGGTGTGAGCCACCGCACCTGGCAAAATGCTGTTCTTTAAGTCAGCGAACTGAAAAAGTAAAAGACTGCTGGGTGTGGTGGCTCACACCTGTAATCCCAACACTTTGAGAGGCTGAGGGGGAAGGATCACCCGAGGTCAGGAGTTTGAGACCAGCCTGGTCAACATGGCGAAACCCTGTCTCTACTAAAAATACAATAATTAGCTGGGCATGGTGGTGGGCGCCTGTAATCTCAGCTGCTTGGGAGGCTGAGGCAGGAGAATCACTTGTACGCAGGAGGCGGAGGTTGCAGTGAGCCAAGATCACACCACTGCACTCCAGCCTGGGCAACAGAGCGAGACTCCATCTCAATAAATAAATAAATAAATAAATATTTTTTAAAAAGAGTAAAAGACTAAAAGACTATTACTGGTCTGGCCCAGTGATGCCACCCAGCTAGATGAATTCTCTGTGGTTTGTGTTGTGTCAGTTCATTCTCCAGAACAGCAGCCTTGCTACTGCACCAGTCCTAACCTAACTCCCACACGGGGCACACAGAGGATGTCCTCATAACCAGGCACAGAGGAGACAGAAGCTCATATTTTGGAAGTCCAGATTCTTCCAGACCCAGTGGGTAATAAGCCATTGTTTCTGGCTGGGCATGGTGGTTCACACCTGTAATCCCAGCTCTTTGGGAGTCAGAGGCAGAGGGATAGCTTGAGCTCAGGAGTTTGAGACCAGCCTGGGCAACAGAGCATGACCCCATTCTCCAGAAAAAAGAAAGAAAAAAAAAAGCGTAACCAATGTTTCTGCAAAACACCACCTGCATAAGCCAGGTGTGGTGGTGCACACCCTGTAGTCTCAGCTATTCAGGAGGCTGAGGTGAGAGAATCCCATGAACCCAAGAGTTCAAGACCAGCCTGGGCAACACAGTGACACCCTGTCTCAAAACAAACACCACCACCACCAACAACAACAAAAAAGGCCATTCTGTAGAACTCGTGTAAATAGACATTGCATGACAAGGGGGATCTGAAATCCAAGAAGAGGGTGAGACAACATAAAATGAGTTTCCTCACTGCATCATGTGAATTTTTAAGACAGAACCCAGAGGCTCCCAAAGTATTTCACTATGGAACACTTTTTATTGGGAAGCACTTCATAGAACTAGGATACTTCGGCCGGGCATGGTGGGTCACACCTGAAATCCCAGCACTTTGGGAGGCCGAGGCCAGCAGTTCAGCTGAGCTCAGGAGTTCGAGAGCAGCCTGGACAACATGATGAAACCCCATCTCTACTAAAAATACAAAAATTAGCCAGGTGTGGTGGCATGAGCCTGTAATCCCAGCTACTTGGGAGGCTGAAACAGGAGAATTGTTGGAACCTGGTGGCAGAGGCTACAGTGAGCCAAAATCACGCCACTGCACTCCAGCCTGGGCAATAGAGCGAGGCTGTCTCAACAAACAAACAAAATACAACAACAACAAAAAGAACTAGGATACCTCAGAAGGTACTTTGGAAAACATGGGGTTTTGAAAGTCTGAGAGCATCTATGAGAGGAATGGGTAAGACAGATCTAGATTTACCGCAGAGTAGTTAGGGCACACTGTCTTTCCCCTTCAGCTGTTGGTACAGCACTGTGAGATGGCAGTGTAACTGCAAACTCCAATGAGCAAGTATTTCCCAACCCTACCTAATTTTCAGACTCAGCTGGGGTGCTCATTAAAAAATGCAGACTGGGTGCAGTGGCTCATGGCTGCAATCTCAGCACTTTGAGAGGTTGAAGTGGGAGGATCACTTGAGCCCAGGAGGTTTTTCTTTTTGAGGCGGAGTCTCGCTCTGTCACCCAGGCTGGAGCGCAGTGCTGCAATGCTGGCTCACTGCAACCTCCGCCTCCCGGGTACGAGCGATTCTCCCGCCTCAGTCTCCCAAATAGCTAGGACTACAGGTGCGTGCCACCACGCCTGGCTAATGTTTGTATTTTTAGTAGAGACAGGGTTTCACCGTGTTAGCCAAGATGGTCTCGATCTCCTGACCTCGTGATCCGCCTGTCTCGGCCTCCCAAAATGCTGGGATTACAGGCGTGAGCCACCGTGCCTGGCCCACGCTGTCCTTAAGGAGACACTTTGGTGCATACACAGCTGCTCAGCAAACCGACTCAAAAGAAAAACCTGAGACAGATGGCACCTGGAAGCAGTCCTACGCTGTGTAGGTGAGCATCTGCCCTCCAAATCAGCTCCAGGGCTGAAACTCGGGGTATCAAATGAGAGGATAAACATAGGTCCTCAATTTAGGTTCTTCCACATTCGCTGACATTTATTGAGCATCTACTATGTGCCAGGCATCATGAGAACTTTTTTTTTTTTTTAAGATGGAGTTTCGCTCTTGTCACCCAGGCTGGAGTTGCAGTGGCACAATCTCGGCTCACTGCAACCTCCACCTCCTGGGTTCAAGCGATTCTTCTTCATCAGCCTCTGGAGTAGCTGATTACAGGCATGTGCTACCATGCCCAGCTAATTTTTGTATTTTCTTGGTTTGGGGGAGAGAGTCTTACTCTGTCGCCCAGGCTGGAGTACAATGGCGAGATCTCAGCTCACTACAAACTCCACCTCCTGGGTTCAAGCGATTCTCCTGCCTCAATCTCCCAAGTAGCTGGGAATACAGGCACCTGCCACCATGCCCTGCTAATTTTTGTACTTTTTAGTAGAGATGGGACCATGTTGATCAGGTTGGTCTTGAACTCCTAACCTCAGGTGATCCACCTGCCTCGGCCTCCCACAGTGCTGAGATTACAGGCATCGAGCCACCATGCCTGGCCAATTTTTGCATATTTAGTAGAGATGAGTTTTGCCATGTTGGCCAGGCTGGTCTTGAACTCCTGACCTCAGGTGTCCACCCGCCTTGGCCTCCCAAAGTGCTGAGATTACAGGCGTGAGCCACCGTGCCCAGCCCATGAGAACTTTTTTTTTTTACATATACAAAACTATGTAGTCTCCCTGACTACAAATCCTGAAATAGGTACAATTTCAGTTCTCATTTTGCAGGTGAGGTGGCTGAGACTGAGAATTGCAAACGAGTTGTGTATGGTGTGCAAATTTTCACTCACAGCTGTGCTCGCAACCCCCATGTCCTATCTCCCTTCCAAAAAGTACCTGTGGCTGGGTGCGGTCACTCACCCCTGTAATCCCAGTCCTTTGGAAGGTTGAGGCAGGAGGACTGTTTGAGCCCAGAAGTTCCCGACCAGCCTGGGCAACAAAGACCCTGTCTCTACAAAAAAAATTAAAATTAGCTAGTATGGTGCCTGTGGTCCCAGCTACTTGGGAGGCTGAGGCAGGAGGATCTCCCGAGCCCAGGAGTTTGAGGTTACAGTCAGCTATGATTGTGTCACTGCACTCCGGCCTGGGTGACAGAATGAGACCCTGTCTCAAAAAAATAAAAATAAAAATACCCCAAATACACCCCCACCACTACCAAAAAAAAAAATACACTTGTGCCAGATGAAATTTGTTAAGAAAAAGTATCCATAGAATTTTAACTTTAATCTGCTTTATGCAGATTTTTGGCTTGAATCTGGGGTAAGAACTGTTAGCCCTGTTGTACAGATGAGGCTGCTGGTGCCTGGCAAGTTCCCGCAGCCAGCAAACCCTTTTATCTTTTTTTTTTTTTTTTCTAGACAGAGTCTCGCTCTGTCGCTCAGGCTGGAGTGCAGTGGCACGACCTCAGTTCAGTGCAACCTCTGGCTCCCGGGCTCAAGCAATTCTTCTGCCTCAGCCTCCCGAGTAGCTGGGACTACAGCCACACGCCACCACGCCCGGCTGATTTTTGTATTTTTAGTAGAGACAGGGTTTCACTGTATTGGCCAGGCTGGTCTCAAATTCCTGATGTCACAATCCACCGCCTCGGCCTCCCGAAGTGCTGAGATTACAGGCATGAGCCACTGTGCCCAGCCTTGCATTTTTCATTTGTAAAAGTTATGTCAGTGGGTTTTTTTTCCCTTTCCTACCTACTAGGCCATTTTGATTTTTTTTTTTTTTTTTTTTTTTAGTTTTGGCTTCCTTGCTGATAATTCCAAGCTTTTAAAATTTTTAAACAGTTTAAAATAAATTTTGTATTATAATCTGTGATTGACAGTTTCATCATGTGAAGCCTATGTGGGTGTTTTTGTTGTTTCTGCTGGTTCTTATTCATATTATTTCCATTTGTTTGGTTATTTGTGTACTACTCATTACCTGAAAAATTATTTGTGGTGGGCTGGGTGCGGTGGCTCACACCTGTAATCCCAACACTTTGGGAGACCAAGGCGGGCAGACTGCTTGAGGTCAAGAGTTCAAGACCAGCCTGGCCAACATGGTGAAACCCCATCTCTACCAAAAAAAAAAAAAAAAAAAAAAAAAAATTGCTGGGCGTGGTGGTGGGTCCCTGTAATCCCAGCTACTTGGGAAGCCTAGGCAGTAGAATCGCTTGAACCGGGGAGGCGGAGGTTGCAGTGAGCTGAGATTGTGCCACTGCACCGTAGCCTAGGCAACAGTGAGACTCCATATCCAAAAAAAAAAAAAAAAAAAAAAAAAAAGCCAGGCGTGGTGGCTCACACCTGTAATCCCAGCACTTTGGGAGGCCAAGGTGGGTCAGGAGTTCAAGACCAGACTGGCCAACATGGTGAAACCTTGTCTCTACTAAAAATACAAAAAATTAGCCAGGTGTGGTGGTGCGCACCTGTAGTTCCAGCTACTTGGCAGGTGAGGCAGGAGAATCACTTGAACCCAGGAAGCAGAGGTTGCAGTGTGCCGAGATCGCGCCACTGCGCTCCAGCCTGGGCAACAAGAGCGAAACTGCATCTCAAAACAAACAAACAAAAATATTTGTGGGGCTTCTAGATGACAGTTCCTTCCACAGGTGGACTTGTGTTTGTTTCTGCCAGACATGTCAGCTAGAAGTACCCTGTATCACACAGGACGTGAACCTGGCTGCGAACCTGTGCCGAGGGCCAGTCTGTGACCACAGATTATCAGAATCTTTCTTTTTTTTTCATTTGATTTCTGCCTCTTGAATACCTCTTCAGTCTTCCGGGTCATCCTTACCTGAGCTTGTAGCTCTCTGGAATCCCAGTTCCTGCAGTTGCTCACTGTGGGCTGGCTTTGGACTTGACTTTTGCCTGCTCCTTCCAGTAAGGCTGCCAAGTAGGAAACCCCAGTGTGTCCACATCAGCAAACACCCTGAGAGCAAATGTGGCTTCAGAGCCCCACATATCATTCTTTTTTTTTTTTTTTTTTTTTTGAGGCGGATTCTTGCTCTGTCTCCCAGGCTGGAGTGCAGTGGCGCAATCTCGGCTCACTGTAAGCTCCGCTCCCCGGGTTCACGCCATTCCCCTGCCTCAGCCTCCCGAGTAGCTGGGACTACAGGTACCCACCACTACACCCGGCTGATTTTTTGTATTTTTAGTAGAGATGGGGTTTCACTGTGTTAGCCAGGATGATCTCGAACCGCCCGCCTTGGCCTCCCAAAGTGCTTGGGATTACAGGAGTGAGCCACCGCGCCCGGCTCCCACATATCATTCTCTTAACTATTTGGCGTGGTGGGTCTTTACTGTATTTTATTGGCTATTTGATCCTTTGAAGGGCATTTTTTTTTCAGTTGTTCTCAACAGGAAGGTCCGAATAATCTAACTCACCCTCCCCACAAGATTCAAACCCAGGTCTTATTGATTCTAAAATCTAAGCATTGAATCACTACCATAATGTATCCTAGTCCTCTGGAAATTCTGATTTCCGGAGAAGAATGTCAGAGACTTAGCTGCCTCTCAATATCCATTTTTCCCTTCCTTTAAACTGAAAATTTAAGATATCCAGCTGGGCGTGGTGGCTCATCCCTGTAATCCCAGCACTTTGGGAAACTGAGATGGGTGGATTACTGGAGGCCACGAGTTCGACAGCAGCCTAGACAACGTGGTGAAACCCCGTCTCTACTAAAATACAAAAATTAGCCAGCTGTGGTGGCGAGTACCTGTAATCCCAGCTACTCAGGAGGCTGAGGCAGGAGAATCATTTGAGCCCGGGAGGCAGAGGTTGCAGTGAGCCGAGATCACACCACTGCACCCCAGCCTGGGTGACAGATTGAGACTGTCTCAAATAAATAAATAAAAAATTAAGTGGCTATTTAAAAACTTTAATTACAGGGATTTTTAGTAAAGAGTGTTTTGTTGGGCATATTGCACCCAGCTAAAAGACTGCATTTCCTAGACTCATGCAGCCCTTCTGTGGCTAAGTCTGACGGGTGAGATGTATATAGAAGCATAGTGTAGTGCTTCTGGGAGGAAGGGGGCCTCCCTTCCAGCAAAATGGTGATAGTAAAAGCAATATAATCTTGGCTGGGCATGGTGGCTCACTCCTGCAATCCCAGCACTTTGGGAGGCCGAGGCGGGCGGATCACGAGGTCAGGAGATCGAGACCATCCCGGCTAAAACGGTGAAACCCCGTCTCTACTAAAAATACAAAAAATTAGCCGGGCGTAGTGGCGGGCGCCTGTAGTCCCAGCTACTTGGGAGGCTGAGGCAGGAGAATGGCGTGAACCCGGGAGGCAGAGCTTGCAGTGAGCCGAGATCCCGCCACTGCACTCCAGCCTGGGCGACAGAGTGAGACTCCGACTCAAAAAAAAAAAAAAAAAAAATTTAAAAATTAGCTGGGTATGTGGCGTACACCTGTAGAAAACCCAGCTGCTTGGCAGGTTGAGGTGGGAGGTTTCCTTGAGCCCAGGAGGTTGCTGCAGTGAGCTGTGATCATACCACTGCACTCCAGCCTGGGTGACAGAGAGAGACCCTGTCTCTAAGGGAAAAAAAAAAAAAAAAAAATCTTGTTCAAGCTACTACTATTTTGAGATTTTTCAAATCCAAATTGACACAGATGAGAAGAGTAAAAAATAATCTCAGGCTAAGGGACTTGGCTAGGGATCCCTTCTCTTTCCACTTTTTCCATCCCCCATACACAGGCCTACAACTCCCCTCTCTTCCCAAACCCTCCCTTCACAACACACAAACCAGTCTGCACACAGCCTTATAAATATTGATTTTATAGAAAGGACCAATTCAAAATTGGTCAGATGCCACACGCTAGAAGCTTCCAGAACCACGATGGAAAGAAAAAAAAGAAAACAAAAAACAGAGAGAACAAACAAAAATACCCCAGACCAAAATGCCTGAAAAATCAAGGTCCTGGTTGACCAAAGGATTCTTAAAGAAACATGTGGCTGGGGTGAGGAGACCCCAATGCCTGAACGAGACCCCAGAGTGGAAGGAAAAACAACCCAGAAATGCAAATCCGAAGTCCCTGCCCACGGGGCCCCCCCACGCTGTCAAAAGCGAGGCAAAGGGCTTCACAGCTTTATGGGGGTGGGGTTGATGGCAGTAGCTTAAATAATAACGGGAGGAGGAGGGTTTTTATACTTCAGCTTTTTTTTTGTCTGCCCCCCTCTTCCTCTACGCGGAAGAGGAGAGACTGGTAGCTTGAGGTTAAGGAGAAAACAGTATTTCCCCCCCACTTCTTTAATAGGCAAACCATCTAGAAATGGACTGTCATAAAAAAATGCCAGATCCCACCTGTGACCTGACAGCCCCCAATTCCTAGAGAGGTGAGAGCTGTCGTGTGGCAGGTTAGGAGAGGTGCCAACCTTGGGCGATGCGGCTTCTTGGGAAATAACAGCTCCAGCGAGAAAGAATTGGGGTGAGGGAGAGGATGGGGGCCAGAATGGGGGGACCCTTAAGTGGTACCAAAATTAGCTGCCGTCTGCTCCCTGCTGGTGGGTCCTTGGGGTGGAAAGCATGGCAGGGAGGGGGTTGGGGCTGAATGGAGAAGAAAGTGAGATGCTGATAAAAAAAAAAAAAACACCCTTCTCAGAGGGTCCACGGCCCTGGTTCTGAAGAGTAGAAAATCAACAGGATCAAGCAGAGGGCTTTCCTGGGTCACCCCTGCTGAACCCCAGCTCAGTTCCGGTGAGGGATCAATGCTGCCTGGAGTAGGGGAATGGGCAGGCGGCCCAGTCCGGACCCTCGGCTCCCGGGGGGAGAGGGGAGGGGTGGGCGTGGTGGGCTCTCCCCTCCCCTCCCCCGGCTTCACCTCCCCTCCTCCCGGCCGGCCCGGCCCCCGCCTGGCCCATTGCAGGGCAGCACCCAGTTGTTATCGTGGAGGCCCAGGCGGCAGCCGGGAGTCTCGCGGTCGGCTCGACGGCAGCACATCCAGTAGGAACGTCCGTAAGGCAGGTCATGGTGGTAGGGCTTGGGGTGCCAGCGGCAGAGCGACACGTCGCCCTTCTCGTATCTCTTGCGGCACTGTTTGCACGGATCATCGCGGTAGAGCGGGTCTCGGCTCCAGCGCGAGTCTGTGGCCCGCACGCCAAACGCCTCGATGATGCCCTTGAAGTGGTGGCAGGTGCACTTGAGGGCGGCCAGCGCGCGCGTGGGCAGGAAGCTGAAGATCTTGACCAGCACGTGCTCGGGCAGCAGCAGCATGTACTGTCGCGGCTCCAGCAGCCGCTGAATCTTGAAGCGGATCTCTAGGAAGTCGTGCGACACGTGCCGGTACAAGCGGCACAGGGAGGTGTCCGCCGTGCCCTCGGCATCGTCTGGGCCGGGCGCAGTGGCCGGGGAGTCGGCCGGGGGTGGCTCCGGGGGCCCGTCCGGCCCGCGGTTCTGGAGAAAGAAGAGCTGGCCCGGAGGCGGCGGTTCCTCCGGGCTGACCGTCAGGCACACAGTCTCCTCCTTCACGTTCTTGGTGCCGTCCTTGCCAAAGAAGATGCACTCATCTACCACGCCCGTCACCACCACGTCCACGTGGAAGCCTGACGCTCCGCAGTCCCGGGCAGGGGGCGGAGGGGGCGCCGGGGGAGTGTCCTCAGGCCTGGCGGGTGCCGGGCTGTCACCCTCACTGGCCTCATCCGCCCTGGCCAGCAGGAACTCCACGTTGCTGGGGAGGGCATCCCGCGAGGGGCTGATGAGCTGGTATAAGTCACATGTGATCTTGTCCTTGGCTCGGGCCCCAGGACCTGGGCTGCCAGGGTAGGCACAACCAGGCCTGCCCCCGCCCCCACTGGGCAGGCCGCTGTCTGGTGCACGGGGCTCCCGGCCGTTGGAGATGCGGAAGGCGATGCGCACCTCCCCAGGGCCTGGCCCGGGCCGCTCTTCCTTGCGGAGGCCCTTGGTGGGAGGGCTGTCCCTCTGCGCTTCAAAGTGGGCCACGGCCTCGGCTACACGGCTGCAGTCCCCACCACCGGACCGCCGTTCAGATCCCACCCCCTTGGCCGGTCCACCTTGCTCGGCGGACACAAAGACTACAGGCGCTGGGGTGGTCGGTCGTGGGTAGCTCTGCAGGGCCAGGGCTGCCCGCTGTTCCACCAGGGCCACCATCTCGGCCACAGAGAGCAGGTCCACGTCCTCACCGGCTGAGGCGGGGCCCTCCTCAGCAGCAGGGGGGCCCTCCCGGCCCCCTGGGTCAGGAGGAGCCTTGGTGGGGTCAAGACAGCGCCTCCGCCGCTTGGCCTTGGAGCTATCGCTGCCCCAGTGCCCCTTGACCTTCATGGAGCTGGCCCGGCTGCCCCCACCACACTGGTGGGCCACAAAGAAGGCCACCTTCTCCTTTGTATTCCCGGGCTTGATGACATACCACGTGTCCAGGAGGACTCGACCCTCATCACCAGCAGCTGCTGCTGAGAGGAGCGGAGCCGGCTGGGAGGCAGGGACCTCAGTGGCCAAGGCGGGTGGTGTGTTCTCTGAGTGGGCAGGCCCATGGTCTGGCTCGGCCCCGCCACCAGGCTCAGGGCAGGCTGATGGCTTGAGGGCCGCAGAAGGCGGGCGTGGCTGGTTCTGTGAGTAGGTGCCAAAGGGCCGGGGGCACCATAGCTGGAAGGGCAGGAGGCTCCCACGGTCCATGCTGGGGGATGATGGCAGACAGGCTGGGCTTCAGCGCATCTCAGGACCTAGGTGGTGGTGGGAGGCTCCACATGCCACCTGGAGACACGAAGAGGAGGTTGGGGAGCTAGGGGGACAGCCTTTCTTCCCAGGACCACCCCAACCTCCACCTCTCCTTAGACCAAACCAGACCATCAAGAACTCTATTCCTGGCTGGGCGCGGTGGCTCACGCCTGTAATCCCAGCACTTTGGGAGGCTGAGGTGGGCAGATCACCTGAGGTCAGGAGTTTGAGACCAGCCTGGCCAACATGGTGATACCCCATCTCTACTAAAAATACAAAAATGTGCTGGGCGTGATAGTCCACGCCTGTAATCCAAGCTACTTGGGAGGCTGAGGCACGAGAATCGCTTGAACCTGGGAGGTGGAGGTTGCAGCGAGACCAGATGGCACCATTACACTCCAGCCTGGGCGACAAGAGCGAAACTCCGTCTCAAAAAAAAAAAAAAAAAAAAAAAGAACTCTATTCCCACTGCCATGCTCAGGTGAGCAGACAGAGGTTGCAGAGGGGATGAGAGATGCCCTTTTAACTTGCAGAGCGGGACCCTAACTGGCAGCACGCACCAACCCCATAGGTCCTACCCCACTGTCCAACTGCCTTTGCCCACAATCCAGAGGCCTTTAAACTGCCATAACTTTTACACTTAAGTGAAAGGACCACTGACAGACAAGGTCCTTTTTCTATTTGCTCACTCAGTAGCTCGTTCCTGAAAAGACAGAAATTCCCAGCCCCACCCACAGCTATGGCTGCTTAAACCCACAGAGAGAGGAACGAAATGCGCTGGGATGGGGATGAAAATCTGAGGTCAGATTCAGACAAGCACTTAAGAAATCGGCTTTTCTTTTTTTTTTTCAGGTAGTGGGGCTTAATGAGAATTTATTAAAGCTGTGTGTCCTCAGTCAGAAAAATGCACACCCTTGCAAAGACAGTACAGGGGATTCCCTAAAGCACAGCCGTGGACCCGCGGAGTAAGAGGGCCTGTTCTAGAGCCTAGGAGGAGTTCCAGGCTGCAGGGAGCAATGATGGCACCACTGCACTCCAACCCGGGTGACAGAGTGAGACCCTCTAAAAAACAGAGAACAAAGCCGGGTGTGGTGGCTTGTGCCTGTAATCTTAGCACTTTGGGAGGCCGAGGTGGGCAGATTGCTTGAGCCCAGGAGTTTGAGACCAGCCTGGGCAAAATCCATCTCTACGAAAAAAGATACAAAAATTAGCCGGGTGGGGTGTGGCGCACCTGTAGTCCCAGCTAGTTGGGAGGCTGAGGTGGGAGTATCGCTTGAGCCCAGGAGGTGGAGGCTGCAGTGAGCTGTGATGCTGTGATCATACCACTGCACTCCAGCCTGGGTGACTGAGAGAGAACCCATCTTGGGAAAAAAAAAGAAAGAAAACACGAGGGTGCCTGTTCTAGCCTAGCTTTCTCCTCAAGCTGCACACAGATAAACAGAGGCTCAGAGTGGGGAAGGGTGACATAGCTAAGATTACAGTGGGTCCGGAGCAAAAAGAGGCTCTCAACTTGATTTCTGGACTCTTCAATTTAGGGCTCTGTTAATGACTATTTTATTTTGGAATGACTTGATGTGAATGACCTAATCTGGAGGCAATCTTGCGCATGAGTCCGACATGATCACTTTCACTGCAGTTTGAACCTACTAAGTAACATATGCCTCAATCTTTCTCTGGCTCATCTCCCTCCAGACAGCTCAAAACCAAAATGACCCTTTAAACCTTGAAACTTCCACATGCCTACAGGCCAGAGAGGTCAGCAAACTATGGCCCAGAAGCCTAATCCAGCTCGCTGTCTTTGTAAATAAAGTTTTATTGAAACATGCTCATTTGTTTATGGATGCTTTCATCTTCAACAGCAGAGCTGAATAGCAGAACAAAGACCACATGGCCTGCAAAGCTTAAAATACCCATTATCTGGCTCTTTATGGAAAAAGTTTGCCAACTCCTGCAGTACAGACCATCCCTCTAAATTCAAACAATTCCAGGCCTGGCACAGTGGCTCACACCTGTAATCCCAGCACTTTGGGAGGCCGAGGCAGGCGGATCATCTGATGTCAGGAATTCGAGATCAGCCTGGCTAACATGGCAAAACCCCGTCTCTACTAAAAATACAAAAATTAGCCAGGCGTGGTGGTGCGCGCCTGTAGTCCCATCTACTCAGGAGGCTGAGGCAGGAGAATAGCTTGAACCGGGAGGCGGAGGTTGCAGTGAACTGAGATCTTGCCACTGCACTCCAGCCTGGGCGACAAGAGCTAAACTCCATCTCAAAAAAAAAAAAAAAAAAAAGAAAGAAAACAAAACAAAATCCAGACAGCCTCCAAGCACTCACAGGTACCAGTAAACACAGAGAATCCCCATGTCAAGAATCTTTATCTCCACTCCATAATCCCCAATCCCACCTACCCCTCAAATACTTACAGTCCCTGCTGTAATCTCAGCTCAGTGTTAAAAATATCACTCCACAGCCTCCAAAACCTATAGATGGCTGTTTACCAACCACCAATTCACATACATGTTGAGTATCTCAAATCTGAAAATCCAAAATGCTCCCAAATTCAGAACTTTTTGAGTGCCAAGATGACACTGATAGGATATGCTCATTAGAGCATTTCAGATTTTTCAGACTTGGCATACTCAACTGATAAGTATAATGCAAATACTCAAAATCCGAAGAAATCCAAAATCCGAAACACTTTTTAGTCCCAAGATTTTCGGGTAAGGGATACTTGACCTGTATAACCAACTGCCCAGGGAGGCAGGCTAACACAGCAAAAGCCAGTCTCTACAGATGCCATCCTGCTACAACCTGGCCACCCCCTCAAGTCCCCTAATCAGTTCCAACCTTACCCCCAGCATCTCAATGTCCTCCCCCAAATATCGAAAAGCTTTCAAATACTACTTTAAACCACCGAACCTAAAAATATCCTCTCCAGCACTGAAGGGCCGAATCTCAGTCAATCTCTCACAGATCCCAACACAGCAATTCCCCAAACTATGTCATAAACAATCACTCTCCCGGAATCCTATACTCCCCCCAACCCTCCTCCATTATCTCCCAATTCCACTAGAAGCCTCCAACAGCAGACGAACTCTTTGAAAACACAAAAGCTCCCTAACACTTTAAGATGAATCTTAAACCATAAAAATGTTTCACAAAGCCAAAAAAAAAAAACAAAGAAACCTCACAAATGTTACAATAGCAGACATGTGCTTACTGCACGCTCGCTGCGAGCTTACTAGGTAGGTACTGCGCTAACAATTCCTAATCCTCCTCGGTCCCTAGGAAGCAGGTAGTGTTATTAATGCCTAGTTCCCGATGAGACACAGGTGAAATCTCCTGTCCGGGTTAAGACAGGTAGGAAGTCAAGACGCGAGCCCAGACATTCCACCTCCAGGACTGGTACTCTCGGGCTCTTTGCTTCTGTCTCTCCGGGAGCTCCCCAAATTCTATGCCCAACAAACACTCCAAAACACAAAGGGAACCCGATCCCGAAAACACAACCGAACCTTCCGCATTACAAACGAACCCAAACTCCAAGGTGCCCCTTAAGCGCGAGAGAACCCCAAAAGTATCCCCTAAACCCACGTTAAAACTTCCCCAAGCCCCAGAACATTTTGCAAATGGAAAAGGAACCCCCAAATCTTGTAACCGCCCCCCCAAAGAAATCTTCCAAACCCCTCAGGTGACCCTCGAAACCTACACACGCCCCCAAAGAGCCCTCACCCGCAGCCCCCCCAGGCGGCGGGAGAAGGCTGCAGCCCACACGCATGCGCGCGAAAGGTAAAAGGGCCCGCCCCCTCGCTCCTTCCCTCCGGCCACCGCGCGGGCAGACTAGCAACTAGCTTCCCTCCGCCCTTTTGTTGACAGACGCGCGCGTGACGCTCTCAGCCAATGAGCGGCCGCCATTCGGGGCCGTGCCCATATAAGGCAGGCCTTGGCGAAGGGGCCCAACTTCGAAATAGGGAGGAGTAGGCGAGAGGTGATGGGAGTGGGTGGTGGGGTAGACACAGCCGGATGCAAGGGAGCGTGGAACAACTCCCAACGTCCAGCTAAACGGAACAAGGTCAGGGCAAAGGCCACGACACTCCAGGGGAGGCTTATTACACCACGTCCCCTCGAACAGAAGCCCTGATTGACGCTTGAGACTTAAAGGGCCAGGCAGCCCGGGGATTAAGAACACCAAGGCGGAAGGAAGCAGGCGGAGAGATCAGAGTATCCAGCTTTGGTTGGGAACTGTGGGGGCGGGGGGCGGGCTGAGGATTTCCGCGGGGGGAATTGGGCATCGGGATAACCCCACCCTGAAAAACAAATGGACAGAACCCTACGAAGGTTCCCACGGCAACTGAAAACAAGCCTCTAGGCCTGGCGTTCAAGGCTCAAGCCGTGTAGCCATTCGGAGCTGCCAGTTCAGCCTTTCCAAACAGGCGCCCCAAACCTGCCTCACTTAGTACAAAAGAGCAGCCAGAAAAGTCCTGTTAAAGCACAGTCCTATAAACCTGAACCCGTCCCTATCCTGGTGAGAACCTGCCATGGCTCCCCAGTGCCCTCTGGAAAACACCCAGGTACCCCACCTGTCCAGTCGCATCCCTCCCCACTCCTCCGCCCCGCAGGCAATACCCCAGTGCACCCTGGTGGGCACCTGATCTGGCATACATAGAATACTCAGGACCCATCTGATCCCCGGTAGGAGTGATCGTCTCCACGGTATGGATGAAGAAACTGACGCAGGGCAGGTCTCCTGACCACAAGGTCACACAGAGCTGGAGTGTGAGCTGGAGCAGGGATATGAAGCCAGGGAATCTGATTTCCTAGTCACTGTGCCCTACTGTTTCACTATATATTCCCTGGGGTTTCAGCTCGACCACCCCTCCTCTAAGAAGCTGACACCCCCAATCCCCCTAGGCCAGGTCAGGCTTCACCCAGGGCGTCCATGCGGTGGGCTCATTGCTGTCTATTCCTCAAAGTTACCGGGCTCTTGCCTTCCCTGGTCTCTGCATTTGCTGTTCCCACCAACTGCAATACATTCCCCCTCTGCAAGGCTCAATTCCTTACTTCATTCAGGTCTGTGTTCAAATGCAGTTTTATTAGAGAGGCCTTCTCCAACTCCCTTCCTGGAAATCACCCACCTGCCCAGAGGGGACCTCTGGGTTCCCTCTTCCCTGCCTACTCTGGGTCATCGTCTGGGGTGGGTCTCTCTCCAGGCCTGAGACAGGATCTTCTAACTCCCCCACACTGAGCCCAGCATAAGGCCCTACACTAGGTCAGCCTTCAGCAACTACTCCATGAAAATCTATTCATTGTAAAACATTGTGAACCAAAAATATGGAAAATCAAAAGACGGCAAAAAACTGGCTGGGAAAACACGAACCAAGAGACAAGTAGAGGAGTAACATTACCCCTTAAAAAAAAAAAAAAAAAAACTTGGCCAGGCACGGTGGCTCACACCTGTAATCCCAGCACTTTGGGAGGCAGAGGGGGGACACAATCCCTTGAGCTCAGGAGTCTGCGACCAGCCTGGGCAACATGGTGAAACCCCATCACTACAAAAAATACACAAATTAGCAGGGTGTGGTGGCACGTGCCTGTAGTCCCAAGTACTCAGGAGGCTGAGGTGGGAGGATTGCTTGAGCCCAGGAGGTAGAGGCTGCAGTGAGCTCAGATCAGGCCACTGCACTCCACTCTGGGTGACAGCACGAGACTGTCTTAAATTAAATTAAAAATAAATTAAATAAATAAAAAATAAATAAACTGACAAAAGCAATGGATGATGACGAAACAAAATGACCAATTATTTACTTCTCTACATGAGTCCCTAGGGCTGGGGGAGGGAGGTGGAAGTGACCCATTATACACAAAAGTTCTCAACATACATGATCCAAATACTATGGCTTCCAAATAGATAAAGCAAAAAACGACCATCTCTACACATGACAGCCATAAACTTACAAATGACAAGGGAAAGTTTGTTAAATCCACAATTGATATGGGAAAACAACATATTTCTAAGAAAAGACTGCTTGGGAAAATTAGTAAGGACCTGAACCACTCAATCTACACCCTTGGTTGAATGCCCCCAACAATTAAATAATCCACATATTTACATCCCTAGCATACATACATACATGGTGCATTTGCAAAAACTTGTCTCTGACATTCACTGTGGTCCTGCATGCTGGCCATTGTTGGGCGCTGGAACACACAGGTGACACTGAGCTCCCCAGGAATGGCTCATGGGAAAGGGGTCAGACATCCAAACAAACAGTCAGAACCAACATGAATATATTAGAAAATGATAATCACAACAGCAGTCAATACTCGAGCACTCTACAAATATGAACTTGTTTGATTCTTCTATCTCCTATTTTTAATTTCGTGTTGAAGATAAGGAAACTGAGGCAGAGAATGGCTAAGTAATTGCCCTCATTTATAGCTTTGTAGCAGAACTCTGTTTTTGTGAGTGTGTGTTTTGTTTTTTGTTGTTTTCTGAGATGGTCTCACTGTCACCCAGGCTGGAGTGCAATCTCGCCTCAACGCAGCCTCAATCTCCTGGGCTCAAGTGATCCTCCCATCTCAGCTGCCTTCTTTTTTGTTTTTTTTTTTAAGACGGAGTCTTGCTCTGTTGCCCAGGCTGGAGTGTAACGGTGCGATCTCGGCTCACTGCAATCACTGCAACCTCTGCCTCCCGGTTCAAGCGATTTGCTTGCCTAAGCCTCCCAAGTAGCTGGGACTACAGGTGTGCGCCACCATGTCCAGATAATTTTTTCATTTTTAGTAGAGATGGAGTTTCACCATGTTGGCCAGACTGGTCTCGAACTCCTGACCTCAGGTGATCCACCCCACCTTGGCCTCCCAAAGTGTTGAGATTACAGGCGTGAGCCACTGCACCTGGCCTAATATTTGTATTTTTAGTAGAGACAGGGTTTCACCATGTTGATCAGGCTGGTCTTGAACTCCTTACCTCAAGTGATCCACCCGCCTCAGCCTCCCAAAGTGCTAGGATTACAGGTGTGAGCCACTGTGCCCAGCCTATCCCAGCCTTTTGAGGAGCTGAAACCACAGGTGTATACCAGCACGCCCAGCTAATTTTTACATTTTTTTGTACTGATGAGGTCTCACTATGTTGCCTAGGCCAGTCTTGAACTCTTGAACTCAAGCAATCCTCCACCTTGGCCTCCCCAAGTGCTGGGACTACAGGCAGGAGCAACCACACCAAGTCAGAACTTAGAATCAAAGATCAGCTGACTCCAGAGCTCAAGGTCTAAACTACAATATAAACATCATCCTGGCTGGGCGCAGTGGCTCACACCTGTAATGTGGTGGCAGGCTCCTGTAATCCCAGCTACTCAGGAGCTTGAGACAGGAGAATCGGAGAATTGCTTGAACCCAGGAGGCGTGGCTGCAATGAGCCGAGATTGCACCACTGCACTCCAGCCTGGGTGACAGAGCAAGACTCTCAGCCAAAAAAAAAAAAAAAAAGAAGTGAAGCGGGGAAAAAAACAACAGAATAAACCAAACAAATAAGGAAAAATAGGCCACGTGTGGTGGCTCGCGCCTGTAATCCCAGCACTTTGGGAAGCCGAGGCAGACAGATCGCTTAAGCCAATGAATTTGAGACCAGCCTGGGCAACATGGCAAAACCCCGTCTCTACTAAAAATACAAAAATTAGCCAGCATGTGCCTGCAGTCACAGCTACTCGGGAGGCTGAAGTGGGAGGATCGCTTGAGCCCGGAAGTGGAGGGTGCAGTGAGCTGAGATTTTGCCACTGCACTCCAGCCTGGGTGCCAAAGCGAGACCCTGGCTCAAAAACACCAAAACAGAAAGAAAGAATGGAAAAATAATGATAAATGGTAAAGCGTAGATGTCTGACCCCACCCCACTTCCCCATCCCCACCCCTAGTCAGATGACCCCGCTCCCCATCACAGGGCCAGGGTCACACCCAGCACAAGGCACTTGCCCAGTTACATGGGAATTGGTGGCAGGACACCAGGGTTTCGTTCCTGGTCCTGTTCCTTTTTTTTTTTTTTTTTTTGACAGGGTCTTGTTCTGTCACCCAGGCTGGAGTGCAGTGGCACGATCTCGGCTCACTCGAACCTCTGCCTCGTGGGTTCAAGCAATTCTCCTGCCTCAGCCTCCCAAGTAGCTGGGACTACAGGCGCCCGCCACCACACCCGGCTAATTATTTATATTTTTAGTAGAGTTTCACCATGTTAGCCAGGATGGTCTCGGTCTCCTGACCTCGTGATCCACCCAAAGTGCTGGGATTATAGGCGTGAGCCACCACGCCCGGCACCACCCCACCCTTTTTTTTTCTTTTTTTGAGATGGAGTCGTGCTGTTGCCCAAGCTGGAGTGCAGTAACACGATCTCGTCTCACTGTAACCTCCACCTCCCCTGCCTCAGCCTCCTGAGTAGCTGGGATTATAGGCACCTGCCACCATGCCCGGCTAATTTTCGTATTTTTAGTAGAGACAGGGTTTCACCATGTTGGCCAGGCTGGTCTTGAACTCCTGATCTCAGATGATCCACCCACTTCCCGTAGTGCTGGGATTACAGGCATGATGCACCGCGCCCGGTCCCTGTTCCTTCTATGCCCTACCCTGCTGCTCCTTTGTCCAGAATCCTGACTCATCCATACCTCACCCATGGCTTGTTGGCCTTAGAGTCCACTGGGTCCCCTCCCTTTTAAGTTTTCCTTTCTGACTAATGGTCCCTGAAGGCAGGAATCATCCAAGCCCTGAGATCCTGGAAGCAGACAGGAACCAGACAGGGCCTGCTGGATCCCAGCTTTCCCACCTCTGGCAGTATGACCTCAGGCAGGTTTTTCAGCCCCATGTGCCTCAGTTTCCCCCACTGTAAAATGGCAATAATGACAGCATCCACCCATGGGCTGGCTGACCATCCGCTGAAACAAACCCAGCAGAGCACCTGGTACCAGTTTGGCACTGAGGCGTAGCTCACACCTGTAATCCCAGCACTTTGGGAGGCCCAGGCAGGCGGATCACAAGGTCAGGAGATCGAGACCATCCTGGCTAACACGGTGAAACCCCGTTTCTACTAAAAATACAAAAAATTAGCTGGGTGTGGTGGCGGGCGCCTGTAGTCCCAGCTACTCAGGAGGCTGAGGCAGGAGAATGGCGTGAACCCGGGAGGCGGAGCTTGCAGTGAGCCGAGATTGCGCCACTGCACTCCAGCCTGGGCGACAGAGCCAGACTCCGTCTCAAAAAAAAAAAAAAGTGGGCTGGGTGTGATGACTCATGCTTGTAATCCCAGCACCTTGGGAGGCTGAAGCGGGCACTTGAGGTCAGGATGAGACCAGCCTGGCCAACATAGTGACACCTTGTCTCTACTAAAAATACAAAAAATTAGTTGGGCATAGTGACAGGCGCCTATAATCCCTGCTACTCGGGAGGCAAAGGCAGGAGAATCGCTTGAACCTGGGAGGTGGAGGTTGCAGTGAGCTGAGATTGTGCCACTGCACTCTAGACTGGGCTACAGAGGGAGACTCCATCTCAAAAAAATAAATAATTAAACATAAAAATTGAAAGTGAAGGCTGTGGGTGGTGACTCATGCCTTAATCCCAGCACTTTGGGGGGCCAGGGCAGAAGGATCGCTTGAGCCTTGGAGATCAAGACCAGCCTGGGAAACAAAGTGAGACCACATCTCTAAAATAATTTTTTAAATTGGCTGAGCATGGTGGCATGAGCCTGTAGTTCCAGCTACTCGGGGAGGCTGAGACAGGAGAATCCGCTGGGCCCAGGAGTGTGAGGCTGCAGTGAGCTATGATCATGCCACTGCACTCCAGCCTGGGCAACAGAGGTGGGCCCTGTCTCTAAGTAAATAAATGAATGAAACACTTGTGGATTACTTAGGGAATGAACGCTAATTTTCCAGAGGAGGAAACTGACGTCCAACGGGATCAAATTACTTACCCTAGGTCACACAGCTGATGAGAGGTGAAGCCAGGACTCAAAGCTGGGCACTCTGGCTTTTTCATTTTATTTTTGTTTTGTTTTGCTTTTTGTTTGAGATGATCTCACGCTGTCACCCAGGCTGGAGTGCAGTGGTTCTGTCACAGCTCAATGTAGCTTCAACCTCCTTGGCCGCCAAGCCCAACTAATTCTTCTTTTTTTTTCTTAGACGCAGTCTCACTCTGTCACCCAGGCTAGAGTGCAGTGGCATGATCTCAGCTCACTGCAACCTCTGCCTCCCAGGTTCAAGCAATTCTTCTGCTTCAGCCTCCCGAGTAGCTGGGACTACAGGCGTGCGCCACCACGCCCAGCTAATTTTTGTATTTTTAGTAGAGACAGGGTTTCACCATGTTGGCCAGGCTGGTCTTGAACTCCTGATCTCAGGAGTTCAAGAAAAAAAAAAGAAAACTTGTGCTTTTAGGAGTAAGACAGCTTTACCATAGCAGTTAGAAATACATCATTAAACGTGGTAAAAAATACAATTTTTTTCTTCGTTTCCTAGTACATGTCACAGGTTTTGAAATAAAGATGGTAAAAATACCATTTTGTATGAGTAAGCTTCAGACAAGCACAGGCTGAAAACAAATTTAAGATTTCAAGAAAAGGCAAAATAACTTGGAAAGCAGACAAATGCTCTAAGACAAATAAATGAAGGCAACGGAAAACAAAAAAGTGTCAGATCACCCCAGGGTGGCCAGATGTGACACATAGGATCAGGGACAAGTGAGAGACTGGCAACTTTTCCCCAAACCAATAGGTTTTCAGATAATTCAATGAGGGCTGGAGACAGAATGTTAAAAAATCCATGAAAGCAGTGACAAGCAGGCCAAGCTGGCATAAGGGGCTGAAAATGAATTGGGAATAGAGAAACCCAAACTTGAAAATGAGCACAAATGCTCGCATACTTGCAGAACTGCCCTACCATTATGACAACAGCAAGTTCCCCAATGGCAGGGTCGAGTCTGCACCCAATACAGGCGCTGGCACATGGTAAGTGCTCTATTAACACTTGTGGGCTGGGCTCTGTGGCTCATGCCTGTAACCCAGCACTTTGGGAGGCCGAAGTGGGAGGATCACTTGAGTCCAGGAGTTTGAGAGCAGCCTGGGCAATATAGCAAGACCCTGTCTCTACAAAAAAAAAATTTCTTATTTTTTCTGTTCGAGACGGAGGCCTGCTCGTTACCCAGGCTGGAGTGCAGTGGTGCAATCTCAGCTCACTGCAACCTCCGCCTCCTGGGGTTCAAGTGATTCTTGTGCCTCAGCCTCCCGAGTAGCTGGGACTACAAGCACACGCCACCACGCCTGGCTAATTTGTATTTTTAGTAGAGATGGGGTTTCACCGTGTTGGCCAGGCTGGTCACAAGCTCCTGACCTCAAGAGATCTGCCCATGTAGGCCTCCCAAAGTGCTGGGATTACAGGCATGAGGCCACTGTGCCCCATCAACAACAAAATTTTTTTTTTAATTAGCTGGGCATGGTGGCAAGCACCTGCAGTCCCAGATACTCTGGAGGCTGAAGCAGGAGGATCACTTGAGGCCAGGAGCTTGAGGCTGCAGTAAGCTGTGACTGCACCACTGTACTCCAGCCTGGGCAACAGAGACAGGCCCTGTCTCTAAATAAATAAATAGGCTGCGGTGGCTCAACCCTGTAATTCTAGCACTTTGGAAGGCTGAAGTGGGTAGATCACTTGAGCTCAGGAGATCGAGACCAGCCTTGGCAGCATGTATTATTCATCTCTACAAAAATTACAAAAATTAGCCAGGTGTGGTGGCATGCCCCTGTAGTCCCAGCTATTTTGGAGGCTGAGGTGAGAGGATGGCGTAAGATCAGGAGGTGGAAGTCACAGTGAGCCAAGATAGTGCCACTGCATTCCAGCCCGGGCAACAGAGCCAGACCCTGTCTCAAAAAATAAATGAACAAATAAATAAATAACTAAAACACTTGTGGGCCAGGTGCGGTGGCTCACACCTGTAATCCCAGCAGTTTGGGCAGGTCGACAGCTTGAGTCTCATTGTTCAGGACTAGCCTAGGCAACATGGCAAAACCCTGTCTCTACAAAAATTTTTTTAAAAATTAGCCGGGCATGGTGGTGTGCGCCTGCAGTCCCAGCTACTTGGAAGGCTGAGGTGGGAGGATGGCTTGAGCCCGGGAGGTAGAGGTTGCAGGGAGCCGAGACTGTACCACTGCACTCCAACCTGGGCAATAGAGCCA